>NT_187614.1:0-319674 GCF_000001405.40 Homo sapiens
AGGAATCCCAGCTATTCTTGGCCAGACAGCAGGAGCTTTGGGAATGCCTCGTGTGTGGCCTGGAGAATGCGGCCACTGTGAGAGCACAAGGCCACCCTCAGCCTGCAGGGCTGCCTGTTGTGGAGGCTGCATCCCCAGCGCCTGCAGCGTTGCAGAGCCCCAGGAAGGCCCCTTGACCTCTCCCTGCTGCACATCATTCTCCATCTGGCCTGGAGCTGCAAGGACATTTTGCTTTTTGAGGAGAGGCAGGCCCCTTCTCTCCATCACAGCTCTGCACACACACACACAGCTGCCTAGCCCTGGCTTGGATGGAAGAGCATGGCCCTGGCCTCCCCTGCACCCATGCCCACCTGCTCTCACAGCAAAGGATGGAAGAACTGCTCCAAGGAAGGCTGCTTCCTGCCTCTCGGCCCACCAGCTGAAGGCACCTCTTTATTCCAGCCCCAGACAAAAAGCCAGGGACTGGTAGGCCTGCATCAGTCTCCCTCCCACTCTGTGTCCTGACCCCACAAAGGGCCTCTGAGGTTGGAGACGCCTGTGCCTTCATCCCCATCCATGCTTCCTGGGGGTGGGGCCTCTGACTAAATATGACACCGTTTTTCAAGAACTGAGCCAGGGGGTCCTGAGGAGAAGGGCACAGTCTTGCAAAATGGTCTCGAATTTCTCTGCTGAGTTTTTCATCCCCCTGCTTGGATCCCAGTGCTGTTACCTCTTGAAAGGAACTGTACCTTTAGCCGAAGAAACAAAGGCCTGGGGAGGATAGAAGTCCTCGGAGGAAAGGGCCAAGGGATCTGGGACCCTTTTTTGCTTTTCCTAAGATTGATCCCACCCCCACCTCCATGTGGTGGGGACAGACAAAGACAATGCTGCATTCTTCAAGGAACAAAGGCAGACAGACTTCCAGATGGAGGCTTTGCTGCCCGGTCTTCTGCAGAGGGACTCAGAGGCTTCTAAGAGGGGTTCTGCCCCGGGGGTGGGGAACATGATTTTGCCCTGAGAGCACCACCAGTTTCTGAGGTGAGGAGGTGCCTTCAGAACAGGGCGCTCCCCGAGTTGGCATGCCAGCAGCCCATCCAGGGCAGCTCGGTGGCCCAGCGGCCCGAGGTGGTTGCCTGCAGTTTGGCCTGGTCGAGGCGCCAGTAGCGGTCATCTCGGAAGAAGATGATGGAGCCATCGGGCCTCGGCAGGGCGCCGCTGACCTCCTCAGGGATGCCTCCCCAGTCCTGCAGACTTCGGGGGTAGTAGGGCTCCACTTGCAGTCCCCCTCGGGCCAGCACGTAGTAGCGGGCACCCTTGAAGAGGATGAGGCGGCGCAGAGGAGGGAAGAAGAGGGCGGCGTCAGGATGGCGGGGCAGGCCCCCTGCCCGGCACAGCTGTGGGAGACCCCACACTGGCTTGGGGCCCCGGAACCTCCAGCATCGACCCCCTGTGGGGAATTGGGAGAGCCAGGGTGAGCTGGAGGCTGTCACCCATTGGCCCTCTACCCCACTTCTGTCCCCCATACCTCTGCTCTCCTTTAAGCTGGAGCCCACGATGGTTGGTATTCATATCAATCAAACGGATTGCACTACAAATTAGTTATAAATAGCAGGGTGGTAGTAGCAACTCCTATTATTTATTGTCTAGACTCCCAGCAGGTGTCAGCAGAGGGCAGATAGCCCCGAAAGGAAGGCCCAGAGCTTTCTCCACTGCCATCATTACTAATAATTCTATGAGGGCAAGGATTTTTGTTTCATTCACTGCTGTATCCCTAACATATCCAACCACGTCTAGTGCATACAAGGCACTCAATATTGGTTGAATGAATGAACAAATGAATGAATACTATTTACCTAAGTATTAACATGTATCTAGTAAGATATTGCACACTCTTCAGGCAATATTCTCTTTTCACACTCCTTCCCCAGCAAGTGTGAGGTATTGTTTTCCCCATTCGAGAAATGCACACTCCAAAAGTTAAGCGACACGTCCAACCCCACACAGCTAGGATTCCAAGGAAGATCCAGCTTTCTGCTCAGTTGCAGAACTCCAGAGCAGTCCTCTGCTTCCCTCTAGACTCCTCTCTGAAACTCTCCCTGGGACTTTGACACTTGCTGCTCCCTAATCCATCCCTGAAAGGTATCTTCTGATAGAGTCTTCCCTGGGGTCACAGGTTCAGATTGGAATGGAGACTCCACCATGGACTCGTGTGAGAGTCTTCCCCTCTTTTGTCCTCTTTTGACCTTGGGCAGGACACCTTCCCTCTCTAGGGCTCAGTTTTCCCCGCTGCCCCAGAGCCAGTACCTTTGAAGAAGTAGAAATCTCCATCATTCAATGACACTGCCGCAGCCTCAATGTTGGGGGGCAGCCCGACCCATCTTTCCTGCAGTGGACGGGGCTCTGAGACGTTGCCATCAGCTGCCACCTCCCAGAAATGGCTCCCTTTAAAAATGTACAGTTGCTGTTGCCTGTCTGCCCAGAGACAAGAGAGAGTTGAGGAGTGACCATCAGCTTCCTGCTGTCTTTCCAGGAAAGATGCTGTCCTGGAAGCCAGTTTCCCAAATGGACAAGCATAGGGTATGGTGTGTACAGTTGGCGCAGAGGGGAAAGTGGGCAGGAAGAAGCGGTGTTTTGCTGGGTGTGGGGTTGCTACCTGCAGCGTGCTTGTGGCTTGGGATTTCTGGCTTTTACAGTCCATCCCCCCAACTTGTACTGCAGCTCTGGAGACACTAAGAGATATGGAAGGAGAGAAAGAAGCAAAGCACCAGTGGGACCTTCTTACCTACAGTGATGGCATCGAAGGAAGAGTGGCAGTATTTAGGGCCCTGCGTTTCAGGGCGCCTTCCTTGGGGGCTGTAGGAGTCCCAGGTCTCAAAGTCAGTGAACAGCTTTCCTGGGAGCTGGACGGCCACTGAGCCCCCTAGGGGCTTCCCTTTGTGAGTAAGGAAATAAGAGAGAGAGAGAACACACATAGGGTAGAGGGTATGCTGTGCACTCAAGACCTTCCCTTGGTTACTTTCATGATTATCTAATATGAGGGGCAAGGAAGGAGAGTGGGAGTGGGGGTTAAGAGTTGTTCCTGGGCCAGGAATGGTGGTTCACACCTGTAATCCCAGTACTTTGGGAGACCGAGGCAGGCAGTTCACTTGAGGTTAGGAGTTTGAGACCAGCCTTGCCAATGGTGAAACCCTGTCTGTACTAAAAATACAAAAATTAACCAGGCATGGTGGTGCACACGTGTAGTCCCAGCTACTTGGGAGGCTGAGGCAGGAGAACCGCTTGAATCCGAGAGGTGGAGGTTGCAGTGAGCTGAGATCATGCCACTGCACGCTAGCCTGGGTGACAGAGCGAGACTCCGTCTCAAAAAGAAAAAAAAAAGAGTTGTTCCTGGTTGTTGGTGCTAACCATCAAACTAAACTCAGGAATCTTCTTCTACCCAACATCCTGGGACAGAGGAACCTCCTGAGATAAAATTGGAGTGGGGTATCAAGCAAGGGAACTAAGCGGGTCAGGGAGTCCTCTTCTCTGATTCCTGGGCAACACAGGTGTCATGAGGGCAGAGTCCAGAGACCCAGGCTGTGATAACTACAGCAATTATAATAATTACATCACTATCCTTCACTTATGAGAGGAGGGAAGCAGAGTCCAACAAGCTTATTATTTGGTACCATCACCTGAATCCCAGTCTGCAATTTCCTAGCTGCATGACCCTGAGCAAGTTACCTAACCTCTCTGAGCCCCATTATCTTGATCTGTGGACAAAAAGATGCATACTTCATGGGTGTGTTGCATGTCAAGTGCCTGGCCCACAGTAGGTACTCATGAAATAGTAGCTGTTAGTATTACAGGGTATAAGTTTCTCAGGCTACAAAGCATGCTCATACCCAGTAGCACAACAGCCCTGTCAGGTAAGCAGGACCTCAGTTGTTATCTCTTTTCACAGAAGGTAAAACTGAGGGTTCACAGAGGGAAAATGCCCAAGAGCATCTGCTAATCAGGGATGGAAGGTGACTTGAACCCAGGCCTCCTGGCTCTGCCCATGGCACTCTGAGGGAGACAGCCCTGGGCTGAGATAGATCCCAGGGCAGTAGCACTGGCCCACCCTGGGGAAGAAGACCTGGTCTGAGCCCACCACCAGGCAGAGGTGGGCAGGCTTTGGGGATAGGGGGCATCAGCATCGTGGTGAGAGAAAGGCTCGGGGAGAGCTAGTGGCTGGGGCAGGAATGAAGGCTTTGGGGTCCGGGATGGGGGAAGAGGTGGGCCCAAGGATTGGGTATGGGTGATGGGGCGGGCACATGGTGTGAGCGGGAGCTGCGGGGGCTGGGGGTTGGGCAGAAATCCAGTAAGTGGAACGCAAGGGGCGGGGTTGGGGGTACTGTGCACAGGAATTAGTTGGGACTGATGGAGAGATGAGGGCCATGGACTCGGGGGAGCAAGAATCCGAGGTTTTTCAGATTTGAGGAGGGGCATAGGGCTTTAGAATTGGGACGAATCGGCGACAGGGAGGCCAGATCTATGAGCTTAGGATGGGAAATCCTATTTGCAGAGCCGGCGTTCAAGGACAGGAGGCCTTGGGGGCAGGAGTGGGACCAAGAGCGGGGCATGTCCCGGGGCCTCACCATACAGGCTCTGCACGGCCAGCACGTCGTCCCAGCTGAGCAGCGCGTCGCGGCCCAGCCTCTTGTAGTAGGGCGCCATGAGCGCGCGCGGCGCGGGCGAGTGGGTGAGGCCAAGCGTGTGACCGATCTCGTGCGCCAGCACCACGAACAGGTTGCGCCCGCGGCGGCGGCTCAGGGACCAGCGCTCATCTTGGTCGAAGTGCGCTTCGCCGCGGCGGGGCAGGAAGGCGTGCGCCAGGGCGCCCCCTGCAGGTGGGGCAGAAGGTCAGGGGGTGCCACGGCCCACGACGCCCCCAGGTACTCGCGGCCCAGCGCAAATGCCACTGGGGTGTGTGTGGCTGTTCTCTGCTGTATAGTTTCCCTCCTAAAATCTGGCAGAACCTGAAGTGTGCAGAGGTGAACAGTAGGCTCTGCACTACTTCAGGTGAGTAGTGCAGTGGACGATGAGTAGGCTGTGGACGCCTAAGAGGCACTGTGGTGTAGATATGGCATGGGCCCACCAATTTGGGTGCCATTCCTACTTTTACAATCTACTAGCTGTATGACCTTCAGCATTTAGCTTAACCTCTCTATGTCTTAACTTCCTGATCTGCAAATGGGAATGATGATGGTGAGCTTCTTCCTCACAGAGTTGTTCTGAATAATAAATGTGTGTGTGTGTGTGTGTGTGTGTGTGTGTACATGTGTATTACAAATGATGCAGCAGGGTGTGGTAGCTCACGCCTATAATCTCAGCACTTTGGGAGGCTGATGTGGGAGGAACATTTGAGCCCAGGAGTTCGAGACCAGCCTGGGGAAACAAAGCAAGACCTCATCTCCACTAAAAAACAAAAACATTAGCTAGGCGTGATGGTGTGCACCTGTAGCCCCAGCTACTTGGGAAGCTGAGGTGGGAGGCTCTCTTGAGTCCCAGGAGGTCAAGGCTGCGGTGAGCTGTGATTGCGCCACTACACTCCAGCCTGGGTGACAGAGTAAGACCCTGTCTCAAACAACAACAACAACAACCACGAAACAACAACAACAAAAAAGTGATCCTTGGAACAGTGCCTAGCACGTAATAAGGGCCACTTAAGAATTACTTTCAGGCTGGGTGCGGTGGCTCACGCCTGTAATCCCAGCACTTTGGGAGGCCGAGGCGGGTGGATCACGAGGTCAAGAGATTGAGACCATCCTGGCTAACACGGTGAAACCCTGTCTCTACTAAAAATGCAAAAAGTAGCCAGGCGTGGTGGCGGGTGTCTGTAGTCCCAGCTACTCGGGAGGCTGAGGCAGGAGAATGGTGTGAACCCGGGAAGCAGAGCTTGCAGTGAGCTGAGATCACGCCATTGCACTCCAGCCTGGGTGACAAAGCGAGACTCTGTCTCAAAAAAAAAAAAAAAAAAAAAGAATTACTTTCAAAAAGATCTAGGAGTAGGTAGAGTATAGTTACCCCTAAAAGGAGGCATGATGGGACCTTCTGTTTCTTGATTTGGGTGCTGGGAGCATTCAGTGTATGAAAGTTCATCAGGCTAAACTTGAGATGGTTCACTTCTATATGTATGTGTATTTTATTTAATAAAAAGTATAATTTTTATTTTTATTATTTTATATATACTTTTGTTAAAGAAAATATACATACATATAGAAGTGAATATATATATATATATATATATATATATATATATATATATATATATATATATATATATAAAATTGTGTTCTTGCCCTCCTCTGCCAGGGCACCTCTGGGGGGCCTCTCTCTACTTCTAATAGGAATGAGCAGAGGTAGTTGGGCTGGATCAGTGATTTTCAAGCTTTTAGTGTGCCCCAGATGGAGCTTATTAGATGTGCAGGTGCCAGGGTACCACCCCTAACAATTCCCCTTCCACAGCGGCAGGTGACCCTGACACAGGAGTCAGAAAACTGCACTATGATAAAGTTTGCCTAGAAGCTTGTCGAGGGTCCCTCCAGCTTTGCCTTCTTGGACCCCAGGCCAACTGTGACTGGCAAAGATGGGGGTGCTAGACTAAAAGGAGATCCTCCTGGGGGCATGGAAAGTCAGCCGCATGTAGGAGGAATACATGCCTATTTTGAATATGTCTCCAGCTGTTTCAAGCATTGTTCACTCTATTCAACTCTCACTGGGAGACGGATGGGCAGGTTTGGGAGAGAAGACCACTATTCAAAAAGACAAAGTATCTGTCCCAAATCAGAGGGCTGCTTGGGGATCCTGATGTCCTTACTCCCAGTGCAGTGCTGTCTTAACTAGGTATGGATAGAACCATGTCAGGTAGATCACATGGATGAAGTCAGTTACAAATAAGTGCATGTGTGCACTACATGTGGATTCTTGCAAAGCCTAGATTCCTCCTGGTCCTAACCCAGGTCTCAGCAGTAGGGCCTGGATGTGGGCTTTGCTGTAGGTGGGCTTGACTGAAAGCAGGAGGGTGCGAGGGAGGTGGGGGCTCAAGTTCCCAGGCCATACAAGGGCTTAAGTCCCCAGCTTGAAGGGGTCTGATTAGGTTTCCTTTCTTCATTAGGAGGGGAAATGTGCAAACAGCCTATATTCAGGTTCTGAAGGCTAGCGTTAGGCAGAAGGGGAAAAGAGCGGTTTAAACTGCAGCCAGAGTCTTCAGGTTGGGGACAAACAGAACTATCTGTGGCGTAGGTATATGAAGCACTTCCCTGTCAGGGCTGTCGGGAGTAGGGTGCCTCTTGCCCTGTGGCAGCGGCTCTGGTAGTTGGGGGTGGGGGAGCAGTGGTGGGCAGTGGATGTTTTTTAGGGCTCTGGAGTGAACATCCACTCTGGAGAACAAGAGAAGCACAGGCCTGTCTAGAGGCAGAGGATGGATGATGGAACCTCGGGAGATTCTCCCAGAATGCATAATACTCTTGAGAATTTGCAAAGCACTTCCCTTGCAGAGCTTCATCTGACTGTCCCTTCAGACATGTGACACATAATAGGGCAGGGACCACTGTTCCCATTTTAGGATGAGGAGACTGAGGGTTCTCTGCAGGGAGATGTGCCTCAGCCAAGGCCACAGGGAGGGTGAATGCTTCATTGCCACCCCCAAACTGCTTCTCCAAGTTGGGTTCCCCTCCTGCTGTGCGGGAGGGAGGCTTTGTGCCAGCACCTGGGCCATCAAAGGCATTGCCCAGCCCATCGTTGTGGTCCCCTTGGAAGAAGGTGAGCCGGATGTCAGCGGGGCCTGTGGCTGGGGCCTCCCAGAACTCCAGCGCTGAGACGTTGCTCCACAACTGGAAGGCGGCGCGCACGGCGCCCCGAACTGCCGGCTCCGGCAGATGCTCAGGCCAGTTCACCAGGCGGTAGGAGAGGTGCTGCTTGTACCATTTGTTACCTGCCACCCAGAAAGCCCACGTCAGTCACACCTGCTGCAGAGCCCGAGTCTGGTCCCCACAGACCCAGTAGGATGGCGAGGGGTAGGCCCTCCCCCAGCAGCCCCTCGTCTGACGGGGAAGACACAGTTTTTGCCCTGGGCAGCTCCCCCTTTGACTGGGGCGATACTGCCTGGCTGAGGGCAGCCCTCAGACTGAGAGGACTCCCCTTACCCTGGACAGTCCCCAGTACAGTGGCTTGGACTGTGGAGGTCCCAGTGTGTTGGAGGGGAAGCAGCCTCTGCCCAGGAGAAGCCCCCAATCTGAAGAAGTCTGTCTGAACCCTTGGTCTAGGGTCTTATTCTTCCCCACAGCCTGGGCTGAGTCTGAAAACAGTTCTGTGTCTGTTGCTACCAGCAAATCCCAGCCCCTCCCTGCAGTGTCAGAGTGGAGGAGAGGTGGGGCCACAGAGGCCACAGCTGTGACTCCCCCTGCCCCCCACCATCTCTCTTCAGGCCTCACACCCTCCTGCCACCTCTAGACACTTCACTCTGCCCTTTCCAGGGCCTGGGGCCTATGGCCAGCCAACAACCACAAGACTCATTCATTTGAGTTTCTTTCCTGCCCCTCTCCTCCTCGCTTCCTCAGGGACTCTGGAGAGCTCTGAGGTGAAAACAAATAAGAACAAAGCGTGTGTTTTGTCACTGACTGAGAGAAAGTTTTCCATCTCTGCTTTGTTAAGGGTTTCTCTCCCTTTGCCCCAAATTGCAACTCCTCCCTGAGGGCTGAGACTCTGGCCTCTTACCCCAGCCCCCGTCAACTGAGTCTGGGCCCAACTGCAGCTCAGCGTGCACCCGGCAGCAGCATGGCCGGAAGGGCCAGATCCCGAGTTTCTTGTGGGCTATTTCTGAGCCCTGCAAACTCAGGGGCTGGGATTGTAACCTCAAGTGGAAGACTCGCGGCTTGGAGGCAGGACTCTTGGGCCAAGGATGTGGTAACTGAGACCTGAGACCCCAGGACAAGGGGCCTGCCCAGGGTCCCGGAATGAGTAAGTAGCTGAGGCAGGCCCTGACACCTAATCCAGGGCTCTTCCATTATTCCACATAGACAGGCAGGCACATTTGCCAGGACGCCAGGCTTATAAATCTGCCCAAACATCATTCCTGCCGGTCAAAGCATGAACTAAGATTCTCCAGATGTAAGGGAGGGTCTTGGAGAGCAGAGGAGCTGGACTCTCTTCTCCTCACCAATGCAAGTGGGGGAGGGGTACATCCCTTCTCCCACCCCTGAGCCAAGCTCCATTCAAGGCAATGCCGCCTCCCTGGGCCTGTTTGGCCTGGCAGCCACCCAACCTCTGCCTCCCAGCCAGTGACCAACCCTTAACGAGGAGAGAGGGAATGACTCTAAGGAAGGGAGGGAGACAAAGAAGGCAGAGGGAAGACCTGGGGTCCAGAGGTGCGGCTGAGGGTTTGTGATGTACCAGTCATGCTTCTGCTGGGCACACTGTGAGTCTTCAATGGGCGCTGGGCTCTTTCACGCCCTTGCTGTGGGGGACGGTCTCCCAGGCTCTTTCTTTCCCCTCACAAACCTCTAATCCATTAGCATAGTGTGAGATGGCTCCTTCTGCCTCTTTGCAGCTAGTGGGGTCCCTCACTTCACAGGCAGAAGAGGGGGTGGCGGGCAGTTTTCTCATTCTAGGCCGCCAGTGAAGGTGACAGGTCTCAGAATAAAATCCTGTAGGAAACTCTGAGTATGTGCATGTGTGTGTTTGGGGGAAGAATAGGGAGGATGAATAGGAATGGGAATTGAGAGAAAACGACTGTTTTCCTGAGAGGACCAGGGGAGGGGGTGTCGCTGGTGTGCCTGCCAGGAAGAAAGGACCTGGCTGGGGGCCAGCAGTCTGAGCCCTTGCCCCTGTCTCCCTCCAGATTTGCTCCCATGGAGAAAGCTAGCCGCTTCAGGCCCTGACCCAAACTCCTGGCCAGGGAGGGCTGGTTTTTGTGGTGACCCCCAGGCCCTAGCAGCACCTGGCATTGTACTCCCTGACACCCTTGCTCCAAAGTTCAAAAAGGAAGGGGGAAGGAAAAAGTATGGGAAGGGGGAGGAGAACTAAAAGCTTTGCCTGGGCAGAACCCTGGAGTTCCGACTCCCAGCAGGGAACTGACACTGTGGAAAGAACATGGGTTAGAATCCCAGTACCTCTACTTGCAAACTTACATAACAAATTATGGAATCTCTCCAAGCCTGTTTCCCTATGTGCAAAATGGGGTTGATAAGACTTTTCCCATGGTAAGATGTGAGGCTTAAATGAGACAGCAATGTGGAGCTGCTGGGCGTGTAGTGCATACTCAATAAATATACATTCCCCTCTTCCTTCCTTTTCCACCCCGGATACACCCTGGTGCCCCCAACCTCCGCCAGCTTAGTGAAGGAACAGGAAGCCTGCAGGCAGGCAGGAGGAGCAGGTACCTGCAATGAGGTTGCCAGATAAGTTTCTTTTTTCTTTTTTTGAGACGGAGTCTTGCTCTGTCACCCAGGCTGGAGTGCAGTGGTGCCATCCGGGCTCACTGCAAGCTCTGCCTCCCCGGGTTCACACCATTCTCCTGCCTCAGCCTCCCAAGTAGCTGGGACTACAGGCACCCCCCACCACGCCTGGCTAATTTTTTGTACTTTTAGTAGAGATGGGGTTTCACCGTGTTAGCCAGGATGGTCTCGATCTCCTGACCTCATGATCTGCCCGCCTCGTCCTCCCAAAGTGCTGGGATTACAGGTGTGAGCCACCGCGCCCAGGCTTTTTCTTTTTTTTTTGAGACAGAGTCTCACTCTGTCACCCAGGCTAGAGTGCAGTGGCGCGATTTTGGCTCACTGCAACCTCTACCTCCCGGGTTCAAGGAATTCTCCTGCCTCAGTCTCCCGAGTATCTGGGATTACAGGTGCGTGCCACCACACCAGGCTAATTACTTTTTGTATTTTTAGTAGAGACGGGGTTTTATCATGTTGGCCAGGCTGGTCTCAAACTCCTGACCTCAGGTGATCCTCCCGCCTCAGCCTCCCAAATCGCTGGGATTAAAGATGTGAGCCACTGTGCCCAGCTGCCAGATAAGTTTCTTTTTTTAACTTTAAAAAACTATCTGTTGTTCATCTGAAATTCAAATTTAACTGGGCATCCTATATTTTATGTGGCAACTGAGTAATACTATCCTCTATCAAAAAGAGATGCTCTGGCTGGGCACGGTGGCTTGCGCCTGTAATCCCAGCACTTTGAGAGGCCGAGGTGGGCGATCACCTAAGGTCAGGAGCTTGAGACCAGCCCGGACAACATGGTGAAACCCGTTTCTACTAAAAATACAAAAAAAAATTACCCTGGCATGGTGGCGTGCACCTGTAATCCTAGCTATTCAGGAGGCTGGGGCAGAAGAATTGCTTGAACCCAAGAGGTGGAGGTTGCAGTCACCTGAGATTGCGCCATTGCACTCCAGCATGAGTGACAGAGCAAGGCTCCATCTCAAAAAAAAAAGAAAGAGAGAGAGAGAGATGCTCGAAATTGTATAGTGACAGATGAACTCTATTAGATCCTTCCTTTGGGGCATGAGAAGGTGAGATACAGCCAGAAGGAAGCAGCCCCGGAGCTCAGGTCAAAGTACAGCTGCTGAACTGTTTCTGGGGCTGCCCCACTTTCCACTGCATTCTCACAACAAGCCCCTTCCACCTGGTAATCAAGGACCATCTCTCCTTTGCAACCTGGAAGGGCCTATGTCTCGGATGAAGGAACGGAGCCTCAGTGAGAAAAGTGACCTGGCCCAGGCCACACAGCTGAGACTTGAACCCAGGGCCTCTGGCTCCAGGGATGCTGCTCTCTGTTCTACCAGTGCCTCTTGAACTCGTAGCTCTCTGCTCTTCTACTTCACTCTTCCTCTCCATTGCCCAGAAACACGGTGGGACACAGAACATGTTGACACCAAGGGCATCCTGACTCCGGAGCCGGACCCCATTGCTGACTCCTTGCTTTACCAGGAAAGCAAGCAGTCAGTACTGAGGACCCAGAGTGGCTGGGCATATAGGTGAAGCAGAATTGGTTTGGCAAACACCTGGAAACAGCCACCCTCCAACAGTGAAGGGGAACTGCCCACAATTTCCTTACAGGTTAGCTAAGAAATGAGAACAAACTATGTGCCTTCTGTCCTGTTCCTAATGAATACTATCAGTAAAAGTAGTCAACACAAATTAAAAGTGGCAATGGCCCAAAGTGTTCACAGTAAAATTAATGATAGATGAAAACCTGGTTAAAAACCCCCATCTTGTTAGAAATCTTGAAAGCTGCAAAAATTGAGCAGAGAAAATTAGACTTAGTTAAAACAATCAGGTTGTTAATATTATGCACGGTAGGCCAGGTGCGGTGGCTCACGCCTACAATCCCAGCCCTTTGGGAGGCCAAGGCGGGTTCGAGACCAGCCTGGCCAACATGGCAAAACCCTGTCTCTACTAAAAATACAGAAATTAGCTGGGCGTGGTGGCATGTGCCTGTAGTCCCAGCTACTTGTGAGGCTGAGGCAGGAGAATCGCTTGAACCCAGGAGGCGGAGGTTGCAGTGAGCTGAGATTGCGCCACTGACTCCAGCCTGTGTGATGGAACAAGACTCTGTCTTTAAAAAAAATTATGCATAGTGAAACTTGTTATTTGTGAAAAACTGACAAAAGAATCAAATCTTCATAAATCTTAGATCTGTACCATTTAACCCCTGGAATATTAAATTTGGCTAAAAGAAGGAGGAGAAGAAAAGAAAGAAACAAAATAAAGTTACAAGAGGAAAATCATGACAGCAGAAACTGTAATGTGTAAACTGTGCTATGATGAAATGTTCAGAAGAGGCAAATCCATTGAGACAGAAGTGGATTAGCGGTTGCCAGAGGCTAGGGGAGGGGGAGAAGGGGGAATGACTGCTAATGGGCATGGGGTTTCTTTTCAGGGTGATGAAATGTTCTGGAATTAGATTGTGGTAATGGTTGCACAATTCCGCAAATATCCTAAAAACCACTGAATTGTACACTTTAAATGGGTAAATTGTATGGGATGTGAACTACATCTCAATAAAGTGGTTAAAAATATGCTATGGACAAAGTAAATCAATAGATCACACATTTGTTTAATAACTTATGAAAAAGAATGAATTCTGATGAAAATAACTTCAGTAAATATAAATGAAAAATGTTAGCAACAGTTTATCTGCCCTGCATTGAAAATTTATCAAGGAATTACATGGGTTTTGTGTTTGATCTGGAAAAACACTTGTACAATGAAAATTCATCAATGTAGGTGTCATTCTGAATTAAATGTCTGTATTCACAATCATGGTCCTCAAGCCAAGAGGTCCTATTCACCCACTCCTCCCGTGCCCTAGGGAAGAGAGGTTACTGACAAAGTCCAGTCCCAGGCTCAGCTGTTTTCCTAGCCATTGGCTTCAAGACATTGGGAAATCTTGGCCTAGCCGGATTTTAACAGTGCTCACCTTGCTTTGCAAAGCGTTTCTTACGCCTCATTTTGGTCCGGTGTCTAGCAAACAAGTCACTGATCCTCTCAGCCCAGGCCGCATAACTGTTGGTATCTGTAACCCCGCAGCGGGGACGAGTCATCTGGCGCAGGGTGGCGCGGTCCAACACGCCGCTGACAGGTAGCTGGGACACCCACTGAAACGCTCTGTCAGGAGGAAAGGACCGCAAGGGGAGGGTGAGTGGTAAGGGTGAGGGCAGGGAAGTCTGCCTCCCTGGGGTGTAGCCAGCCAGGCTTCCAGGAGGAGGGAGGAAATGGTCAGAGCTTGGCATCCTAGCACCCCTACCCCAAGTCCTCCACATCCCTCCACCCTACCTGATGGCATCGCTGAATCGAGTGGAGGTGGGAGCTTTGGGGACCTGTTCATTGAGGTATCCGTACTTCTCTAGGAATGCCTGCGGGAGAGAGGAATATCTGCTTTTTCCATAGCATCCTTTCCCCTCCCTTGGTCCCCAAGGGCCCAGGGCACATACATCCTGCCCAGTCTCACCTCTTGTCTTTTGCCCAAGAGGGTCTATAAGCTATAGCAGAATGAGTTCTGGGATTAAAGTCAAAAGGACCTGGACTCAATTCCAGGTCACCACTGACTAGCTGATGATCTCAGGCAAGTCACTCAATATTTCTGAACCTTTGCTTCCTTATGCCTAAAACTGGGCCAGTAGTACCTACCCATATCTTACGGCATCAGTAGGAATCTAGCAGCACATGCTAGGCAGTACAGTAACAGGCTCTGGAGTCAGATCCACCTAGGTTTGAATTCCAACTAGTAAGATACTTCTCTAAACCACAGTTTTCTCAACTGTAAAGTGGGCTTAATACTAGTACTTACCTTACAGGGGTTTTTTTGTGTGTGTGAGGACTAATCGCAAGAGTGTTTATAAAGCACTTAGCACAGTGCCTATTACATAGGAGGGACTCCATACAGAGTGGCTATTATAATATGTGTTATGCGTTACGTGCATATACACTATTCATATGCATCCTGAAACAACTACATTCTCTAGAATATCTTTTGGTATTGATTAGGAGCTTATCAGGTGCTAGCTCTGCCATGGCTGGGTTGTGAATTGTCTAATTCTGGATTTTTAAAAAAACAGTTATCTTCCCCACCGATGTAGATATATTTATTTATTTATTTATTTTATTTATTTTTTTCTGAGATGGAGTTTTGCTCTTGTTGCCCAGGCTGGAGTGCAATGGTACAATCTCAGCTCACTGCAACCTCCGCCTCCTGGGTTCAAGCAATTCTCCTGCCTCAGCCTTCCAAGTAGCTGGGATTACAGGCATGCACCACCACGCCTGGGTAATTTCTTGTATTTAGTAGAGATGGGGTTTCACCATGTTGGCTAGGCTAGTCTTGAACTCCTGACCTCAGGCGGTCCACCCACCTCAGCCTCCCAAAGTGCTGGGATTACAGGCGTAAGCCACCGTGCCCAGCCCAAATGTAGCTATATTAAAGGTCCTAGAACAACAAATGCACTTACCACTAACCTTATAATTGATATAAAAACTTGACTCTCTAAAAGATGTATTTTTTGAATTAGAAAGCTTCTTTTATTCATTCGTTAATTAATGCAATGTACTAGGTACCCTGCTAGGTACAATAAAAAATAAGACATCCCTAAACCAGGCACAGTGGCTCACGCCTGTAATCCCAGCACCTTGAGAGGCCGAGGTGGGCACATCACCTGAGGTCAGGAGTTCGAGACCAGCCTGGCCAACATGGCGAAACCTCATCTCTACTAAAAACACAAAAATTAGCTGGGCGTGGTGGTGGGTACCTGTTGTCCCAACTACTCTGGAGGCTGAGGCATGAGAATCACTTGAACCTGGGAGGCAGAGGTTGTAGTGAGCCGAGATCACGCAGCTGCACTCCAGCCTGGGCGACAGAGCAAGACCCTGTCTCGAAAAGAAAAAAAAAAAAAAGTAAATAAAGGACATAAATTGGTACTATGAAGAAAAGAAACCAAGTGATATGACTGAGAATAATTTAAAGAAACTTCACATCGGAAGGTCAGGAAGGAGTTGAGTCTCTGAGGAGCTGATACGTAATCTGAGTCCTAAAGAATGAGAAGCTTGCCATGCAATGAGGTGGGAAAGGGTGTTCCAGACAGAGGAAACAGCAAATCCAAAAGCCCTAGGCTAAGAATGACAGTGACATGTTTAAGGAACAGAAGGAAGGCTGGAGCACAGCAAGTGTGAAGAAACAGAGCGTGAGATGAAGTCAGAGAGAGAGGCAGGGCTGTCAGCCAGGATAAGAAGTGTAGGTTTGTTTTAGTCCTGCTGATGGATTAATTGGTGGGGAATGAAAGACAGAAATCCAGGATGCTCCTAAGTTTTTGGCTTGGAAGGTGATGCTATTTAATGTATGAGGAAGCCTGCAGGAGGTACAGATGGGGGTGCGTGGGTTTAAGATTACCTTGGAGATTTCAAAGTGGCACTGGCTGTATGATCCTAGAGCTCAAAGCAGCAGCCTGAATATTTCAGCATGTAGGTGATATAAAGCTGTGGACCAGGACGAGCTCCTCTGGGGAAATTGGTATAATTGAGAACATCTCAGGGTCCAGGTACCTTTGACTCTGCCTACCCTAACACACCTGGAAGCTGTTCTCTCAGTAATCAAGTTATTTGAGGCCAGTGGAGAGAAAAGTGTGACTATTATTCTCACCTATCACCAGTTCTACCCTTTGGGCAGACGATGCACTTGGCTCCCTGATTGCCCTTCTCACTGATAAAGTTACATAAATGTCACCTTGGATAAAAAAGAATGTTGCCTCAGCTGCATAATTCTTCTACAAGGAGAATTCTTCTACCTACATAGCCTCAATTTTTACCCCTCCTTGTTGTGTTACCTATACAGAAATAATTTTCTGTCTTCTTCTCTTACCCCTATTTTCTTTGCTGTATTTCTTTTTTCTTTTCTTTTCCTTTTTTATGTTTTATGTTTTAGAGATGGGGGTCTCACTATGTTGCCCTGGCTGGAGTGCAGTGGCTATTCACTGGCATGATCATTGCTCACCACAGCCTCAAACTCCTGGACTCAGGTGACCCTCCTATAGCCTCTTGAATAGCTAGGACTACAGGTGCTGCATGCCACCTTGCCTACCATGTTGTATTTCTCTCTTTTTTTTTTTTTTTTTTGAGACAGAGTCTCGCTCTGTCGCCCAGGCTGGTGTACAGTGGCGTGATCTTGGCTCACTGCAAGCTTCATCTCCTGGGTTCATGCCACTCTCCTGCCTCAGCCTCCCGAGTAACTGGGACTACAGGTGCCCACCACCACACCCAGCTAATTTTGTTTTTGTATTTTTAGTACAGACGGGGTTTCACCATGTTAGCCAGGATGGTCTCAATCTCCTGACCTCATGATCCGCCCGCCTCAGCCTACCAAAGTGCTGGGATTACAGGCGTGAGCCACCGCGCCCAGCCACCATGCTGTATTTCTTAACTCAAAATAATTCCAATCATAGCTGCTGTCTCAAGGAAAATGCACAAGTTGGGAATGAAGCTAGATACTAAGACCAGCAAACCCCTAAATCTTTGCAAGTATCCAGCTTCCCCTTGTGGATTTAATTCACATTCATTTTCAGCAACCTCCACATCCTCTTCTCAATAAAGTAACTTTTCATAGACTCCTCATTCTACGTAACTTTCCTAGTCCATTTCATTGTTTTTCTGCATTAATTCATTAGTATTTCAGAACTATTGTTTCCTTTTTTCCCTTTGCAAATGTACACTATTTTTGGATGCATAATGGATTGAAAGTGTTCTGGTGGCTTAATTTGGGAAGCTATTTCCTGCTCAAAATCGTGTGGCATCACGGTATAGCCACCAGGTTTGGGAATGAAAATCTATTCCCAACCCTGACTCTGCCAGATGGCTGGGGACAAATTATTTTTTTTTTTAATTTTTATTTTTTGAGACGGAGTCTCGCTCTGTCACCCAGGCTGGAGTGCAGTGGCGCCATCTCAGCTCACTGCAAGCTCTGCCTCCAGGGTTCACGCCATTCTCCTGCCTCAGCCTCCCGAGTAGCTGGGACTACAGGCACCTGCCACGATGCCCGGCTAATTTTTTGTATTTTTAGTAGAGACAGGGTTTCACCGTGTTACCCAGGATGGTCTTGATCTCCTGACCTTGTGATCCCCCCGCCTCAGCCTCCCAAAGTGCTGGGACTACAGGCGTGAGCCACCACATCCAGCCAGCTGGGGACAAATTATTTAATCTCTCTAAGCCCCTCTTTCTTTATCCACAAAGTGAGAATAAGTTCAATTTATTCTTGATCTTATTCAGCGTTCTCAGAAGGACTAAATAAAAGAATGCACATTTAGCATAGTGCCTGGTACAAAGTAAATACTCAATAAACAATTGATCTGGTTGATTTACCTTAGAGGGAACGTTAACAACAGACTTTTGGAATGCAATCCATCTGTAAAAAGGGAACTGCTTTGAACATGGCAGTTACACCTCTGTTCTCAATTCAGGTGCTTCTGTCTCAGACTTGCCTGACCTCAGCTGGATGCCTGGTTCTCTTCCTTGTCCCCTCCCTTTCCTTTGGGGAGGATGGACAGAGGACTTTCTAAAGGTAGCCAGGGAATTAATGTCTCCTTAGAGGCAGTTTTGCTAGGTGAGTGACTTGGGAGAGACCAGGTCACAGGTCGGCATGGCTGGCACTCCCTTGTGCCTCTCTCCACAAACACACCCAGCCCTTATCAGGGAGTTGGCTCCGGTTCTGGAACTCTGAAGCCTTGGACAGAGTGGGAGGGAGGGGAAATTAACTGGCAGCGTCTCTTGTTTCCTGGCTGGGCTGCTGTGCCTAGTACTCTGGCAGGCAAGACGGGGTGGAGGGCAGGATGGGGGTTGGGGGTGAGGGCCTTTTTCAGGGGTCCCTCAGAGGGGAAGTCCTGGGCCTTTCTTCCTAACTCGCCTCTGGGACCCTGTAGGTAGCAAGGCAGAGTTAAAATCTCAGTAAGCAGAATGAGCATGTGCCCGGGACACGAGCCAAGCAGAGCCACTGAAAGAATGAGAAAAAGAAATTTTAAGAATTTGACATTTTGTATTTCTATAAAAGCACTGAAGTGGCTGTGCGTAGTCATGCCTGTAATACCAGCACTTTGGGAGGCCGAGGCAGGTGGATCACTTGAGGGCAGGAGTTCAAGGCCAGCCTGGCTAACACGGTGAAACCCCGTCTCTACTAAAAACACAAAAAATTAGCTAGGCATGGTGGCCAGTGCCTGTAATCTCAGCTACTCGGGAGGCTGAGGCAGGAGAATCGCTGGAACCCGGGAGGTGGAGGTTGCAGTGAGCCCAGATCACAACACTGCACTCCAGCCTGGGCAACAAGAGCAAGACTCCATTTCCAAAAAAAAAAAAAGCACTGAAGTATTATAACAGGGATTATCAGGATTTATGGGCTCCCTTATACTTTTATGCTTAACATGTGTATATTCAAAAAAATTTAAAACACATACAGGAAGGGGCTCCTTAATGCTGTCAGGGCTGGGTGCTCTCACATTCTGTGGAGTGGAGGCAGATCCAACTTCCCGGGTGAGGAGGTGGTGGGGTTGAAACTCCCTCTGCTCCTGGAGGTGTCCCTAACCCTCTTCTGTGAGGCATTTTTCATGCCTCAGTTTCCTCCTGCAAAGGTAAGAGAAATGGTCTACTCTGCACAGTAGAAGGAGCAGGGGTGTGGGGTCAGGGTGGAGGAGTGGCAGCATGACAAAGGGATCCCAGGAGAAGACACAAAACTGGGAGGTGGAGCTCCAGTTCTTACCCCAGCTTGACCACAAACCCTCTTGGGGGCCATTTTCCTTCTAGGCTTCCATTGTCCTGGGGGCTTGTTCAATGGTTCTCTTAAGGACTCTCTGAGTTCTACCTGGCACCATTCCTGCCCCACTTCAAGGAGGCAGAGTCTAGACCACTCCTCCTGGCCTTGAAGTTCAAGGACCAGGTTTTCTCTCTTCTCTATTTTCCACCCGTCCTCTCTCTTAGGGAGCCCAAGGCTTGAGCTGAATGGAGAGGAAGCTGGAAGGCTGTGCCCCTTAGGTGACTCACCCTACTCTGGCCTAAAAGCTTGTGCCAACATGCCTTACCCCCTTGGTTAGGGCTGGGACCACTTTCCTGGGGAGTCACTTCTGAAAGTCCCTGGGAGTGGCTGTGGAGTCTGGGTAAAATGGAACTAGTTCTCCTGGGACCCAGCCAGCTTGGTGGAATCACACAGTGCTAGGGATTCTAGGCCTGCATCAGTCCTGACTTGTCCTGGGAGGGTGCATATAGCCTAGCCTATTTAGTGCCTGAGGGAAGGGAAATTTTGGCCATTTCTGCGCAGGGCAGGACCAGTGATGAGGTGCAGCAAAATGAACCCAAGGCCTGAGTCAGGAAGTCTGCATCATTGAACTGGCAGGGCAAGGGCACTGGACTGAGAGTCTTGAGTTTTATTCCTGGTACTATGGCTAACTTGTATGTCCTTAGGTAAGTCCTGTGCCTCTCTGAGCTTCAGTTTCCTCTTCTATAAAATTAGGAGGTTGGATTATTATTATTATTGAGACAGAGTCTCACTCTGTCACCCAGGCTGGAGTGCAGTGGCGAGATCTCAGTTCACTACAAGCTCCGCCTCCCGAGTTCACACCATTCTCCTGCCTCAACCTCCCGAGTAGCTGGGACTACAGGCGCCCACCACCATGCCCGGCTAATTTTTTGCATTTTTAGTAGAGATGGGGTTTCACCGTTTCAGGCAGCATGGTCTCGATCTCTTGACCTCGTGATCCGCCCACCTCGGCCTCCCAAAGTGCTGGGATTACAGGCTTGAGCCACCGCGCCCAGCCAGGAGATTAGATTATTAGAGCTCTAATATATATTCCAGCTCTATCCGTTATTCTATCCCTGCTTCTGCAACTGACTAGCTGTGTAAGCTAAGACAAAGTTACTTAACCTTTCTGTGCCCCAATGTATAAAATGGGAGAAAGAATACTGTTTTACCTTTCTCGCAGGAGCATCATCAACATCTAAGAAGATGGTCTGGGAAAGCTTTATGACAGTTGCCCCATTAACAATGTTATTTTTACCTCTATGTTCATGGAGCTTTATTGCTGGAAGGGACATTTGGTAGGTGAGCGTGTAGTACTCACCTTCTTGTTTTTTTTTTTTTTTTGACACGGAGTTTCGCTTCTTGTTGCCCAAGCTGGAGTGCAATGGCACGATCTCAGCTCACTGCAACCTCTGCCTCCTGGGTTCAAGTGATTCTCTTGCCTCAGCCTCTCGAGTAGCTGGGATTACAGGCGTGCGCCACTACGCCTGGGTAATTTTTTGTATTTTTAGTAGAAACGGGGTTTCACCATGTTAGCCAGGCTGGTCTCAAACTCCTGACCTCAGGTGATCTGCCCACCTTGGCCTCCCAAAGTGCTGAGATTACAGGCGTGAGCCACCATGCCCAGCCAGGACTCACCTTCTTAGACATCCTCCATATCACAGAATTTCAGCAGCAGAAATGAAATTAAGAATTTAAAAATTGCCAAATGCATGCAGAAACTGTCACTTTACCTATGATATACTCCATCTCATGTTACATTTTATTATTATTTTAGTTCCCATAGTGACTATTTGAGATTGTGCTTATCATTCAAGTGTATCTTTGGCATTATTAGCCAAGTCAAGATGCAAAGGATGGCAAGGCATAGTGGCTCACGTCTGCAATCCTAGCACTTTGGAAGGCTGGGGCAGGAAGATTTCTTGAGGCCAGGATTTCGAGACCAGCCTCATAGTGAGATCCTGTCTCTACAAAAAAAAAAAAAAAAGATGAATGATAGCTGGTATTCTGCCTTGATGTGTTCTACATATGAAAATATTTTCTGGTAGTCAGGAGCACAATAAGCCCAGGCAACTGTAGAGCTTTTTAAAGATATCACACCTTCTTTGAATCTCACAATGATCTTGCAAGAATATAGACAGGACAGGTGTTGCTATTCCCATTTTAAAGATGAGGAAATTAAGTCTCAGGGGAGTGTAGTGTCTTACCAAAGTGATCTAGTGTGTGACAGAACCAGTACTCTAATCTGATCCTCTGACATCTACCCTAGGATGTTTTATTTTACATTTAAACAAGTGACTCAGAGGCTTTAAAACTAAAGGGGCAAGGGCCAAGCTGCTCTCTCTACTGGGGAGCTGACTCTCAATTAAGAAAAAGGTCAAACTGGGGTGTTTCTGGCTGGATTTCTCTTATCTGCTTTACAAGAAAGTTCAGGGTTAGAGCAGAGGAAAGAAGTTGCTCAGGCAGTGGGCTCTGGCTTTCAAATAGGGGCTGGGATCCTGTTTTCCATCACAGCCAGAACAGGTCGTCTAACAGGCCAGAGGCATTCGACAGGACTGAAGCATGTTCCTGCGTAAAGATAAACATCTGCTACCAGAATGCTCTGCTTTCACCCTCTGGCTCCTGGGAGCTAGTGAAGACTTCAGGGCAGTGGGGTTAACTCAGCTCCTTTCCTTTATTTTGGGTAAAGGCTTCCCCTTCCCTCTGCCTGACTCCCTTTCTTTTTCTCCTTCTTTCTTTTGTCCTTCAGTTTTTTGTTTGTTTGTTTGTTTGTTTGTTTTTAGTCAGAGTCTTGTTCTGTTGCCCAGGCTGGAGTGCAGTGGCATGACTTCAGCTCACTGCAATCTCCGCCTCCTGGGCACAAGCGATTCTCCTGCCTCAGTCTCCCGACTATCTGGGATTACAGGCGTACACACCATGCCCGGCTAATTTCGTATTTTTAGTAAAGATGGGGCTTTGCCATGCTGGCCAGGCTGGTCTCAAACTCCTGACCTCAAGTGATCCACCTAACTTGGCCTCCCAAAGTGCTGGGATTACAGGTGTGAGCCACTGCACCCAGCCCCTTTGTCCTTAGTCTTATAGTCACAAAGTTCTGTCTAGGTGTAACCTAGATACCTCTTGCTATAATCCCTGCTCCTTCTTTCTCTCTCTCTCACTCTTTTTTTCTTTCCCTTTTTTTTTTTTTTTTTTTTTTTTGAGATACGGTCTTGCTCGTCGCCCTGGCTGAAATGCAGTGGCATGATCACAGCTCACTACAAACCTTGACTTCCTGGGCTCAAGTGATCCTTGTACCTCAGCCTCCTGAGTAGCTCGGACTACAGGCATGTGCCATCGTGCCTGGCTAATTTTTTAATTTTTGTAGAGATGGGGGTCTCTCTATGTTGCCCAGACTGGTCTCAAACTCCTGGCCTCAAATGATCCTTCTACCTTGGCCTCCCAAAGTGCTGGGATTACAGCCATCATGAGCCATTGTGGCCAGCCCTCCTTTCATTTTCTGCCCTTAAGGAAGATGGAAAACACTAGCCAGTTAGTCTTTATCCAGACCACATCTTGTACTCTTTCTCTAATGCCAAATAACTATACCGTATGGACTCATGGTTCTCACTAGACTTGTGGGACTAAGTTTAGGGCACAAAATAATGCCTTGATCAAGGGTGGGTTTAGGGAGATATTGTCCAACCATGTCTCCCTGCTATTAGGGTCATGCTTCCACTACCCAAATCCTGGTAATTGGCTAGACAAGTGCTTTTCCACCAACTGTGGTCCTCTAGGACCCTTCAGAGCCTCTTCTGCACTTCTATTCACCCTATACCCATGAGTCACTGAGCTAAGTTCTTGGGAACGGCTTCCACACCCAGGCTTCTGGGTTTCTGACTCACAAAAAGTCAAACGAATGGCTCTGGGGTATGAGAAACAGACACTGCATCTGGGGGTGGATACTCCACAGAAGCTCCAGTGTCTCCCTGGAGAAACAAACTATCCAGCTCCTGGTACTGGCACACTGGGAGTAGCTATACAGATATAGCTAGACCACCCAGTGGAAGGCAGGTCCTGAAACTCCTGCCTGGCTGTTCTAAAGAAGGTCCAAGCAAAGCAAATGATAGATAGAGCCCTTGGGAATCTGTGTTACCCAAGCACAGGACAGTGTCTGGCTTGGAATGGGAGTGGGGGACAGGGTGATGATGTCATCTGTTAATTCTCAATCTTGCAACTCAGCAGAGCATGCTCTTCCTACTTACTAGTGCTGTGAGCAGCTCTAGTTTTCCTAAGTTGCCCACTGAACTTGTTCCTAAGTTGCAACAATGAACTTGTTTGTTCACAACACAGCTTTGTAAGCACTTAATCTCCTCCCTGGCAAAGCCCACTCTGGAAAGGCCTCAACTTTGTTACATTGTGTGCACAGAGGGGACACAGAGCCATGTACACAGGGTACAGGAATACACACAGAGACTTGAGAACACAGGCACATCCAGACAGACAGACATGGACACAGAGGAAGATGATGTATATACACACACAGGCACACACATATATAGAGGCACAAGCATACAAGCACACCAAAGCCAAACAGTGTTAGAGCTAGAGAGAATCTTAGAAGTCATTTAAGAAATTTAGCCCTCTTATTTTACAGGAGAGGAAACCGCAGCCAAGTGAAGGAACTCTATGATCACACAGTTGTTTTTTATTATTTCTTTCTTTCCTGTGCCGTTTTGGTTTAATTTGTTCTTTCTTCAGATTCTTAAAGTGGAAGCTTAAATCATTGACCTAAAACTTTTCTTCTTTCTTACTATAGGAATTTAAAGCTGTGAATTTCATTTAAAGCACTACTTTAGCTGCATCCCACAAATATTGATATGAAATGTTGTATTTTCATTATTATTTAGTTTCATTGCTCTGATGATTTCTGAATCAACTCATGGGTAATTTAGGAGTGTGTTGTTTAATTTCCAAATATCTGGGGCTCTGCTAGATGTCTTATTGTTACTGATTTTAAAATTAGTTCTGTTTTGGTAAGAAAACATAATTTGCAACATTTAATTTTTTTTTTTTTTTTTAAGACGGAGTCTCGCTCTGCTCAAGCTGGAGTGCAGTGGCGCGATCTCGGCTCACTGCAACCTCCGCCTCCTGGTTTCAAGCAATTCTCCTGTCTCTGCCTCCTGAGTAGCTGGAATTACAGGCACACACCACCATGCCTGGCTAATTTTTGTATTTTTAGTAGAGACGGGGTTTCACAATGTTGGCCAGGCTAGTCTCGAATTCCTGATCTCAGGTGATCCACCTGCCTCAGCCTCCCAAAGTGCTGGGATTACAAGCATGAGCCACCGCACCTGGCTTTTTTTTTTTTTTTTTTTTTTTTGAGACAGAGTCTCGCTCTGTTGCCCAGGCTGAAGTGCAACTGCGTGATCTCGGCTCACTGCAACCTCCGCCTCCTGGGTTCAAGCAATTCTGCCTCAGCCTCCTGACTAGCTGAGATTACAGGCGTTTGCCACTACACCTGGCTAATTTTTACTATTTTCAGTAGAGATGAGGTTTCACCATGTTGGTCAGGCTGGTCTCCAACTCTTGACCTCAAATGATCCTCCTGCCTTGGCCTCCCAAAGTGCTGGGATTACAGGCATGAGCCATCACACCCAGGCTTTTGCAAAATTTAAATTTTTTAAATGAACTGAGACTTATTTTATGGCCCAGCCTATGGTCTCAGTTGGTAAATTATTGATATGCACCTGAAAAGAATGTGTATCTGGAGTTCTCAAGTGTAGTTTTCTATCAACATCAATTAGGTCAAGAAGGTTTACAGTATTGTTCAAGTCTGCTACATCCTGACTGATTTTTTTTGTCTATTTTTTCTATTCATTATTGGGAGAGTGGTGTTAAAGTTTCCAACTATCCAGTTCCAAAAGGCCACATATAATATGATCCCATTTATATGAAATGTCCAGGATATCCAAATATATATACACAGAAATTAGTCTGTAGAGGCTGAGTATGGTGGTTCAAGTCTGTAATCCCAGCAATTTGGGAGCCCAAGGCAGGCAGATCATTTGAGGTCAGGAGTTCGAAACCAGCCTGGCCAACATAGTGAAACCTCCATCTCTCACTTCCCACTTGACACATCCCATTTCCCACTTCACACTGACATTCCAATTCACAAATGTATTAATGTTTTTTTTTTTTTTAAATGTGTAGAGACAGGGTCTCTCTATGTTGCCCAGGCTGCTCTCAAACTCCTCGGCTCAAGCAATCCTCCAGCCCCGGCCTCCCAAAGTGCTGGGATTACAGGTATGAGTCACTGTGCCCAGCCACAAATGTACTAATCTTACAATAGTAGAATTCCATTTACCTGCCCCCGCTTGCCTTGTGCCATTGTCATAACTGCTACTTTTACATGTGTTTTAAAGTCCAACTTATGGCCATAAGGGGGCATGGCCATTAAGTTGGACTTTAAAACACATGTAAAAGAAGTAGTTATGACAGTGGCACAGCACCTGGCCAAGGGAAGCAGGGGTGGGCAAATAAAATTCTACTATTGTAGAATAGTAGAATTCCAGCCTTAATCCCAGCACTTTGGAAGGCCGAGGCAGGAGGATTGCTTAAGTCCAGGGGTTTGAGACCAGCCTGGGCAACATGGGGAGACCTCATCTCTACAAAAATATTTTAGAATTAGTTGGGCATGGTGGTGCGTGTCTGTAGTTCCAGGTACTCAGGAGGCTGAAGCAGGAGGATCACTTGAGCCCAGGAGATTGAGGCCGCAGTGAGCCATGGCTGTCTCAAAAAATAAAAATAAAGTCCAATTTATGATGTTATTATTTTGCTTTAAGCAGCCAGTTGTCTTTTACAGAAATTATGACAAGGGAAATAAGTGTTTTATGTTTACTCATTTCCAAGCTTTGTTAGAGTAGGTCTTACTCTAGTTCATGGTGCTTACACCTAAAGCATGGCATTGCTGGTGTTTTACATAGATGCCCAGGGTGTTAAAGAGTTTTTTCCATTTTGGCTGGCCCAGACTGCCAATATCTTCCAGAACTGCTCAACTTCTCCAGTCTTTTTTCCTGTTCTCAATCACATAGCAGCTGTTCTCTGGTAAGCATCACACAGTCTCACCCTACACGTGCTAGCACAGTCCCCAGGGAAGGACTTGCAGTGAACCCCATACAGACTTATGGGAACCCCCTTCAGTATAGCTCCCTCCTCTGTGACGCACCCCTCCACAGATTCCAGCTACTTCAACAGCCCTGAACGCTGAGCTTTGTCACTCAGCACAGCAGGACTGCTGTGTTCTGCTTGAGGTCTAGTTCCCCGCACTGCAGTCAGGAATTGTCTCCAAGCAAAGAACTGGGGCAACTGTGGGGCTCACTTTCTGGGTTTTCCTTCTGTGGATGGTTGTTCCCTAAACGACACAACAGTATCTCCCATTCCCACGTTCTTCTCACGATGTGACTTTAACACTCCTCTCAGCAATCGTGGGGTCTATGTTCCCTCCCCTTGAACCTGGGAGGCAGCTGTGACTGCTCTAGCCAATGGAGTGCAGTAGAAGCAATAGTAGGTCATAAAAAGGATATAGTTCCTCTCTCTTCTCCCCGCTCCCAACACTCATCCCCAGGACCCAGACACCATGTTATAAGGAAGCCCAAACTAGCCCACACGGACAGACCATGTGGATAGGTCCATGTGAAAAATAACTGAGGCCACCAGCCAACAGCCAGCATCGACTGCCAAATATCTAAACACACTTCAGATGATGCCAGCCCCAGACACTGTAGAATGGAGACAAGCTGCACTGATGTGCCCTATTTGAAATTTCGACTCACAGTTATCTGTGAACTTAATAAATGGTTGTTTTACTTCACTAAGTTTTGGGGGTAATTTGTAATGTAGTCATAGTAACTAAAATACTCTCTTTAGGAATTGCAGCTCTGTGCTGTCTGTTGTCCAATGCTGAAAATAGTTGCCTTACATATTTTGTCCTGTATTATTGTTGTGGGGGAGCTAGTCTTCAAACCCAGACTTTAAGCCGAAGCTCAGTTCTCTAAAGTAATGATAAAGGTAATAACAACACTGAGAGCAACTTCCTTTTATAGACTGCTTTCTATGTCCTATGAGCTGTGTTAGGCATTGTACATATGTTATTTCAATGAAACCATACAACAATCTTGTGAAATAGGCATTATTAACCCCCATTGTATGGAGAAGAAAACTGAGGTTTATAGAGGTTAAATGAGTTATCCATGGTTTACGTATGGGTTTGTCTGGCACTGAAGCTCATGCAATTAACCACATACAAAAACACATATAGACATAGACACATCCCCAGTTGTGTGTGTATATATGTAATATATGTATATATACACACACACGTGTGCTTGCATAGGCATATAGAGACACGTACACACCCATTACACATTTCCAGAGTTTTTATGCTTTTAAAATATTTTCTTGTTCTCAGAGTTAAAAATCCCCTTCCCCAAATTTATGTTAAATAGACTGAAAGAAACTCAATCTGCTGGATATTAAGTTTCCCAAGCATACCCCAAGATGAAATTCTCTCCATCTGGGGCCACCACAGGCATGGGCAGCAGAGATATGCCTCTGTTCCCTTGCGAGGGATTGCCTGGGACCCGCACTTGCAGGGAGGTGGGGTGGGACTCTTAACAAGACTTGGCTTGGCAGACAGAAGCCTTCTCCTGGGGCTGCAAAGACTCTGTACTTGATGTTGTAAGAGTCTCAATTCAGAGAAACAAAGTGCTTCTCTGAATATGCAGAGAAACCAGAGAGCACAGAGCAAGAGCCCAGTGCTAGGAAGGGGAGGGGTGGAAGGCAATGAGAGATGATCCCTTGTTGAAGCAGGGTCATTTCCAAATATTCCCCAGTAGTGATGGGAGCTGGGTGATGGAAGGATGAGGCATTCGGAGAGGGCCCTCTTCATTCTGCAGTTTCCCCAAATTCAGCTTGCCCTTCGAGGGAAGGGGAGTAGGGAGGATACTGAGAAGCTCTCAACGGGCAGTTTGAGGGCAGGAAAGAAGCTCTTAGAGGAGCAAGAGTCTCAGGGCAGAGCATTGGGCTCAGTAATTCAGAACCTGTTCATATTCCAGCTGGATGCAGTGGCTCACGCCTGTAATCCAAGCATTTTGGGAAGCCAAGGCAGGCGGATCACTTAAGGTCAGGAGTTCGAGGCCAGCCTGGCCAATATGGTGAAACCCCGTCTTTACTAAAAATACAAAAATTAGCCTGGCATGATCGTGCATGCCTATAATCCCAGCTACTTGGGAGGCTGAGGCAGGAGAATCGCTTGAACCCGGGAGGTAGAGGCTGCAGTGAGCCGAGATCTAGCCATTGCACTCCATCCCGGGCAACAGAGCGAGACTCTGTCTCAAAACAAAAACAAAACAAAACCTGTTCATATCCCTTCTCCTTAAAATAGTGGAGACCCTGGCCGTATTCTTGAGAAGAAGTAAGAACACAAGCAGACATGCTTCTTTGGGGGAGGAAAGAAAAGATACTGTTGTGTTATTACAACCACTTTTTTTTTTTTTTTTTTGAGACAGAGTCTCACTCTGTCGCCCAGGTTGCAGTGCAATGGCAGGATCTCGGCTCACTGCAACCTCTGCCTCCCGGGTTCAAGTGATTCTCCTATCTCAGCCTCCCGAGTAGCTGGGATTACAGGCGCCTGCCACTACGTCTGGCTAATTTTTGTATTTTTAATAAAGACGGGGTTTCACCATTTTAGGCAGGCTGGTCTCGAACTCCTGACCTAAGGTTATCCGCCCGCCTCAGCCTCCCAAAGTGCTGGGATTACAGGCGTGAGCCACCGCGTCCGGCCTACACTTTTATCTAGAAAATAGATGCCTTATATTGATCCCCACCCCTACCTCACAAAAAAATTCCCCTTGCGCAACCTACAACAAGCAAGTTGAGTCCAAAGCAAGAAAATGGAAAGGGAGCTCTCTAAGGTTCACCTTCCTGCCCCCTTAAGTTCAGTCCTGAAGCCCCGTTTAAAGCTCCTTAGAAGCAACTCTTGAGAGTATACTACTCTTGCCCATTTTACAGACAGAAAAACTAGTTCTGAGCAGTTTAAATGGCTTGCCCAAGCAGGTCAGCGGCGGTCCCCGGCCAGGAAGCCAGCGCTGTGTCCCGCGTCCCGGCCAGCCAGCGGTACCCTCTCCACAGCACCAAACTGAGGCTTCCACACGGTTCGGGGGCATCCGACGAATGAACCTCATTCTCCCCAGCCTAGGTGGTGAGGGAGAGTGGCCCCGTGCCAAACTAGGGTAGGATGTCCCCTCTGGGCTCTTGCCCGTCTGTCCGGTCTCGTCTCTGCACCCACCCCAGCCCATCAGTGCGGATCCGCGTGCCTGTGTGGTTCCAGCCTGGCACGGGGAAAAAACTGCCCGGCTCTTTATGTTCAAGTGCGAAGGGGGCGGAGGACAGGGGTAGGGTAACGCAGATTGTCTGCTCACAGGGGACTGCCGGGTGGCCTGACTGCCGAGTTCTGACAGGTCTCAAGCACACGCACCGCTCTCCGCCAGGTACACACGGCGTACCTCCGCCTCCTTGCGCAGCTCCTGGCCTCCGCGCTCCGCGGGCTGGGCGTCCAGGTGGCCCCACAGTAGCAGCTGCAGGGCGCGCAGCAGGAGGCCGACGCGCGCGACCATCTCGCCGCCTCCGGTGCAGCCCGGCTCGGGGAGCTACTGCGCGCAGGGAACCAGCCGGCAGTCAGCCGCGCCCGGGACCCCGGGGATGGGACTGCTCTGCGCCGCCCCCGCACGGAGAGGGACTGTCCCGGGGTTTCGCCAGTGCCCTAGCTGCGCGCTCTGGGCCGCTCCTCCGCTGCCCTTCGCCGGGAGCCGGCCAGACGTCGTCCAGCCCGGGCAGTGCCTGCCCGCGGGTCCGCCGGCCCCGGGGACCGAGGGAGGGAGGAAGGAAAGGCAGGCGGAGGGGGCGGAGGCCCGGCACTCCCGCCCCACCCACCCCGCGCCGCTGCTGGAACGCGAGGCGGTCCCGGAGCCTCTTCCGTTCGCTGCACAGCCTCGCCCTGCGCCCGCCACCGCCCTGCGGATCGGTCCTCTCGCCCGCCACCTCCAGTTGACCCGGATCTGTCCAGGGAGGGTGAAGGAAGAAAGGCCTTCTCCTGGCAAGCGTGGCTACCTAAGACTTCGATGAAGAGAGGTCCTGGTCTACCAGAGGGTCGTTGATTGTTTCAGCTGGGTGGGGAGCGAGGCCCCCACCCAGGGTCGGGGTGCGAGAGAAGCAGCACAGAGCTGGAGTCAGAACTGGGTTTGAGTTCCAGACTTGCTCCTTTGCTAGCCCTTTGAGTCCTGCCTCAGCCACCTGCTGGCTGTGTGGTCTTGGACCAGTCACTCACCCTCTCTGAACCCACTTTTCTCATCAGTAAATGGGATAATAAGAATACCGATATTCTGTGACTGTTGGGGAGATAATAACGCCTGTAAATTACTGAACAGGGTGCATGGCATCACGAAGTGTGCACTTAATAAGGGGCAGGCTGCAGCTGTGTGATCTTTGGCAAAGGATTTAACTACTTCGAGCGTCAGTTTCCTCATCAATAAAATGACAGCATACGATATTTAGTGCCCAGCGTTGCATGAGGATGAAAAGAGAAAATGAGTGTAAAGTGCCTGATTTTATATACCCCATAAGGTTGGAGTGAAACGGTTTACGTGAAAGCCTTTGCTAAACTCATATTGAGCAAAAAGTAAACTATTTTCATTATCTGTCTGTGTAACTGAGAGCTGGTTGCTGTCTCACTTCTACCCAATTCACTACATTGTAAAATGCAAATGGAAAATGATACTGAGCTCTGGGGGTCATTGTGGGATTAGATGAGTTAATGTGTGTAAAAATAATCTAGAATCCCTAAAGTGCTGAACAAAAATAATGCTGTGTTCCAACCCTAAGGCTCAGGGCCTCGGTATCACACAACGTTTTTGTACTATTTAGAAAAATACACCACTTGTGTGGAGGAATTGGAAAAAGCCCTTTTAATAGACATTTTATGTGTGTATATATGTACATATGTATTTTTAAGACAGGGTCTTGCTCTGTCGCCCAAGCTGGAGTGCAGTAGCACAATCACAGCTCACCGTAGCCTTGACTTTCAAGGCTCAAGCAATCCTCCCATCTCAGCCTCCTGAGTAGCTGGGATTGCAGGCATGTGTCACTGTACCCAGCTAATTTTTTAATGTTTTATAGAAGAAGGGATGGAAAGATTCTGCCTGGAGAAAGAATTGGCAAACCTAGGTCTGACTCCAGCTTGTTCCACAGTGTCCTTACCAACTGATGATCATCAGAGCTCCCTGCCCAAAGCAGGGCTATCCGGCCTGTCAAAATCCATCTACTGGTAAAAGCCACCATATATCATGCCATACCTGTAACTACAAACACACACACACACACACACACACACACACACTCTCTCTCTCTCTCTTGCTTTCTCTCTTTCTAAGGTTGCCAGATGAAACAGAGGATACCCAATTAATCCTGAATTTCAGATTAATGATGAATAATTTTTTAGTATAAGTGTCCCAAATATTGCATAGCACCCAGTTACTTTTTAAAATATTCATTAATCTGAAATTCAAGTTTAACTGGAGTCCTGTATTTTTATTTGCTAAATCTAGTAATACTATCTCACTCTCCTTCAGAAGCTCCCTCCCCAAGGTCCACTGCAGGGTTTTGATTGAATCAGCCGCTGTGTTACAGTCTGTTCTTTTTGGGGGGATATGGGTTGAGTACAGGGTCTTGCTGTGTTGCCCATGCTGGCCTCAAACTCCTGGCCTCAAACGATCCTCCTGAGCAGCTGGGACTACAGGCATGCACTGCCACGCCCACCTCGCAGAAGGAAGGAGGACCTTCCTACTAGTTACCTGACAAGGCTGGAAGCTCTCTAAGAGCAAGGGGCAGGCCAGCTTCATGTCCACTACCTCTGGGGCACCAACCCAGGCAGGGATGCTTCTTATGAATGTGCAGAGGGCATCCTCAAAGAGGGGACATAGATGGCAAAGAGATCCATCCTCAACTCCAGAAATCTTGAGGCTCCCTGACGGGGATGCGTCTGCACATCCTTTTTCTCATTGGTCTGCCCAGAGAAGTGCCTTTTTAAAATTGGTATGCCCAGGATGGATGCCCCTTTTTCATTGGTTGGTTGGAAGGTGAACAGGACCTGTTTCCAATTAGTCTCCCTCAAAGGAATGCCTGTTTCTTTTTATTTTGTTTCTTTTTATTTCGTTCTTTAGAGACAGGGTCTTGCTCTGACTCTCAGGCTGGAGTACAGTGGCATAATCAGGGCTCACTGCAGCCTTGACCTCTCAAGCTCAAGCCATCCTCCCACCTCAGCCTCCGGAGTAGCTGAGACTACAGGACACACCACCACGCCCGGCCAGGAATGCCTGTTTCTAAAATGTTTATTCTGGCTGGGAATGCCTGCTCTAAAATGTCTATTCTGACTGAGTGCGGTGGCTCACACCTGTAATCCCAACATTTCAGGAGGCCAAGATGGGAGGATCACTTGAGCCCAGGAATTCAAGACCAGCCTGGCCAACATAGTGAGACACACTATGTCTGTGTCACATCCCAGAGGTTCTCCATTTCAGCTTCACTGGGAAGAGACGGTAAGAGGAGAAGTCATGGTTCTCTGGAGGGCTGAATGTCTGGGAGGAGACAAGCTTGGCCACTTGGAAAGCTGATCCTGACTCTCTCTGCATCCCAGCCTAGCTCTGGTCCCTGAACCCCTCAAACTAGCACCACTGTGCATTTGAAAGTTGACTTTCTCTATTTTCCTTTTGTGTTCTTGGTTGGATTATTTCATCCCATCCTTTCCTCTCCCTATGCCATCTCTGCTTGTGGTCACCTTGAAGTGCCATCCAGACTTGAAACTGCCTGCAAGAATTTATGCAGAACAAAGCTTTCTCCACCCATATGCTTACCCTGGGCTTCAACCCTGCCTTTGCGTAGGATGTCTCTTTCCCGGGAAGATAACATATTTCCATGGTTTGAATTTGGGCAGCAGGAGGTTCCGGTTCCCTTCTTCCTCTGAAGATTACTCATAAATCCCAGAGCACCAAATTCTGTGATCTTCAAAATCCAGGGGCCTGTGAAGCCCCACAAGTGTGACTTGCTGCATGTTTTCATGTCTAGTACACATCCTGAGCCAAAATCACTTTGGATGGGGTGGGGAGGGTGGGCAGCAGCTTGCTGTGTGGATGCTGGGAGGATGGGAGGGGGTCCAAGGAGAAAAGGAAGATGAAATCGGGGCAGTTTATTGAGAAGAGACTCAGTTCATAGCAAGGGAATCTGGAGAGTGACTGGAGAATGGCTTTGGATCAGGGATTCTCAAACCATGACCCAAAGATTACCCACATCCAAAAGAATACTGTGGTGGCAAGTCCCTATGTTAATCCAATACCATTATTTCCTACTCTGGTAGGAGTGGGTGTGGGGATGGGAATGAGGAGTTGGAACAAATGATAGTGATTAATACTGTTGAGAAATTAACATGGGCCACATATGTGCTAATGTGCTTTACATAAATCATGTCATTGACTCTTTGCAACTTCCTTATGAGAAAGCTACTATTACAAGCATCCTAATTTTAAAGATGAGGAAACTGAGGCACAGAGAGATTGTATCATTTGTCCAGAGTCACAAATCTTATAACGGTTTCTCGTTTTTTTGTTTTGAGACAGAGTATCGCTCTGTCGCCCAGGCTGGAGTGCAATGGTGTGATCTCAGCTCATTGCAACCTCCACCTCCCAGGTTCAAACAATTCTCCTGCCTCAGCATCCCAAGAAACTGGGATTACAGGCGCCCGCAAATGCGCCTGGCTATTTTTTTTGTATTTTTAGTAGAGACGGGGTTTTGCCATGTTGGCCAGGCTGGTCTTAAACTCTGGGTTTCAGGTGATCCACCTGCCTCAGCCTCCCAAAGTGCTGGGATTATAGGCATGAGCCACTGCACCCGGCCACAAATCTTATAATGGAAACTGTAATTCAACCTGGATGCTATAACTCCAGATCTAGGGCCTATAAATACTACACTATCTTACCTCAAGTCAAATTTATAAAATATGATTCTTAGATCACTTGCATTGAATCACCTGAAAAATTCAGATTCCAGACCCCTACTCCAGACCTACTGAATTACTAATTAGTAAATACCAGCTTCCAGGAGGAAGATAGGTTTTCCCAGGGTCTGTTTCTCTCCTTCCTTTTCTCCCTGTTTTGGCTGAGCAGATTCCTGACCCAGCTTGGATGGTAGTTCTCTTCACAGCTCCTCTTCAAAGAGAGCTGCTTCTCCTCCCTCCCTCTCTCTGCACTGGGGCTTGGCTTAGATCCACAGTGCCTCCCAGCACTCCCAGAGTGGACAGGATTCTGTGGAATTCATGCCAGGGCCTGGGCACATTGCCTGCCCAGGGGAGTGTCTGGCAGTGGCTGCTTCCCAGCCATTCCTCCTGCTCTGACAGAAGACAACAGCAGGACCTCTTGAATCAGGCAGGATGTGTGAGCCTGGACAAGGTTCCTCTGGGCCTCAGTTTCTCTCTTTGTAATATGTGGAACAATCAGCTTTGTCTCTGCCCCTTCCTCCTCCCCAGGAAGTGTGTGGAACACAATGTAGATTTTCTCAGGAAGAATTCTGGGCTCTGGGGACAGGCACTCAAGAGACCAACCTCAAACACATAAGCAGAGGAATAATTAGCAGAATAATGAGGACATGATGTTAGATTGGGAGAGCTGAAGAGGAGGCCTTCCTGAGTTGTGAGGACTTTTGCCGTGATAATTTAAATTCATTTTTGAGCATAGCCTCTGCATTTTTAGCTGTGATTCAATTCCAGAAGCCCTGACTCTAGCAACCATCTCTGCCTCTGGAAGGGAAATGTCCTCTCTCTGGCACGTGGGGATATGGTCTCAGCAGTCTGGGTCCCATTCACAGGCATACCTCACTGTCTGCTCCCCCGTACGTGTACACATATGCTCATACGGGACTGGAAAAAGTAAGAAATTTGGAGCAAGATAAACCTGAGTTTGAATCTCAACTTTTTCACATTCTCTGTGACTTTTGCAAGTCAACTAACCTCTCTGAGTTTCTGCCATTATAAAATGGGAGGAAAATAATTCCTGCCTTTTCTGCTATCCCGTGTGCAATGCGGAACAAGCTAGACAATTAGAAAGTGCTAAATCCGGCTGGGCGCGGTGGCTTAAGCCTGTAATCCCAGCACTTTGGGAAGCCAAGGAGGGCAGATTACTTGAGATCAGGAGTTCGAGACCAGCCTGAAAAACATGGTGAAACCCCGTCTGTACTAAAAATACAAAAATTTGGCTAGGTGCGGTGGCTCACACCTGTAATCCCAGCACTTTGGGAGGCCAAGGCGGGAGGATCACCTGAGGTCAGGAGTTCGAGACCAGCCTGACCAACATGGAGAAACCCCATGTCTACTAAAAAAAATACAAAATTAGCCAGGCATGGTGGTGCATGCCTGTACTCCCAGCTACTTGGGAGGCTGAGGCAGGAGAATCGCTTGAACCCGGGAGGCGGAGGTTTCGGTGAGCCACGGTCACGCCATTGCACTCCAACCTGTGCAACAAGAGCAAAACTCCATCTCAAAGAAAGAAAGAAAGAAAGAAAGTGTTAAATCCTGCAAAGTGCTGGATATTGGGTGCACAGACCTGAAAGCACAGTCATGCATTCTGTGCACAGGTTCACACTGGAGCACGCTTACATCCAAATGACATACACAAACCTGCCCCAGGACAGTCACACGAGCACCTCCGCTCCTGGCAATGATCTGTGTCTCAGAGCAGCCCCATCTTCCCTAACTCTCATCATGGTCTAGCAGGGCGTCATCCTCTTCTTGTTTTTTACTCACACCAGGACCCAGCAGACTTGCAAGGAGCACAATAAAAGCCTGGCCAATCTGGCGCTGTGCCCCACTTCCCTTCCACATAAAGGCTGTCTAACCACCAGGCATCTGGCCTGAAAGCCTGGGCCAGGACCTGCTCAGCATCTGCTGCTTTGCTTAAAAGACCTGCTAACAGGAAAGTGTCTGGTTCCTTTCTACCCAAACAGGAAGCGCCTGCCACTGTTGGGAGGACGGGGTAGCCTGGTCATTTACAAGGAGCCTCCCTCTCCTGCACTGGAGCCTCAGAGTAATCACCCTGGCAGGGCCGCTCTCTAGGAAGGCCAGGGGAGAAGGGCTTCAGGGACGCCTCCACTGGGGTGGGAGTGGGGTGGTGACAACAGCTACACACTGCCTGTGGCAATTGGCACCAGGTGGTTGTCGTTCTTTCAACAAACACTCACTGAACACTTACTCTGTGCCCCATGAGAGACATAAGGAAGTCCTAGATAAGGCCTTTGAGCTTGAGGAGTTTAAAGACGAGACAGAAAGACAAGTCATGCTCTTTTTTTCCCCCATTTATTTATTCATTTATTACATGCCATTGTTTTTTCCTTTTTAAAAATGCTAGTGTTGGGCCAGGCGCGGTGTCTCACGCCTGTAATCCCAGCATTTTGGGAGGCCGAGGCAGGTGGATCATGAGGTCAGGAGATCGAGACCATCCTGGCTAATACGGTGAAACCCCGTCTCTACTAAAAATATAAAAAATTAGCTAGGCGTGGTGGCGGGCGCCTGTAGTCCCAGCTACTCAGGAGGCTGAGGCAGGAGAATGGCGTGAACCCGGGAGGCGGAGCTTGCAGTGAGCAGAGATTGTGCCACTGCACTCCAGCCTGGAGGACAGAGCAAGACTCTGTCTCAAAAAAAAAGAAAGAAAGAAAAAGGTACACCATGCAAATAGTAAGCATCAGAAAATTGTATTAATATCAGACAAAGTATACTTCAAGAAAAAGAATACTACTAAAGAAGAAGAGAGAGATTTCCTAATAAAAGGATCAACTCATCGAGAAGATATCATAGTCTTAAATGAATATAAGAACTTCAAAATACATGAAGCAAATATTGAAAGAACTAAAGGGAGAAACAAAAACTTCCCAATCATATCTGGAGATTTTAGTACCCAACTCTTAATAACTGCTAAATAAACAGAAATCAATAAGGATATGTAAATCTTAACACAATGAACCAAATGGACCTAACCGACATTTATAGGTTATTACACCCAACAAGTGAAAAATACATATTCTTTTTCATATACACATGGAACATTCACCAAGATACACTGTATGCTGGCCCAAGAAACAAGTCTCAATAAATATTCAAGAATCAAAATAATACCAAGTATATTCTCTGACTATAATGGAATTTGATTAGAAATCATTAACAAGAAGATATTTAACCCCCCCAAATATTTGTAAATAAAGAATGTAATTCTAAATAATCTGTGGGACAAAGATGAAATCACCAGGGAAATTAGAAAATAACTGAATGATGAAAACCTGTCACATGAAAAACTACGGCATTATGAAGCTAAAGCAGCACTTAGAAGAGAATCTGTAGCGTTCAATGCTTCTATTCAAAAAGAAGAAAGGTGTAAAATAAAAGAATGAAGCTTCCACCTTAAGAAGCTAGGAAGAGTTGAGGAAACTGAACCCAAAGGAAACAGAAGAAAGAAAATAATAAGATTGTTATTCACTGAAACAGAAAACAGACTAAGAAAAAGAAAATCATCAAAGTCAAAATGAGTCATTGGAAAGACTGATAAAATTAATAAACTCTTGCTGCTTCTCAAACATTTTCCAGTAGGTTATTCACAAATTTGCATTAGAGACCAGCAGTGGATGCTCTCAGCATGTAGGTGTAGCCCTCTTGCCACTCGTGGGGGAGAGACATGGAGGGACGCACAGCCCCCAAGACTCAAGAGATGGAGGGGGAACCTGGGAGACCCAGACCTCCAGGAACTCATTAGACATACAGGACATAGGGATAGGTCCCTGGGGTGTTTTCTGCATGGACCCACAGCCTGTAGGGAGCCAAGGAAGAGCCACCTTCATGCAGAGAAGAGGAAAGGAAAGGATAGCAGAGGGAAGTCAACCTGAGAAGAAACTCATGAACAATTTTTTAAAAAATCTAGGTCTTGGGGCTGGGCGCGGTGGCTCACGCCTGTAATCCCAGCACTTTGGGAGGCCGAGGCGGGCGGATCACGAGGTCAGGAGATCGAGACCATCCTGGCTAACACGGTGAAACCCCGTCTCTACTAAAAAAAAAAAAAAAAAATTAGCCGGGCGCCGTGTAGTCCCAGCTACTCCGGAGGCGGAGGCAGGAGAATGGCGTGAACCCAGAAGGCGGAGCTTGCAGTGAGCCGAGATAGCGCCACTGCACTCCGGCCTGGGCGAAAGAGCGAGACTCCGTCTCAAAAAAAAAAAAAAAAAAAAAAAAAAAATGCTAGTGTTGGACTGGGCGTGGTGGCTCATGCCTGTAATGTAACTTTGGGACGCCAAGGCAGGCGGATCGCTTGAGGCCAGGAGTTCGAGACCAGCCTGGCCAACATGGTGAAACCCCGTCTCTATTAAAAATACAAAATTGGCCGGGCGAGGTGGCTCACGCCTGTAATCCCAGCACTTTGGGAGGCCGAGGTGGATGGATCACGAGGTCAGGAGTTCAAGACCAGCTTGGCCAAAATGGTGAAACCCCGTTTCTACTAAAAATACAAAAATTAGCCGGGCACAGTGGCAGAAGCCTGTAATCCCAGCTACTCGGGAGGCTGAGGCTGAACCCGGGCGGCAGAGGTTGCAGTGAGCGGAGGTCGAGCCATTGCATTTCAGTCTGGGTGACAAGAGTGAGACTCCGTCTCAAAAAAAAAAAAAAAAATTAGCCAGGTGTGGTGGCACATGCCTGTAATCTCAGCTACTTGGGAGGCTGAGGCAGGAGAATCCCTTGAGCCTGGGAGGCGGAGGCTGCAGTAAGCTGAGATCGTGCCACTGCACTGTCTGGGTGACAGAGTGAGACTCTGTCTAAAAAAAAAAAAAAAAAAAAAAAAGCCTACTGTTTCAGGCATTGTGCTGGGCACTGGACATTCAGAAAGGAATTATGCAACCCAACTAGAGAGCAAACAGGCAAAGCATGCAAGCCTTGAATTATGCAGTACAACTGTGAGTTCCAGAGGATTTCAAAAAAGGCAAAAAATCATCATGGTCTGGTTTTTACTTTGGTCAGAGCAATAACCTTTCCCTGCCCTCTAGAGTCTATGCTTTAAACAGCAGGCAGAGTAATCCTGGTAAAGCAGTTCAGATCCTGCTGGGCCTCTCTGTTCAAATGGCTCCCTCTAATGGTTTCCCCTCTCACTCTAAGTGAAACCTTACAATGTCCTTACAAGGTCCTATACCATTGGTAGAAAGGTTGGGGAAGCCAAGCAGGGGATGGAGGCAACTCAGAAATGATCAATAGCAAGAAGACTATAAGCTGTAGGTGGGGGGACAGAGGGAGGAGGCAGGTTACTAGGGCCAAGGAGCCGGGGTCACCAATGGAAACTGGAGCTCTGAGACTTCCCTGAGGCAGAGTGGGAGGGGGAAAGATAACCCTCTTCTTTCCTTTCTTCCTCTCTTCTTCCACCTAATTTCCCACCACGTCTCCCCTCGGCCAATTCAAGCTGAAAGATACCACCAGAGGGACTTTCTGAAACTGAAACAAGGCAACTCTGTAGGGGTCTGCTCCCCTGTGAGGACAGGAAGAATGGATCCAGGGCCAACAGGCCCAGTACCAAGACTTTCTTTTTTTTTTGAGGCGGAGTTTTGCTCTTGTTGCCCAGGCTGGGGTGCAATGATGTCATCTCGGCTCACTGCAACCTCTGCCTCACAGTTTCAAGCAATTCTCCTGCCTCAGCCTCCCAAGTAGCTGTGATTACAGGCATGCGCCACCACGCCCGGCTAATTTTGTATTTTTAGTACAGGCAGGGTTTCACCATGTTGGTCAGGCTAGTCTCGAACTCCCGACCTCAGGTGATCTGACCACCTCGGCCTCCCAAAGTGCTGGGATTACAGGTGTGAGTGAGCCACTGCGCTCGGCCTGGAGACCTTCTCAGATACATTCTGCTAAAGCTGATGTGTAAAAATGTACCTGCTGTCTTCCCTAAATATGCAGCCTGAGGCCAGGAGGGAGGATGTAGAGGGAGCAGGATCTTGCAGCATGAAGAATGCCTGGGTGATTGCCGGGCGCAGTGGCTCAAGCCTGTAATCCCAGCACTTTGAGAGATCCAGACGGGCAGATCACCTGAGGTCGGGAGTTTGAGAGCAGCCTAACCAACATGATGAAACCCTGTCTCTACTAAAAATACAAAAATTAGCTGATTGTGGTGGCCCACACCTGTAATCTCAGCTACTTGGGGGGTTGAGGCATGAGAATTGCTTGAACCCGGGAGGCGGAGAGCCAAGATCACGCCACTGCACTCCAACCTGGGCAACAGAGTGAGACTCCGTTTCAAAAAAAAAAAAAAATGCCTGGGTGATGGCTTAAGTTTGTTGCAGATAACCATTTGCAATGGAATCATTTCCAGGCAAAGACCTGGAATGCAGGAGGGCACAGGAGTCAGTCTGTGGTAGAGAAGGACCCTTGGAAAGAGGCCCCAGAGCAATGCAGACCTGGGAGGAGTTCTTTGTATCCCAGTGTGGGAGAACAGCGACACTGTGAAAAGAACACTGAGCATTGTCCAAAGGCCTGGGTATGAGTTCTCATCAGCTGTGTGAATTTGCTCAAGAGTTTCACCTCCCTGAGCTGCAGTGTCCTAATTGACCAAATGTGGATAGCAGCACTACCTGTTTCATAGGCCCATTCTAGAAATAATGGATATAGAAAATGTTAGTCCTTTGATTACATTCCTCAGAAGTTCCCCATTGTTTTAAATTTAATGTTCAAACTCCTCTGTAAGGCACACATGGCTCTTTGGAATGTGGCTTCTGCCTACTTCTTTCACTCCATTTATTACAACTCCTCACTCCTGCAACTCCATAGACCAGCCAGACTGAACCACTTGCAATTCCCAGAACTTTGCTCTCTCCCAGTCTTTGCAAATACAACCCTTTCTGCCTGGAGCATGATGTTCCTGGTATATCCTCGCTGCCTAATTCCTGTACTTTCTTCAAAGTTCAGTTTAGGGGGCACCTCCCACAGGAAGCCCTCTTTGATACCCCCCATCCTTCATGTGGGCAAGGTGCCCTTCTTTTGTGTTTTCAGAGCGCACTCTGCATCCTCCAATCCTAGCACATCCAGCAGTTGATTGAAATCACAGGTTTGGCAGGACAAGATAGAGTTAGTGCAGGTCCTGATGCACGGGTGGCAGCAGGTCAGCAGACACGCAGCCTCTGAGACTATCTACAGAATTTTATCAGGACAAATGGTGTGAGGGTTGGTACATTAGTAGGGGAAGACAAATACAGAAACAAATAGTATGAAGACAACAAGAAACTTTTTGGAACATGGATGGAGCTGGAGGCTATTCTCCTTAGCAAACTAACAGGAACGGAAAACCAAATACTGCATATTCTCACTTATTATAGGTGGGAGCCAAATGATGAGAATTTATGAACACAAAGAAGGAAACAACAGACACTGGGGTGTACTTGAGTGGGGAGGGTGGGAGGAGGGAGAGGAGCAGAAAAGATAACTATTGGGTACTGGGCTTAATATGTGGGTGATGAAATAATATGTACAACAAATCCCTGTGACATGTGTTTATCTGTGTAACAAACCTTCACATGTACCCCCAAACCTAACATAAAAGTTAAAAAAAAAGAAATCACAGGTTCACACTGTTCCTGTTATGAGACTGTAGTTCCTGGAAGGCAGAGGCTCTCCTTCCTATTTCTGTCTCTCCAAGGCCTTCCAGAGCCTGTCACATAGTAAACCTCCAGAGATGGCAATTGAAGGAGGAGTGAATGAATAAATGGTGGTACAAACTTAAGGAGTCGATGAGTAACACTTTTGGTATTTCCTTCTTTGAAAAAAATTCTCAAAAAAAGAAAATAAATAAAAAAGAACAACCCTCTAGGTCCCTTTAGGGATCTTCTAGAATTACCTCTTCCCCTCCCCTCCATAACCCAATTCTCTTCTGTTGGACATGCCCATCTTCTCTGCTGAGCTGCCTTCCTCAATATATATGCTAAACAGTTTAATGGTTTTTAGTCATGAAATAATTTTCACTCCTTTAGTCTTGCTTGTTGGAACTTATCTAGAGCGTTCTGTGACCCTCTTTATCTAGAGTTGAGGGCACAATCACTGCTGGTATAATGGGGAGAGATGACCTCACGTCTTTTTTCTGACCTGAAGGTATTAACTCTGAACTTCCCTTTTCACCTCCATTGCAACCTGCTCCTCCTTTTGTTCCCTATCACAGTCAATGACACTACCACCCGGCCCCCGTGTCTACGCAGGAAACCCAGAATTCACCCCAGACTCTTCTCTCTCCACTACCCTCTCCAACCCAGGTGATCACCAGCTCTTGTCTAGTCTACCCCGGGGTATCTCTGAGATCGCTTCACTTACCTCTGTCTCCAGAGCTACTACCTAAGTCCAGGGCACTGTCATCTCTCACCAAAATTACTGCACTGGCCACCTAATTGGTCTCTGCTTTTAAGCGCCTCTCATCCCCGTGCATTTTTCATTTGGCAGCCAGAAAATACAAATCTGATATTACTCCTCTCCTATAAAATCCTCTGGTGAGTGGTTCTCATTTCCTCCAAGATAAAGTGGGAACTCTAATGCATTTGACAAGGCCCCAGCTATTTAGCCCCCTCCTTTTCGGGCATCATCTCCTTCTACTCTCCCCTTGAAGAACTACTTGTTACACAACTAGTCTGCAAAGTACTTTGCTCACTTCTTTACTCGGTCAACTTCTGCACAACACCTAGGGTTTGGCTCAGATACCATGCCTTCCCGGAAAACGTCTTTGCTGGCTCTCTGAGCTTTTCCAGCCCGTTTCCTGCTGCAGAGCCCAAGCGGCCTTGGGCCCACCCCGCTGGGCCGTGCAGCATTTTGGTTAAACTCATATGCAATATATCGTTGGGTTACCAGGCTTCAAATTCCACCTTGGCCGTTTACTAGCTGTACGACCTAGGTCAAATGAATTCTGTCTTCTCATCTGCAACATGGGGAAAATATTTCATCAGTCTGTTGTGAGAATTAAATGAGATGATGTAAGGTGCCTGACAATTAAGAGTCAGCTATTATTATAGTGCTGAAAATTAAAGCTCGATCCCTCCGCCCCGCCACATTCTCAGGGTCAGATTCGTGTACGATTTCGTTTTAATGTACCCTTTTCTTCCAGCATCCTTGTTTGCTACTCGGCGAGACAGTTACAACAAACCGGGAAGCGATCAGGTACGCGAGCTGGTCACGACTCACAGTCCCAGAGCTCGCCGACTCCGAACGCCCCCAGGTGGCCCAAGCACTCTGCAGCAAAAGCCGCCAGCTAGGACGTACCATTCGAAATTGTAGGGAAAGAAAGGCTTTGCATAACCAAATACTCTGTGTTTATAAGGTCCCTCCTCTTTCGTTTCCTAACCGCAAATTCCATCACACCCAATAAAGTGAGAAATAGGATTGTAAATAAGACGGAGCAAGTAGGTTCCACTTCCTCCCCGATCGTGATCGTGGCATTGGTACTTTCTCTTCTCAATTCCCTCTCAATAATGGTACGGCTAGCGGAGGGGGGAATAGAGGGCCCTGGGAAGGCCTCAGGGCTCGGCGGCTAGTACCAGTGCAGAAACATCCCTCCTGCCGCAGCTTTGTGGTACCACCCGCTGCCCGCTGATTGGCTGCCGGGGTCCCGCAGTCCGCCTCAGCCCGCCGCGCCGCCCTCAGTACAGCTCCGGCCGCCGCGCCGCCTGGCTTTCGTATTCGTTGTTCTCGGCGGGCTGTGGGGCCTCCGCGCCGCGGCCGTTAGTCATGTCGGGTAGGTGACTTCTTCAGCGAGCAGCGGCAGCGACGAGAAGGTCCTGGCGGGGTTGGGCTGTCTTCCCGCCCACCGGAGGGCCCTGAGGAGAAGCCTCCGGCCCTGAGGGAGGCTTGGGGTGGGGGGGCGGCCGCTGCCGCCGCCATGTTGAACTGGAGGCACGCACGCTCCCAATGGCTCCCCGGCTGCAAATCACGGCGGGAGCGCCTCGGGCCTCTTGTCTTTTGACCCTGTCCTTGGAACCCGAGGAGACTTGCCGTTCCCGGGGGAGGGTGTGTGTGAGTCGGGGGGCGGAGGCCGTCTACGCCATCGTAGGGGCGGGGGGAGCCGAGATTAGAGCATCAGCCTGAGAGAAGCGGTGCTTCTGGTTCTCCGCTCCGCCTCGGATCTTTCAGCGAGGCCTCGGGCCAGTCATCTCGCCGCCTCGTACCTCAGTTTTCCCATCCTCGAAGTGGAGCTGGGCCTGCCTGACTCACCCATTCATCAGGTGGGGGCCTTGACGCTCTGGGAGCCCTTTCAAAGGACGTTGCCTTACACGAAATCGTACTTATCGTTATTCACTCTGCAGTAACCACCTGGATTTGAGTTGGGGGTGTTTGCATAGTAATTTAGCTTCCTCTTCACCCTCCTGCCATTCGTCTTCCCCACCAGTTTATCTCCTGAAAGAGTTTGAAAGTGAGCCTTGTCTATCTATTATTGATAAGCTCCTGTAGGTGTATGTGGCATTTACCTTAAAACATGCAGACCAAAGGAAAGGCAATCTTTTTTCCCCCCACGAAGCAGTTAACTTGGCAGAGGCCACCCATTGTGTGGAAGAGAAAGAGAGGCATTAGTCTCTTCAGGACAACCAGTTTGGATCCTGCTAAACCAGAATAAAAAGTCTAGAACATGGATGTCCTCTTGATTTAGCAGATCTAGCTGTTCACACAGGGTCCTCTATTGTTAGGCTGCATCACGGGCCGCAAAGACCCAGGTGTCTATCCACTTGCTAGAAACCATCATGAGAGTTAGATACCAGTTTTCTGCTGGAAATACAGAACATTTCCTGAAACCGTGTGGTTGAGGTGAAACAGGCATTTTGCAGTCTTATATTTTGAGTAAGGCCAAACCTGCCTAGTGTTATAAAACTAGACAAAAAACCCAGGTACCCGGTCTTGCAGGATAGAAATGTGTGACTAAAATGAAGCATCGATCTGAGAAGACTACAAATTAGCGGGAACCTTTGGACAGGAGCATGCTATACATTACTTAGATTAATGTTGATATTTAAGGAGCCAGGATATTGATTTGTTTTTGAGGGGTGCCCATCTACTTCATATAAGAGGCTATAAACTGCACTTCTTTCAGTTTCTGCTTAATCCTTGCTCAAACAAGAAATAATTTCTTATTCCAAAGTAGACATTGGTACATCTTTTTCTAGGTACGTAATTTGGGATGAAGTCTGATAAAGCTCCTTAGAAGTTCTTATAGTACACCCTCACAAGAGTGTATCATCTACCCGTGGTTTAAACAGAAATTAAAATTCTACCCTCGTGGAGAAATTTACCAAGTTTTAATGGTTTCAGTCCTCATTAAAAACTTTTAGCCTGTCTTGATCTTTAACATAATTATTGATATAAAACAATGGCTTCTGTGGAAAGTCGAAGTTTTAGTGGTTTGCTATTTGTAAAATACAGGCTTTTTCATGTATCATATAAGCATATAAGCTGGCTTAATCATTAGTATTGATCTTCAAGTTACTAAGACACCAGATATTTGTTATTTTGTAGTTCGAGTATTTTTTAAAATACGAAATTGGCTTTTCGGTGTGTGAAAAGGGCTACTTACTAGACGCTTGTTTTTAAATTAACATTCAATTAATTAAAGCTAGACTCTTTATATTCTTAGGCTTGGTATACTATTTATATGTTTTGTAATAAGTGTATAAAAATAATACCTTTGACTTTGTGTAAAAATAATGCTTTTGACTTGTTCTTTGATGAATGTTTATTAAAATCCCCCAAAACAACTAATGCCATTAATAATTTTAGTTAAGTCCTTTAAACATTCCAGACTACACATGTAAATTTAATATATCAAATTGACTCAACCACTCCAAAAAACCTAATAAAGTATAAGCACTGAAGTAATCAATAAATCAAAATTGTAGAAATTATAAGTCAGAGTCTAACATTCAAATACTGTTTACAACGTGAATTAGCTAACACCTTAACGAATTCAAATCAGTTACACACATAAAAATTACAAAGTCAAGATAACTTCTCATTCTGGCAGTGTGGCAGACCACGATTAACTTGAAAATCTATCTACAAAGATTTAAAAAAATGGAAAAACTAAGAAAGGACAAACCCCCAGTGCCAAAAATGAAGTAGGAGCCAGCATGGCAGGCAAAGAGCTAACTTGCCAGCTACCCTGGAGAGGAGGGCATACACCTTTTTTAGACACCTGGGTTTTATTGCTCAAGTAACTGTGTAGGGACCAGAGATAAAACGTACGGACCATTAACGCCAGGTAATGGGAACTGAGACTCTTAACATAAATTCTAGACTTAATGTGTTATGGAGTTAAAGGACTGTACATTATGTGAAGGAATGAACTGGAAAAAACCTTAGTACCAACATAAGAGATGACAAGGTAACATGGACGTTTAGGCTCCAGGAAACTTTAAGACAAATTAACGTAAAAATGGTTTCTGGGCTGGTAATACCCTTGGTGTTTCTGTTAAAAACATGAAGAACGGCTGGGCGTGGTGGCTCACGTCTGTAATCCCAGCACTTTGGGAGGCCGAGGCGGGTGGATCACCTAAGGTCGAGAGTTCGAGACCAGCTTGACCAACCTGGAGAAACCCCATCTCTACTTAAAAAATTAAGGCATCCTACATGCCTGTAATCCCAGCTACTCAGAAGGCTGAGGCAGGAGAATCGCTTGAACCTGGGAGGCGGAGGTTGTGGTGAGCCGAGATTGCGCCATTGCACTCCAGCCTGGGGAACAAGAGAAACTCTATCTCAAAAAAAAAAAAAAAAAAAAAAACCTGAAAAACATTTTCTGGAGGAAATTTCATGGTTTAGATCACAAGGAATTTCAGATAAAGCAAGCCTTGCAAAAGATATGTTCATAGTAAATTGCAGAGCTTTAGGAAACATTTCACTGAAATGAGAGTCAATGACAAATAGGATTAGAGCCTCTAACAGATTATCTGAGAGAATATTTTTATGTTTAAAATTGTTAAAATAAACCTAAAGGAAGGAATCAACCCTAAGATCAAGGTTGGCCGGGTGCGGTGGCTCATGCCTGTAATCCCAGCCCTTTGGGATCCTGAAGCAGGTGGATCACCTGAGGTCAGAAGTTCGAGACCAGCCTGGCCACCATGGCGAAACCCCATCTCTACTAAAAGTATAAAAATTGCCAGGTGAGGTGGCGGGAACCTGTAATCCCAGATCCTTGTGAGGCTGAGGCACCAGAATTGGTTGAAGCTAGGAGGCAGAGGTTGCAGTTTGAGACACTGCACTCCAGCTTGGGTGACAGAGCAAGACTCTGTCTCAAAAAAAAAAAAAAAAAAAAAAGATCAAGGTGTTAATAAAACAAGCCACATAGATTTGAAAAAGAATCAAGTAAAACGTTTAGAATTAATTAGGAAAAGTGAATAAGTTGGAATAGCAGACCTAGCAGAAGAAAGAATTACAGATATGATGGATGTGACTTATCTCACAGATGTGGAAGGTAGATGTGATCTTCCAGCATTCAATTCAGGGGGATAAGATATGAAAATGAAAGATTTCAGGCATGGTGGCTCATGCCTATAATCCCAGCACTTTAAGAGGCTGAGGTGGGTAGATCGCGTGAGCTCAGGAGTTTGAAAACAGCCTGGGCAACGTGATGAAACTCCCATCTCTACAAAATACAAAAAAGATCAGCTGAATGTGGCGGTATGCATGTGTAATCCCAGCTACTCGGGAGGTTGAAGTGGGAGGATTGCTTGAGCCCAGGAAATCGAGGCTACAGTGAGCTGTGATTGTCCTACAGCACTTCAGCCTTGGCAACAGAGCGAGACCCTGTCCCCCCCCCCCCGCAAAAAAAGATTAAGAAACATGGGAAATAGATTAAAAACTCCTGTCATACATCTAATAAGAGATTGAGAAGGAGAAAATGGAGGAAGAATCAATAGTTGATTTCCAAAGTAAATGAACATTTTGAATTGAACACTAGATTTAAACATGAAACATTCATACCTAGATACATTGATGTAAAAATGCAGGTTATGAAGTACCAGTAACCTACTAGAGAAAATAGGAAGCAGTGGTATGATTAATAACAGACTAATTAAATATTTGAAGAAGCTGGAAAATAATGAAATTATCCATTAGAGTTTAGAGAGAAAGTAACCATTGACTTTGAATTTTCTTTTTTCTGTTTTTTTTGTTGTTGTTGTTGTTGTTTTTGTTTTTTTTAAGAGTAGCGGGGACTGACAACAGGTGCACACTGCCTTACCTGGCTAATTTTTAAAATTTTTTGTAGAGATAGGATCTTTCTGTGTTGCCCAGGCTGGTCTTGAACTCCTCAGCTCAAGCAATTTGCAAACACCAACCAAAAGGTGATTTTTTTTTTTTGAGATGGAGTCTCGCTCTGTCGCCCAGGCTGGAGTGCAGTGGCGCAATCTCGGCTCACTGCAAGCTCCGCCTCCTGGGTTCACGCCATTCTCCTGCCTCAGCCTCCCGAGTAACTGGGACTACAGGTGCCCACCACCACCACGTCCGGCTAATTTTCTGTATTTTTAGTAGAGACGGGATTTCACCATGTTAGCCAGGATGGTCTCGATCTCCTGACCTTGTGATCTGCCCACCTCAGCCTCCCAAAGTGCTGGGATTACAGGCGTGAGCAACTGCACCCAGCTGATTTTTTTTTTTAAGTTATGTTACTAGCCAAAATAAAGTTCAGACGTAATGTTAAAAGGAAATCACCAGGAACATAGGCCTATACTTTTGTGTGCCTAATAATATATACAGAAAACAGGCCCACCTGTAATCCCAGCACTTTGGGAGGCCGAGGCGGGCGGTTCACCTGAGGTCATGAGTTTGAAACTAGCCTGGTCAACATGGTGAAACTCCATCTCTATTAAAAATACAAAAACTAGCCGGGCAAGGTGGTGGGCACCTGTAATCCCAGCCACTCAGGAGGCGGAGGCGGGAGAGTTGTTTGAACCTGGGAAGCAGAGGTTGCAGTAAGTCAAAATCGTGTCACTGCACTCCATCCTGGGTGATAGAGTGAGACTCTGTCTCAAAAAAAAAAAGTGTGTGTGTATATATATATGTATATATATAAAACCTAAATGACAATTACAAGAACTTGACAAGTCCATAGTTATATGGGAAGTTAAAAAAAATACCTCTTTGTGTAATTAATAGATCAGGCAAACAGTAAGAATATGACCAAACATTAGTAAAATATGAGTGATACAACTAATGAGCATAATGTTATAGACTGATAGAATTCACTTGAAATTTAGAAAATACATAATTATTTTCAGGCACACAGGGAACATGTGCCAAGGGGGAAAAGCAAAACAGGAAATCTGAGCAAATACCAAGAATAATAAAATAACTTTTCTGGCTGCAGTGGAATATTAGGAAAAAACACAAAGAGAATCAAAACTATACACTTGGAAATTCAAAAGCACTTTAAATTTAAATTCGTAGGTCCAGACACAAAGCACAATTGTCAAATAATCACAATGAACAGTTGTTTAGGATGCCTTAATCTATAAACTGATTTTCTCTGATGAATGTAAAACACCTGCACTTTATCACTCAAGGATTTATACCAAGGGACAGATTTACTAGTCAGTACGCTTATTTCTATATCATCTGGGAGTTTTTAAGCTAGCCAGCTAAAGAAGTTAGATTTATAATTTCAGAGGGCTGAAATGACTGGGTTAAGATTAAGGGCCTTACTGTTAGATTTGAGATAGGGTTACAGGACCTATGTGCTGTACCCTACTAAAATTTTGCCTGAACCTAAAGAAAATATGCTGCGATTATGTATTTTGTCACTGGGAGAACCTACATCCATGCTTCAGGATATAGTTTAACCTAAAGCTTCATGCATCCACAAATACCTTGTTTTACTCATTGTTTTCCCCCTCATAACCCTTTTCATCCTTTGATTTGGGATAATCTGATTTCCTGTCATTTCATAGAGGCATCTAATCTCTTAATGGTCTAATTAGATTGTGTATTCTTTTCCGATTTTTCTTAATTGGTTGTTAGCTACAACTCTAGCTATCTTCTCATGGGCCTGGCAGTGATGTGTAATTTTTTCTTTTTCATTTCAGCTAGTTTTATGCCCTCCATATTCATAGAAGTAGTAGTTTGTGTCAAGATTTCATTTAATACTTTTTTTCTCTTTTGAGACAGGGTCTCATTCTGTCGCTAAAGCTGGAGTGCAGTGGTGCAATCATGACCCACTGCAGCCTCGACCTCCTGGGCTCAAGCAGTACTCCTGTCCTGGCCACCCAAAATGCTGGGATTACAGGGATGAGCCACTACACCTGGCCTTCATTTACTATTCTTAAGCATTAAACAAAATCTTGTTCGGTCTAATTGGAGAGCTTTACTGCAGAAAAGTGGCAAATTTGGTATCACCCACTTATATTTGGTGGCAATATTTTCATATTGTAGCGTTATATAAATTGGATGAAAAAGTTTGTTCTAAGGACATATTGTATAATTAAATTTTAAAAAGAGAAAGTTACTGAGCCCCTATCTCTAAAAATTAAAAATAGCTGGGCGTGGTGCTGCACACCTGTAGTCCCAGCTACGCAGGAGGCTGAGGCAGGAGAATGACTCAAGTCTAGGAGTGAGCTGTGATGGCACCACTGCACTCCAGCATGGGTGACAGGAAGAGTTCATCTCTTAAAAAGAAGAAAGAAAAATTTCATTAGGTTTTGGTGTGTTTTAGAACTATTTGACAACAGTGATTTTTGTTTCAAATTGAGTGAGGTTGGGCCTGATGGTCAACAGTTTGCGACTTAGAGCCATTTTTTGCAGTTGCAAAAGCGTTTCATAAAATCTGCTCTTATGCGTCACATACTTGGTCATTCATTTGACTCTGAGTAAAGCCTGAAGGATAGATAAATAGAACCTCTTCAGTAATTTTTGATATGATTGACATTTTGAAGTATTGAGAAAAGCTCATAGTTCAAATTCTTTATTTTTTATGTTACCACCCCCACCCCACCCCCACTTTTTTTTTTTTTTTTTTTTTTTTTTTTGAGAAGTGTCATTCAGTCGTGCAGGCTGGAGTGCAGTGGCACAATCACAGCTCACTGCAGCCTTGACCGCCCCTGGATCAGGTGATCCACCTCAGCCTCTCGAGTAGCTGGGACTACAGGCACATGCCACCATGCCCAGCTAGTTTTTGTGTTTTTTGTAGAGATGGGGTTTCGCCATGTTGGCTGGGCTGATTTCAAGCCATCTGCCTGCCTCAGCTTCCCATAGTGCTGGGATTGTGTGAGCCACCATGCCCGGTCCCTTGGTCATTTTTTTGATTGCTAAATTGAAGCTACAAGCAGGTATTGCTGACTTGCTGTGCCAATTGGCTGAATCCCTGAAAGCTTGGTAAAATCAGAATAGAGCAACTAACTTAGCTGCTTTTTTTTTTTTTTTAGCAAGTCTTTGGAAATATTTTTGTTGGTGCTGACAGCCAAAGCAGTCCAATACAGAGGAATGGTGTATATCTTGGGGTGGTAAGGATGTTCAAGTAGATGTAATCCTGGGGATGTCATAGTGCATGTCTTTCCCCTTTTTGGACCTGATTAGTTTTAACAGATGTCTTTTTGTATATAATAATATTGCTTAAGGTCTTGAGTCTGTTTAAAGAATGGATTTTCACTGTTTACATTTGTTCACTGGGTTCTTGTGACCCTAGCACACATGTAGAATAGTAGTTTGCAAATACGTAGTTATTGTAAAAAGTAAATACTATTTGTACAAATTTCTTGTTTCATAGTATTTAACTTGAGTTAGTTTTTCTTTCTGCAGTTCTTTACATTTTCTTACCACATTTCTTCTGTATGAGCTAAAGTCAGCCTTTGAAGGAACCATAATTTTAAATAAGATTTAAAATTCTTTTTATGTGTTCTAGATTCTGGAAGTTACGGTCAGTCTGGGGGTGAGCAGCAAAGGTAAAGTATACATACATTTTAATAATATGAAAGGGTAGAACTGAGGTGAATTTTGTCAAGCTTCTTCTCTTGAGACTTGATGCTGGATGTCATAAGTTAAATATTAGCTTGTCACAGAGTGAAGAGAGTCAGTGTAAATAGGTGCTGTAAGACATTTATTCCCTTTCTGTTTTTCTTTATGTTTTGAGACAGAGTCTTGCTGTTTTGCTCAGGCTGGAGTGCAGTGGCAAATCATAGTGTACTACAGCCTTAAATTCCTGGGCTTAAGCGATCCTCCTGCCTCAGTCTCCCAAGTAACTGTAATCTCCACTACAGACATGTGCCACTCTACTGGGCTTCTTCCTTTTCTTTTTTTTTTGAGACTGAGTCTCGCTCTTTCGCCCAGGCTGGAGTGCAGTGGCGCGATCTCGGGTCGCTGCAAGCTCCGCCTCGCAGGTTCACGCCATTCTCTGGCCTCAGCCTCCCGAGTAGCTGAGACTACAGGCGCTCGCCAGCACACCCGGCAAATTTTTTGTATTTTTAGTAGAGATGGGGTTTCACCGTGTTAGCCAGGATGGTCTCGATCTCCTGACCTCGTGATCGCCCGCCTCAGTCTCCCAAAGTGCGGGGATTACAGGTGTGAGCCACTGCGCCTGGCCTCTTCCTTTTCTTAAATCTGTTTGCATCAATGAATATACCTCCTACAGATTAAAACAAATCTCCTTGGTATTGTAAAGTTTATGTTTTATTTAGGAAATCTCTTAGAAGAAACAATTATTAAAGAAATTTAATGTCAGACGCTATGGCTCATGACTCTAGTCCCAGTACTTTGGGAGGCCAAGATGGGAGGATTGCTTGAGGCCAGGAGTTAGAAACCAGCTTGGGTAATATAGCGAGACCTTGTCTCTAAAAAAAAAATTTTTTTAATTATCCAGACATAGTGGTGTGTACCTGTAGTCCTAGCTACTTGGGAGGCTGAGGTGGGAGGATCACTTGAGCCCAAGAGTTCAAGGTTGTTACAATGAGTTATGACCATGCCACTGCACTCCAGCCTGGGTGACAGAGCGAGACCCTGTCTCGAAAAAAAAAAAAAAGTTTAAGCAATTGAACTCAACAGTTGTTTTAGAAAAAGCGTTTTATTATGGTGTATAATATGCTAATGTGTTTTTTCAGAGCACATTTTTTTAAAATACCATAAAAAATATTAAGCGTTTTTTTAGTGTGCTTACCATCCTCACAGTAAAAAGGAAGTTCTATTTTTATGTGAGTGTATATATGCAGTGGGCTTCTCTTACCAAAATACAGCCTTCAACTTATAGGATAAATGTTTTACAGCTCAGTGTAAGATACTCAGAATAGCACCTCAGATATCTTGTCAAATTTTAAGCTTCCTGAAAAACAAAACTGATTTGACTTTTTTGATCTTGTAAGATAGTGCTAACTTCCTAGTAGGTATCTAGCAAAATGTTTATTTGGTGAAATGTATTTTCAAAAGTTAAGGAATCTTGTTAGCACTTGATACCTTTAAAATGATAAAAAATTTTGCAAGTGTTTTAGTTTTCTTTGGATATTAGAAAGTCATAGTATAGATTCAGAAAGTTTGTTTCTGACTTGTTAGAGCTTATATACTATAAAATTAATATTCAAATCCCAGGAGGGTACATTTATTTAGTCAGTCAACAAATATTTATTGAGCTATGTGCCAGGCCCTGCTACAATACTGAGGATACGGTATAATTTCATTCAATGACTGTACTGTGGGGATAAACATGCCTCTAATTATTGAGACTTTTAAACTGGACTTCTAGTGCCTCCCTGTGCATCTTTTAGGAAGTTAAAGCCATTTAACTAAGGCAAATGGTGGGAAAAAATTAATCTGTCAAGATGTGATTAAATTGAGTAAGGTGTTCATTTTTTGTGTAGTCATCATTTTTGTGCTTCAGGTATTTATTATAAGTCTTGCTATGTAGTTTTTATTCCCCCCACACCCAAGCATAATTCTCTTGGAATTTTCTAGCTCTTACCAAGTTTTGTTTATTTCTGCAAGATTGTGAAAACAAAACTTTGGGTATTTGTTTCCCATTCAGGAGATCTGGGAGTGACTTCATGTATTTCTTTAACAGTCTTTGATCGTCACCTTTCAATTTAGACTCTAGAGACAGGGAGATTGATGATTTCTCAGCAAAGAAGCTTGTATTTGAGTTGAAAGTTGAAAATGAAGGCAAGGTCTTCATTTAAACTTTAAAATTTCTACACATTTCTTTCAAGTATTAAATTTTTCTTTTGCAGTTATTCTACCTATGGAAATCCAGGCAGCCAAGGCTATGGACAAGCATCACAAGTAGGTTGAAATATAAATTGTATTCTTCATAAGTAGTTATTTTTATCTTAAGTAGGTGATGAAACTTGAGTATTTACCTAAATTTCAGAGCTATTCTGGCTATGGGCAAACGACTGATTCCTCTTATGGACAGAACTACAGCGGTTACTCCAGTTATGGACAAAGTCAGTCAGGTTGGACTAGTTTGTTAAATTTGTTGTTTCAGAGATTGAAAAATCAGAGCCTTCACTAAATGATATACTCATCTAATCTTTAGGTTATTCACAGTCCTATGGTGGTTATGAGAATCAAAAGCAGAGCTCATATAGCCAGCAACCATATAATAACCAGGGACAGCAGCAAAACATGGAATCATCAGGAAGGTAAGGAAATAGTAAAATACTGAGATTGTTTTGGGCAGTGGAAATAACACTGATATTAAACAGATTTAACCAACAAAATCCTAGCTTTAAACTTTTTTTTTTTTTAAAGGAAATTTTAATGGAGTGTGGATTTTACAACTGTATATTATGGAGAATGTGGAAATAGCATTGTCATTTGATTCTTATGATGTATTTGTGAAATCATTGTTTAGCTATAAATTGATGTCCTTAAAAATGTTAGAAAATTTTGGACCTCTGCTTTATCCCTGAGATTAAATAAAAACCTGTCTTTAGAATTAAGACTTCTCAACATCTATTTTTAAATTTCCATTTTATTTTTGAACCATTTGAATATATTAACTTTTCAGGGACAAAAATATTTTTTAAAAGGGTCAAAACTTACGCATATATCAGATACCCTAAAATGTGTTTTCTTTGATATATGTAGGTGAATATTTACTGATAAATTTCAGGTTTTATAAAGTTTTTTTACCTTTCAGATTTAAAGAGCTGGTACTTAATTTTATGCTATTTACTTAATAGCAAGTTACTTTTTAAAAATTGTGCTTTACATTCTGTGAAATGCTTTTGCATTCTCTAATGTGATTGATCTTCAGATACCACTATGAAATAGTGTCAGTGATTCCCATTTTACAGAGGGTAAAGAAATTATTTGGCCTATCAAGTGACGTGGCTAAAAACTGAGGTCTCTAGTGTTTTCTTTCTACAGTGAAGACATTTATTCTAAGTGAAAATTAAATAAAAGCATTGAGGAAAGATTGGTGAGGTCAAATTATCACCCTTACAGATGTGAGAGTGTTTTGAAAAGTAGAAAGTAGAGTACAAATGTAGGGAATAATATCCAGAAGGCATACTACATTAAGAGAAATAACTCTTCAAGCCTTGTTGGTTAGTTTTAAATTTAAGGAGAATCGTTTTATAAATGATGTATTTTTGGAAGCATGACCTATAAATATAGTCTGAAAAGAAATGTTAAGTTTGATTTGACAGCCATTTTAAAGTGCTAGGGTTTGGACTGTGGTTGTGTTGTGCTTTCGACAGGGAGTTAGGGAACATACTGATCTTTTATTAGATTGTTCTGATCCTCTGGTGAAGAATAAAATGTAAACTATTAAGTTATGAGATCTTTTTTGTCCCCCCCCAGCCCATTTTTATAATAAGTAAACCTACTGGAACTCAAATCCAATTAAATGTTGCCTTTTAACATTCCCACCCTGAGAGCATGTAATTAATACAGTAATATTGTTCTGAAGATACTTAGAATTTTCCTTTCAAATCGCTAGAATAAGCAGTCTCATTACCTGATAGAGTTTTTTTCAGATAAAAAAAATTGTGTTACAAAGCAGGTTCTTTTACTGTTTTCTAAAATGTACTATCACTGAAGATGTTTAGAAGACTGTACTATAGGTTCTAAAGATAATTCTAAGAGAAAAGATCTAAAAATATTTTAAGAGAAGACACTTGTTAAACTTCAGTGATATAGAGCCTTTCATTGTAACTATTAAAAGGACTCAGCTCTTGTGGCATGTTTATTAAAGAGTCAGACATATTACTGTACTTTGTAGCATCTTTTACTTTTTTTTTTTTAATTCATAGAGATAGGCCAGGCTCGGTGGCTCACACCTGTAATCCCAGCACTTTGGGAGGCCGAGACGGGTGGATCACGTGAGGTCAGGAGTTAAAGACCAGCCTGACCAACATGGAGAAACCCCGTCTCTACTAAAAATACAAAATTAGCCAGGCGTGGTGGCACATGCCTGTAATCTGAGCTACTCGGGAGGCTGAGGCAGGAGAATTGCTTGAACCCATGAGGTGGAGGTTGCGGTGAGCCACGATCGCGCCATTGCACTCCAGCAGCCTGGGCAACAAGAGTGAACCTCTGTCTCAAAAAAAAAAAAAAAAAAGTTCAAGGAGATAGTAAAAAGCCATAGTAATTTTTTGCTTTACTGCAGTTTTCAAAGATACATTTTTTTTCATAATGTGGCACCTCTTCAATGTTGGCAGAATCGTCTTTCGCAGGGAATTCCAGGAGACTGCAGATAACTAATTACCATGAGAAGGTAGTCATAAATATGGTTAATGTCTCTAACTGGTCAGGACTCTTAACATCAGTTTCAGCCAACTTGCTACAGCAAATGTAATCTTCCTATGAAGTCTCTTAAGTTCTCCATTTCTATTTAGCCAAGGTGGAAGAGCACCTTCCTATGACCAGCCAGACTATGGTCAACAAGATTCATATGACCAGCAGTCAGGCTATGATCAACATCAAGGCTCATATGATGAGCAGTCAAATTATGATCAGCAGCATGATTCCTATAGTCAAAACCAGCAGTCCTATCATTCACAAAGGGAAAACTACAGCCACCACACACAAGGTAAGATTTACTGACCTCTATTATTATTTTTCCCCCTCTCAGAATTATTTGTATGAATTTCTGATTAAAAGAACCACAGAGGATTTCACCTGTTTGTAAAAATTTAGGGTAACCTTGAAGATATGTTCCCTCTCATGGTAATCAAAACTAGTTTATCAGATTTCTACTTCTGAACTTGGAGGCCCTCAGATGGTCATGACTTTTGATGGCTGATTACGTGAATTTCCTTTTTGTCTCAGTGAACTCTGATCCTTGACAATACTGCTGGTACCAGTTCTTTTGGTGTTGGTGTTGTACTTGATTTGGGGTACTTATTTATGTACCTTTAAGGCCTAGTACATGGTTTGGTTCATAGTAGGTGCTCAGTTGAATAATTGTAAGTGTAAGTAAGTGCTTGTTGAATAATTGAATAGTAAATAGTAAGTGCTTGTTGAATAATTGAATGAATAAGTAAATAAGTAAAAGTGGAAGCACATTCACTAAATATCTTCTCTCAGTTTGAAGATTCAGTTATTCCTTGTCCATGCTCAATTTACATTTAAATGTTTCTGAAGTGAAGAAAGTGGTAACTTTTAAGATTGGGGGGCCGGGCGCAGTGGCTCACGCCTGTAATCCCAGCATTTTGGGAGGCCGAGGTGGGCAGATCACGAGGTCAGGAGATCGAGACCATCCTGGCTAACATGGTGAAACCCTGTCTCTACTAAAAATACAAAAAAAAAAAATTAGCCAGGCATGGTGGCGGGCACCTGTAGTCCCAGCTACTCGGGAGGCTGAGGCAGGAGAATGGCGTGAACCTGGGAGGCAGAGCTTGCAGTGAGCCGAGATTGCATCAGTGCACTCCAGCCTGGGCTACAGAGCGAGACTCTTGTCTCCAAAAAAAAAAAAAAAAAAAAAAGATTGGGGTCGTGCTTTTCATCTAAGTTACTAAGGTTCTTGTAGCTAAGATTGTATTTTAACTCATACTGTTCCACATTACTGTTTTGCCATGTCACTTTAGCAGAATGGAATTTGACACAGATACATTACTGTTTTGCCATGTCAGTTTAGCAGAATGGAATTTGACACAGATAAAATTCTCAAAAACATGTAATTCCAGATGATTTTATGATGACTTGCATTTGAGTTGTGTGCACATGTGCCATTTTCTATAAGGATATGTGTGGCCTAAAGAGCCATTTAACATTGTTATTTGAAGCTTTAGAAATGAGAGTGGTTATTTGTGTGTAATATTTTCTTTTTTGTAGATGACCGTCGTGATGTGAGTAGGTATGGAGAAGATAATAGAGGATATGGCGGGTCACAGGGAGGAGGTAGAGGGCGTGGGGGATATGACAAGGATGGAAGAGGTCCTATGACAGGATCAAGGTAAGTATGTAGATAAAGATGCGTACATTTCTTCTTCTTCCTCTTTTTTTTTTTTTTAAGGTGTTACTTGGCTGGATCAATTCCAGCATCTAATTTAGTTAAGAGACTTTAAAAAGGGATTATATATTGGAGAAAAAGGCAGAAATTAAAAGTGTATTTTCAGTCTTAATATCTCACATAAATGACCTTAGAATTGGCTATGTTAGTAGTTAGTTTATGTGGTACATGTTAAACACCAGTAGAGAAACAACTATGGTTGTGATTAAATCACTTGACTTTCCTGCCAGAGCTAGAATCTTAACTCCTTTAAAAGACGACTCTGGGAAATCCAGTGTTTGTATGTAAAAATAAAAGGTAAGTTAATTCTAGATTGAGGGGCAGAGGCTATTTCTTAATCTCCAATCTCCTTGGGAAGGGAAAGTATTAGGAGGCAGTAATGGAGTAGAAAGGTGGGGATGGCAAATAAGAGAAAGATTTAATGTAACAAAACTGTTTTGTCCCTCTTCTTAAGTAAATAATTATTGGAATAATTAGTGTAACATCACATAGTAATGTGTATTTTGTCTTGACTAAGTTGTGTAAAGGAATGTCTTTTTAATTCAGCTTTTCTTTTCTCCATGCTAGTGTTATCAGGTTTTGGTATTTATTTACTTACAGCATATGTTATGAAGCTGGTTTGAAAATTGGTTTTAGATATATCTGCAAGTTTACTACTTTGACTGTAAAAAAAAAAAAATGAAAAAGTAGTTGACATCTGTCCTCAGAAGAAGTTTGCAGGTTGCATATTTGTGTGTAAATACACAGGCTAAAAGGTAATTTATGTTCCTTGGGAATTGAAATGGTCAGTGGCCCGTTACAGAAACTTATCAGTCATATATCAGCACCAGTTCATTCTTTTGCACCTTAGGGACCATCTGTCCCCTGAGGTGACCTGAGAAACAACCAGTTGCCCACAGACTGTTATTTCTTCAAGTGAGCCAGGATTTGATTTCACTGCCTTATATTCTATTTTTAGTGTACAGTGCTTTGATTTTTTGGAAAAACTAAATTTTAAACATATTTGAAAAATGTTATAAGACTTGGACATTAAGTCTGTTGATAGCCAAAGTCAGTTTACCAAAGTAAAACAAATAAATTCTATGCTTCTTCATTGTCAAAGAGCAGTCTGCCATCATGTGGATATAAATGGACTATGTAAAGTGACATGGTGCTTACTCTCTACCTAATAATAGCCTCCCTCCTGTTCCAAACAAGATAACCAACAGGTATATTTAATTTACCAGTTAATATGTTTTGGATAATTGGCTGCCTTGAAATGCTATATGTTTTATAGTACATCATAGCTTTAGTTTTCTTCATAAGGAAATTACAGTTACATCCTAATCGATTATTAAACTATCACTGTGTCTAAGAATGGTGGAAGAAGATAGGGAATAGGTAGGGAAGTCATTATAAATATATTTTCACTGGCCAGGCATGGTGACCCATGCCTGTAATCCCAGCACTTTGGGAGGCCGAGGCGGGCGGATCACGAGGTCAGGAGATGGAGACCATCCTGGCCAACACAGTGAAACCCCGTCTCTACTAAAAATACAAAAAATTAGCCAGACGTGGTGGCAGGCGCCTGTAGTCGTAGTCCGAACTACTCAGGAGGCTGAGGCAGGAGAATGTTGTGAACCCGGGAGGCGGAGCATGCAGTGAGCCGAGATCGTGCCACTGCACTCCAGCCTGGGCGACAGAGCAAGACTTCGTCTCAAAAAAAAAAACATTAAAAAAAAATGTATTTTCATTTGTGACTCATCTTGTAACTAGAGGATCGAAAGGACTTTGAATGATCCTCCTGACAAAGGAGGGAAGCAGTACCTTAATCAACCCTGGGGTCCAATTAAGTACTTTTATAAACCCCTTGCAACATACTTCATATAATTTGTGGCCTAGATACTGACTTATAAACTAAATTTTTTATTTTCCTTTAATACCCCTTAATACAAAATCATATGCAGAAGTCCAATATCTAGTTGGTCCAAATGATGTGCTGATCTGGTTTCAGTGGGGGAAAGGTCGGGTGAGGAAGGGATCTGCAATCTTGCCTTATACTCTGTTATTTGTTGAGATGTTCATGAAAGGCCTTTTTTAGAAATCCGTATGGATGCCGATTACTCTTTATATTGAGTTGGCAAGCTGTGTGAAAGGCCAGATAGTAAATGTTCTGGGTTTGGTGAACCATATGGTTTCTATTGTAACTATTCATCTCTGCCCTTGGAGCACCAGAGCAGCCGTAATTAATATGTAAATGAATAAACAGAGTTGTGTTCCAGTAAAGCTTCATTTATGGATACTGAAATTTAAAGTTCATATAATTTTTTTTTTTTTTTTTGAGATGGAGTCTCGCTCTGTTGCCCAGGCTGGAGTGCAGTGGCACCATCTCAGTTTACTGCAACCTCCACCTCCCAGGTTCAAACAGTTCTCCTGCCTCAGCCTCCTGAGTAGCTGGGACTACAGGCGTGTGCCAGCACACCCGGCTAATTTTTTTTTTTTTTTTTTTTTTAAGTAGTGATGGGGTTTCACCGTGTTAGCTAGGATGGTCTCGATCTCCTGACCTCGTGATCTGCCCGCCTTGGCCTCCCAAGATTACAGGTGTGAGCCACCACGCCTGGCTGAAGTTCATATTATTTTTATGTGTCATAACACATAAAATTATTTTTATGTGTCATAACATCTTTTTAAAGATGTGCTTTTTAGCTTATTTATTGGGATAAAATGTTTTGAATTTGAATATAGATGCCCTGTTTTAAGATTTTTTTTTCCCACACAGTTTTGCATTTAAGTACCAGAATACCCAAACATTTTTCATTAGTCTTCATCAACACTCCCGTTTGTGTTCTCAGTCAAATTAAAAATAGCAATTCTTGGCCGGGTGCGGTGGCTCACACCTGTAATCCCAGCGCTTTGGGAGGCCGAGGCATTTCCACTAAAACTACAAAAAAATTAGCCGGGTGTGGTGGCGGGCTCCTGTAGTCCCAGCTACCCTGGAGGCTGAGGGAGGAGAATGGTGTGAACCCAGGAGGCGGAGCTTGCAGTGAGCTGAGATCGCACCACTGCACTCCAACCTGGGCAACAGAGCAAGACTCCGTCGCAAAAAAAAAAAAAAAAATAGTTCTTTTGGGGGCTGTTTGAAGAATATCTGGCATTAGTTGGGTTTATATTAAAAGAAGAAGGGGCATGGGCCAGGTATGGTGGCTCACGCCTGTAATTCCAGCACTTTGGAGGGCACAGCGGGTGGATCACCTGAGATCAGGAGTTCGAGATCAGCCTGACCAATAGGGTGAAACCCCGTCTCTACTAAAAATACAAAAAATTAGCTGGACACGATGGTGGGTGCCTATAATCCCAGCTACTCGGGAGGCTGAGACAGGAGAATCAGTTGACCTGGGAGTTGGTGGTTGCAGTGAGCTGAGATCACACCATTGCATTCCAGCCTGGGCAACAAGAGTGAAACTCCATCGCAAAAAAAAAAAAGAAGGGGCATAATTTGTGGATGAGGATTGGATATAAGGTAAAGGATGGGACATTCTTGGACTTACAGATGGTGTGATTGCCTGGCTAGAAGAAGAATTCCCGGTCAAAAAGAAACCATCAGCTTTCCAAGTGTGAAAGAGAGATAAATCTGTGAAGATTATAGGGACTACAGGAAACTTAATCTTTTTCTTTGAAAAAGCAATTGTAGCAAAAAAAAAGAAAATTTCTTACTGTCATCTAAAATTGACATGGACATCTTAGTGGACTAGAAGTTAAGGGCATAAATTCTCCCAGTGATTTTTAATTTTAGCATTGTGATTAACACCTTCTAAAATTGCCAGAACTTAATAAATAATTGCTTTTCATTATTAGTATGCCATCAAATTTAGTAGCTGTTTCAGGCTTTAATGTGTCAAGCCTAAAATCCAGATTTTTGAGGATCTTCTCCCTCTTAAAAGAGTATTCAGTTAACTGCCGTAGAAATACACATGTATACAAGGGCACTGTATACATCAGTCTAAAAAATAAAAATATGTATACGTTCTGGTGAGTCTAGCACAGCATTGCCCAATAGAAATACAATGGAGGTCACAAATGTGACCCATATAGTTAATTGTAAATTTTCTAATAGCCACATTAAAAAGAAAACAGCACAAATAAACAAATGAGAAAATCTATTTAACTCAATATATTCAAAATATTTCATCATGCAATCAATATAAAAAATTTCTTTTTGTTGGTCATGATGGCCTGCGCCTGTAATCCTAGCTACTTGTGAGGCTGAGGCAAGAGGATTGCTTGAGGCTAGGAGTTTGTGACTAGATGGGCAATATAGTAAGATGTCATCTTTTAAAAATGAAAAAATTAGCTGGCCACTGTGGCACACGCCTGTAGTCCCAGCTACTTGGGAAGCTGAGGTAGGAGGATTGCTTGAGCCCAGGAGTTCAAGGCTGCAGTGAGCTATGATTGTGCTTATGAATAGCCACTGCACTCCAGTCTGGGCAATAGTGAGTCGGTCAAATTCCATTTCCCCCTCCGCCCCATACCTCTTCAAATGTTTAAAAAAAAAAAAAAAAAAGTACTGTACATTCCTTTTTTCATATTAAAATTTAGAAATCCATTTTGTATTTTGCATTTAGAGCACATCTTAATTTAGACTGGCTACATTTCCAGTGCTCAACAGGCCACATGTAGGTAGTGGATACTGTATTGGACAGTGCAGCTCTAGAATGATAGATTCTTGGCCTCCTGAGATGTTGATAAATGCTGAATCCAGAAAGCCTTTTTACCATGCATGTAAGACATAGGAGGAAATAAAATGTAAATACAGCTGTTATGGAGAATAGTACTTAAATCCATTGAGTCACTTAAATGTGGAATTAATGTTGGTCTTTTCCTCACACTCAGAAAATTGTATTCTGGATTTAGTAGTCTGAAAACCCAAGCACAGCATGGGTTTTTAAGCTAACCTTTCTCCATTTTTAGCCAAGTCCTTTCTCTCTAGTTAGTGAAATTTTCTAAGAATAGAGATTCCTGCATTGTCCTTTTACTTCTTGGCAGTTTTAGTCCATAAATAGATATAGTTAGGTTTTTATTTTATTTTTATTATTTTTTTTTTTATTAAAAGATTTGGAGGCTGGGCGTGGTAGTCATGCCTGTGATCCCAGCACTTTGGGAGGCCGAGACGGGTGGATCACGAGGTCGGGAGATCGAGACCATCCTGGCTAACATGGTGAAACTCCATCTCTACTAAAAATACAAAAAATTAGCCGGGCGTGGTGGCGGGCACTTGTAGTCCCAGCTACTCGGGAGGCTGAGGCAGGAGAATGGCGTGAACCCAGGAGGCGGAGGTTGCAGTGAGCCGAGATCGTGCCACTGTACTCTGGCCTGGGAGACAGAGCGAGACTCCATCTCAAAAAAAAAAAAAAAAAAAAAAAAAGAGAGAGAGAGACCTGGAGTAGAGATTCTGTCAAAGAACTTTTTCTTTCTTGAGAAGCATCTGAAATGGAATCTGTTGTCTCTTCGAAATATGTACTGCTGTAACAGTGAAACAACCCTCAGAGTATGCCTTCGTGTGGGCTGCTCGTTGTGGTTTTGAACTTGGGGGAACTGTCTGTGTTTGGGTCAAGAATATGCAACTGGCTGGGCACATTGGCTCACGCCTGTAATCCCAGCAATTTGGGAGGCTGAGGCAGGTGGATCACCTGAGGTCAGGGCTTCAAGACCAGACTGGCCAACATGGTGAAACCCCGTCTCTACTGAAAATACAAAAATTAGCTGGGCATGGTGGCAGGTGCCTGTAATCCCAGCTACTCGGGAGGCTGACGTGAGAGAATCGCTTGAACCCGGGAGTTGGAGGTTGCAGTGAGCCGAGATTGCACCATTGCACTCCAGCTTGGGCAACAAGAGTGAAACTCTTGTCTCAGAAAAAAAAAAAAAAGTATGCAACTAGCTGGGGGCTGTGACGCGTACCTGTAGTCCCAGCTACTTAGGAGGCTGAGGTGGGAGGATCACTGATGCTCAGGAGTTCGTGACCAGACTAGGCAAAATAGCAAGACACCATCTCAAAAAACAAACAAAAAAACCAGCTAGTTTTCTTATGCAGGGGGTACTCTGCCAATAAAGTTGAGTATGCTTATATTGTGTTTCTGTTAAATATCTCTGCTACTTCAGGAATTCTTTATGTGTAAATGTTTTCTGCTTTTTCTGGGAATTAAAGCAAATTTGTTGTGTCAACATCTTGACTCAGATGTTCAAGTACCTTTGTGTCTTGATTTGCCTTAGCATGTAGAAAAGGGACTTGTAACATTAATGCAGATTTGAAAGAAAGATTGTTAACCTCAGGCACATCTTCTGTTAATATCTAATAGTACTACTTGAAGGTTATTTTCTGTATTTAATAAATTCCTTAAAAAGGATAATTTTCTAATAAGAAGAGAGAAAATGATTGAAACGTTTGAACTTGAAAGAAGGCTTTGCATAAAATTACAGATCATCTAGATCAATGCCTAAACCAAATGTCTAGACATTTTAGACTTAAATGTGCATATGAATTACTTGGGGGATCTTATTAAATGCAGGTTCTTATTCAGTAGGTCTAGGGTGGGGCCTGAGATCCTGCTTTTCTCAGAACCTTCCAGGCTATGCTTACGCTTATATTCCATCATGTTTTGATTAGTAAGGGGACAGACCCTTATTTTGTTAAGGAGATTGAAGCTTATGGAGAACCACTGACATGTCCAGATTTTCAAGATTGATTAGTTATAGTTAAGACTGTACCCTGAGTTTCTTGAAGACTAGTTCTTTTTCCAGTGTACTATGGTATTTCCAAATTTATGGCCATGTGTTGAAATCTTCAGCTGCTTTATTTTCAAAGGAAATGCACAGTAAAGATGACGTTCAAGGCCGGGCGCAGTGACTCATGCCTGTAATCCCAGTGCTTTGGGAGGCCGAGACGGGCGGATCATGAAGTCAGGAGATTGAGACCATCCTGGCTAACACGGTGAAACCCCGTCTCTACTAAAAATACAAAAACAAAAATTAGCCGGGCATGGTGGCGGGCGCCTGTAGTCCCAGCTACTCGGGAGGCTGAGGCAGGAGAATGGCGGGAACCCAGGAGGCGGAGCTTGCAGTGAGCCGAGATCGCGCCACTGCACTCCAGCCTGGGCGACAGAGCAAGACTCCGTCGCAAAAAAAAAAAAAAAGATGATGTTCAAATGTATTATATGGAGGAATAGGAAATCATAAACCTATTTAAATGTCATTTGTTTTATATCCCTTTATTTTTGCCAGGGGTATGTCCTTTTTCTGTTGTTCAAAGTTATATTACTGGCCAGAATGGAAATTATAGGAACTAGCTATGTATGAAATTGCATGTTTTCCATCCATTGTGGCCAGGTTTGGTATTCCCTTAAGATGGCAACAAAGTAAGAGGCATTTCTTCTAGCACTTATTCGTGAACCCAGTGACCTCCAATTTCCCATTTTAAAAGTCATCTTTATCCTCGGAACTTTAACCTACTGGCATAAGAACGTGGGCTTAAGTTCTTTTTTATCACTTTTTGGAGTTAAAAAACCTCTGAGAGGCCGGGCGTGGTGGCTCACACCTGTAATCCCAGCACTTTGGGAGCCTGAGGCGGGCAGATCACGAGGTCAGGAGATCGAGACCATCCTGGCCAACACAGTGAAACCCCGTCTCTACTAAAAATACAAAAAATTAGCCGGGCGTGGTGGCGCCTGCAGTCCCAGCTACTCGGGAGGCTGAGGCAGGAGAATGGCATGAACCCGGGAGGCGGAGCTTGCGGTGAGCCAAGATTGCGCCACTGCACTTCAGCCTGGGCAACAGAGCAAGACTCCGTCTGGGAAAAAACAAACAAAAAAAAACCTCTGAGATACCTTGGTTTCTATTAATAATATTTTCAGCAGTTTAATCTCAACTCTGTTGGCTTCCCTTTCTTAAAGAGTTAGGCAGTGATATACATGTCATTTAGAAGTAAAGGGAGGGCTTTAGTACTGCCTGTTCTGAAGTAGGAGTCTTAGAAATTCAGTGGCAAACTGTATAGGAAGGGCCTGAGTTTCATATTGTCTATATTGCCTTGAAATAGCCTTAGTCTCCTGCTTAAAAAGGCATCCTGGAAATCATATAAAAAGTAACAACAAATTAAAATGCATGTGTCTGTACCTAAGGCAGCTGTAAGTGGAAATATTTTTACCTCATAGTGAAATAGAATGGATGTATTAAGAAGGGAGAATTTTTTTTCAGAGTGTTTTATCTCAGTGTGGCTCAGAAAAGCCATTTATAGGGTAGGGTAATCACTAGAGTTGAGGGTTCCTCCCCCCACCCCCCATAAGATTGGTATCCATAAAGCAGAGATTTCTAAGCAGTGAGAGACTTCAGTATTTTAGATTAGATTCTTGGGTTATAATAGAATAAGATCATTAGTAGTAGAACATCTGGTATCAGAAAACTTGAGTGTTTTTATTGCCATGTTAGCATATGAATCTTAAAGGATTACAGAATTCAGTTAAGAGAAACAAGCTTTTATTGGATGGGTATTTAAAGAGTTTCTTGATAAGAGAGACCTTAGATTTCTTACGTAAAGCCATGTTCACAAGGACCACTGTCCTTGTGATTCTAATTTGCCAGATAAAAGTCTATGTCCTGGCGCAGTGGCTCGTGCCTGTAATCCTGGCATTTTGGGAGGCTGAGGTGGGCGGATTATTTGAGGCCAGGAGCTGGAGATCAACTTAGCCAACATGGTGAAATCTCATCTCTACTAAAAACACAGAAGTTACCTGGGTGTGGCGACACGCATCTGTAATCCCAGCTACTAGGGAGGCTAAGGCAGGAAAATCACTTGAACCTGGGAGGTGGAGGTTGCAGTGAGCCAAGATCCCACCACTGCACTTCAGCCTGGGTGACAGAGCGAGACTCTGTCTCAAAAAAAAAAAAAAGTTGTCCTGTTTGGAATATGTTGCCTGCTGTCTGTAATGTGCACTACTGATAGTGTACAGAGCATGTGGCAGCATGAACCTCCGTAGCTCTGATGTGAAGAGATGTAGTATAGTGGGTATAGAGTAGGAGGGCGGTTTTTAAGTGATGCTCTTTTAGTCTTTTATAAGGGTTTTGAATGATTTGAAATTTTAAGACTGCTTTTATTCAGTCTCAACTTTTGTGTATATTTGTATTTCACTTTTAAAATTCATCTCATAAAATCCACTATTTGGTATCATAGCAGATCCTAATACTCAAGTTTTTATTCTCTCCCGTTCTACCATCAAAATCTTAACCTTGCTTTGTATTCTTCTAGTCTTTTTTCTTTTTCTCATATTTAGAAAATAACCGTTTGGAAAAAATACTTACTCTAGTTTAGTATTTTTCATGCTGTGCCTCCAGCTTTATGTTATGGTTTAATAGTATCCCTTTGGCTTGGGGTTGGGAAGATTTAGAAATAAGAGTATATTAGATATGTAATAAGCTTGAAAAGACATCTTGTGGAAATAGATCCTTGGGAAAACACTTAGATGGAAACAACATTTAGAACTCTGTGAAATGGAATTTACTGAAAACTTAGAGGTGCTACTGTTTTCCTAAGCACTCTACTTGTGACAGTTAAGTGTAGATTGAGCCCAGGGCTCAGCACATTAGAGACTTAAGGAAGAAATCATTTCTTCAATTTTTCCTCTGCAGTGGTGGTGACCGCGGTGGCTTCAAAAATTTTGGTGGTAAGTGCTGAGTATCCCAAAATGTTTCAGTGGAAATGCTATATAAATCTAAAAGCCACCAATATCCCGCAGATGTAGTCAAAAGTCCTTTCTTACTCTGTTGAGGCTGGTGTGTGTTGTGTGCTTTAAAAAAAATTTTATATATATATATATACACATATATATATCAAAGTAAACATTAAAAAGCCAAAGTTGATCTCAAAACAGTCCAATGGGTTTTCTACACAGTGAATTTGCATGAAAGAGTCTGTGGTGACCAATGAATGACACCTTCACTGGATTTTGACAATTTGTTCTTATAAAGGTAGCTGACATGGTGTTTTTAAATTATTAGGGTTGTCCAATCAGCCTTTACAACCAGAGCTTAACAAAAGTGATACTAGCATAATGCTAAAGTGGCAGGTGCTGTCTAGGACAAGTTAAAGGAAATGTTGACATTCATCTTGATTTCCTAAACTTTAAATAAAACATAATTTATATATTTACTTTGTAAATCTGTGATGGTTGACTTTCAAGGATTTTGGAAGTATTGACTTTTCATGCCTTGGTTTATTACTATTTTTTTTGTTAATGATTTTAAATAAATTGCCTTAAATAGCTCTTTTTTCTTTTCTTTTCCCTTAGGTCACAGGGATTATGGACCCAGAACAGATGCTGGTAAGGTTTATGGTGGTTTGTCACTTTGCCATTAAGAAAATGTTAGTTTTTTTTTTGATGGGAAAAGTGTGTGTTTGGAGGGGCTTAGTACAGGAGGAAGATTTAATTTGATAGTGCTGCCAGAACTGGGGAGCTTTATTTCTTTTTTTTTTTTTTTTTTTTTTGAGATGGAGTTTCGCTCTTGTTGCCCAGGCTGGAGTGCAGTGGCACAGTCTTGGCTCACTGCAGCCCCCACCTGCCGGGTTCAAGCAGTTCTCCTGCGTCTGCCTCCCAAGTAGGTGGGACTACAGGTGCGCGCCACCATGCCCTGCTAATTTTTGTATTTTTAGTAGAGGCAGGGTTTCACCATGCTGGCCAGGCTGGTCTTGAACTCCTGACCTCGAGATCCGCCTGTCTCAGCCTCCCACAGTGCTGGGAATACAGGTGTGAGCCACCACGCCCGGCTGGGGAGCTTTATTTCTAAAGAAGTGTCAGAAAAATTCAGGAGTATTGATGGGACAGTTTGCTGGGGAAAATTGCTGTTTGTGCTTTCCCATATTCTTTCTTCCGTGAAGAAATACTTGAATTTTTACTGCTAGTTAGCATTAATTATTTAAAATTATTGCAAATCAGATTAATGAAAGAATTTATATCATTGTGGAATTAGAAGTAGAAAAACTATTTAAGAAAGAAAATCCTACGTTGGATTGGTAGTCTGCTTAAGTGTGCTGACTTAGTGAATTCAAGAAACCTAAATTCATACATGAGAGAATTGTCTTATTTTGGGTAGAGGTCACTAATTTTCTGTGGCTTTTTATTTAAATGAAATTCAAGGCTACAGATTTACCTGTGGAGCCTGTTGAAAGTTATAATTTAGAGGTTAAAAATCTATTTGAGCTAAAAATTTGAAATCAGAACTTTTGTTTTTATTAAGATGCCAAAGTATTCTATGTGGATGGCAATTTCTGAATTATCCCTTCATGGACTGAATTCTTATACATCTTTCTTTCTTTGTTGTACTAATCCAAAAGTGTGCATGTCAGGTAACATGTACAAGGTGCCTCCGCACTCTGGTATATACAAAGCTTATTGCAATGAATGGGAAACCAGCAGTTCTGCTTTGTGGCTTGCTTGGAAGTTCAAAGTATCAGATTTGGAGAATTTTGTACTAGAGAATCTTAAAAATGTTTAACCGTAAAGAATTAGAGTTCTCCAGAGAAAGAAATGCTAAACTAACTCCATCTCTTCATGACGTTTAGCCCTATGTCTGAATCTGAAGAGTGAGGTTTGTAAGATCATCCTTAATTGGTATATAGGTATTTCACATAGTGTGGACTTGATCCACTTTACTTGAAATTTAGTTGTAAGAATTGATCAACCAAATAATTACTGTGAATACTTTGCATGTTTATATAAGGTTGTTCTTATATTGGTCCTTTCCTTTTGGTCATAGAAACAATTGAATATTGGACAATAAATTATTGTCTTTGATTACTGAACAGAATGTCATAACCAAGGAATATGTAAAATTAACCATCACTTTTTTTCTCTTAGATTCAGAATCTGATAATTCAGATAACAACACAATCTTTGTGCAAGGACTTGGGGAGGGTGTGTCTACAGATCAAGTTGGGGAGTTCTTTAAACAAATAGGAATTATCAAGGTGAGTAAAAATATTATATGTTGAAAATCTCATAATTAATGTTCTGATTACAATACATAGACTATGTAGTAAGCCTACATACTTCAGTACGCCTTGTCTCTTAAAATTTTGTGATGCACATGCTCGTTTATGTCTGTAGACGTTTGCTAAATTTGTTGAATATATGAAGATTTTATTCCTTGCTTGTGTTTACCTTTCCACAGTCTACCTGTGCTTTAGCTTCCATCTTAGGACTCTAAAATTAGTCTCTGCTTAGTTCTTATAACTGTGAGAAATAAAGGAGTTGCTGAGAACATTTTATAGACTGAAATATATGCAAGTTCAAGTTGTTAGAGCTCTTGGGAGGGGTTATTTAATGTTTATGCTAGAGATAATACGTTATCTTGTAATTGCTCATTGTTCACTAAAGCGTCTTTTGCACTATTTTCATGCATATGTTTTTCATCTCTTCAACTAGAAAGCAGCCTTAGTAATGTTTAGATAGTAACAGTTTCTTGAAATCAGTTTACATCTGCCCTTGTTTTGGTGTCTGTGGAATTACTCTTTTTTTTTTTTGAGACAGAATCTCACTGTTTCACCAGGCTGGAGTGCAGTGGCGCGATGTCGGCTCACTGCAGCCTCTGCCTTCCGGGTTCAAGTGATTCTCCTGCCTCAGCCTCTTGAGTAGCTGGGACTACAGGCGCTACCACGCCCAGCTAATTTTTGTATTTTTAGTAGAGATGGGGTTTCACTGTGTTGGCCAGGATGGTCTTGATCTCTTGACCTCAAGTGATCCGCCCACCTCGGCCTCCCAAAGTCCCAGGATTACAGTAGGAATGAGCCACCGTGCCCGGCCTACTCACTTTTTTCTTTCTTTGGGAGTTATAATTTGTTAAGGAATTAATTACACACAAAATATGTAATTTTGTTGTTGTCGTTGTTGTCTTGAGACAGGGTCTTGCTTCATTCCATCCAGGCTGGAGTACAGTGGCATAATCATGGGTCACTGCAGCCTCAATCTCCTGGGCTCAAGTGATCCTCCCAACTCAGCCTCCTGAGTAGTTGGAACCACTAATGCATGTCCTCACACCCAGCTAGTTAAAAATTTTTTTTTTTAGAGATGGAGTCTCCCTATTATTGCCCAGGCTGGTCTTGAGCTCCTGGGCTCAAGTGATCCTCCCACCTCAGCCTCCCACCAAGTGCTGGGATTACAGGCGTGATCCACCATGCCTGGCCTAAATTCACAGAGTTTTGAAAAAGTAAAATTCTCCCTTGTCTTATCCCAGCCAAATCCCAGTGTAACGTTTTAGAAGTTACATATTTACGGCCGGGCGTGGTGGCTCACACCTGTAATCCCAGCACTTTGGGAGGCCAAGGCGGGTGGATCACAAGGTCAGGAGATCAAGACCATCCTGGCTAACACGATGAAACCCTGTCTCTACTGAAAATACAAGAAATTAGATGGGCGTGGTGGCATGCGCCTGTAGTCCCAGCTACTTGGGCGGCTGAGGCAGGAGAGTGATGTGAACCTGGGAGGTGAAGGTTGCAGTGAGCCGAGATTGTGCCACTGCACTCCAGCCTGGGCAACAGAGCGAGACTCCACCTCAAAAAAAAGTTACGTATTTACATGAAGCATTATCTACATTTAATTTCTGTGGATTTAAAGAAATTATAAACTGGATGTGGTGGCTGATTCCTGTAATCAGCACTTAATCACAGCACTTTGGGAGGCTGAGGCAGGAGGATCGCTTGAGGCCAAGGGTTTGAGACCAGCCTGAGCCATATAGCAAGACCCCATCTCTACAACAACAAAAAAGCCGGGCGTGGTGGCACTTGCTTGTAGTCCCAGCTACTCGGGAGGCTGAGGTGGGAGGATCACTTAAGTCCAGGAATTTGAGGCTACATTGAGTATGATCGTGCCACTGCATTCCAACCTGGGTGACAGAGTGAAACCCTGTCTCAATTAAAAAAAATTATACATAGATAAAACAGTATACTATATCATTTTTATAGCTTGGTTTTCACTTAGTGTAGCTTAGAGAGTTATGCTTGTCTAAACCTACAGGTAACTTATTAGGTGCATAGTATTTTATAGTATGAATGTGTGAATTCCTTGTAAAAAAAATAAATCTTTGATTATCTAAATGATACATGATTACTTATTTTAAAAATGCTAACACCAAGTGTTTCTGTTTTTCCTCAGACAAATAAGAAGACCGGAAAACCAATGATAAATCTTTATACAGACAAGGACACAGGAAAGCCAAAGGGGGAGGCAACAGTGTCATTTGATGACCCTCCTTCAGCTAAGGCAGCCATTGACTGGTTTGATGGTATGCCTCATTCGTATAGTTTTCAGCATGAAGTTGGATAAATGTTTTCTAGTCTGAAAGTGAGAATATGCTCTGGGTGACAGTGATTATATTCATGTTTACTTTTGCAGATATTAAGAATACAGGTCAGAATTTTTATGTACCTTTAGAAATGAGATGAGCTCTATCGTTGTTGGTCTAGCATATTTCGTTATATCATGCCTTGTGCATGAGGCTACCCTGATACAGATGTAGAGAGTTGGCCTGGTTGACAGTATGTTATTTTTTCTTTTTAAAAAAATAAATTTAAAAGGTACAGAGATGGCATTTTGTTACATGGATATATTGCATAGTGGTAAAGTCTGGGGTTTTCCTGTATCTATCACTTGAATAATGTACATTTTACCCATTAAGTGATTTCTCATCCCCTGACTTTATAGTTTGAAATTTAGGCCAGGTGGCATTGCTTATGCCTATAATCCCAGTGCTTTGGGAGGCTGAGGCAGGAGGATCAGTTCAGCTCAGGAGTTGGAGACCAGCCTGGGCAACATAGAGCTTGCCTCTACTAAAACAAAAAAAAAATTTTTTTTTTTTTTAAATAACCTGGACGTGGTGGTGTGCAGCTGTGGTCCCAGTTACTTAGGAGTCTGAGGTGGGAGGATCACTTGGGCCCAGGAAGTCGTGGCTGCAGTGAGCTGTGATTGAGTCACTGTGTTCCAGCCTGGGCAACAGAGCGAGAACCTGTCTCCAAAAAAAAAAACCCTATAAATAAATAAAGTAAAATTTAGGCTAATTTCCCTTCAAATATAAAGTTAATACATACTTAGAAGAAATAGACTTTTTTTTTTTTTTTTTTTTTTTTTTTTTGAGACGGAGTCTCGCTTTGTCTCCCGGGCTGGAGTGCAGTGGCGCAATCTCGGCTCACTGCAGGCTCCGCCTCCCGGGTTCACACCATTCTCCTGCCTCAGCCTCCCCAGTAGCTGGGACTACAGGCGCCCGCCACCACGCCCTGCTAATTTTTTTGTATTTTTAGTAGAGACAGGGTTTCACCATGTTAGCCAGGATGGTCTCGATCTCCTGACCTTGTGATCCGCCCACCTCGGCCTCCCAAAGTGCTGGGATTACAGGCGTGAGCCACCGCACCCGGCCGAGATGCTTTTTTTAACAGAAAGTAGAAGAAATGAGTAAAACATCTCTATAGCCCTCTACTCAAAGGTAGCCACTGATAATATTTCTTAATAATTTTCCTTCTGGTGTTTTAAGATGTATCTTGTAATACTCCAAATAGAGTTTTGTCTTACGGTATTTTTCATTTAACATTTAAAGGTAGTCATTTCCCCATGTTACAAATTCATCATTTTTGTTGCACCCTAATTTAACAGTAACTAACACTTACTGCATGTTTACTGAGGTTTATGAGCTAAGCACAACTTTAAGAGCCTTACACGCATTAACTCAATTTAATCTTCATAATAATCTTATGAGACATATGCCCTGTTACTCCCGTTTTACAGAGAGTGAAACTGATGCATAGAGAAACTAAGTAATTTCCAGGATCATAGAGTAAGTCGCAGAGTCAGGATTCAAACTCAGCCGTGCTGGATCTACTCTTTCCAAAGTACTTAACTATGCTGGATTGACAAACACTTGCAGTTCCTTTCAGTTTCAAGATTATTGTACCTCCATCTTCCAAAAACATAATTGCGTTATTTTCCTTTTTTTTTTTTTTTTTTTTTTGAGACTGAGTCTTGCTCTGTTGCTCAGGCTGGAGTGCAGTGGCGCAATCTCGGCTCACTTGAACCTCCGCCTCCTGGGTTCACGCCATTCTCCTGCCTCAGCCTCCCGAGTAGCTGGGACTACAGGTACATGCCACCACGCCCGGCTAATTTTTTATATTTTTAGCAGAGACAGGGGTTTCACTGTGTTAGCCAGGATGGTCTCCATCTCCTGACCTCGTGATCCACCCGCCTCAGCCTCCCAAAGTGCTGGGATTACAGGCGCTCACCACCGCACTGGGCCAGCTCTTTTACTTCTTTAAAGATGAGATTGTAGGCCAGGCGTGGTGGCTCATGCCTGTAATCCCAGCACTTTGGGAGGCTGAGGCAGGTGGATCACAAGGTCAGGAGTTCAAGATCAGCCTGGCCAACATGGTGAAATCCCATCTCTACTAAAAATACAAAAATCAGCCAGGCGCGGTGGTGAGCACCTGTAATCCCAGCTACTCAGGAGGCTGAGGCAGGAGACTTGCTTGAACCCGGGAGTTGGAGGTTGCAGTGAGCCGAGATCACGCCACTGTACTCCAGCCTGGGTGACGCACAGCAAGACTCCGTCAAAAAAAAAAATGAAATTGTAGTACCCTGTCTGTCCCCGTCTCTGTATTCTTTACTTTTTTAGACTAATTTGTCAGACTTCATCACCTTGCTCTTGAAGGCTAAGTCCATTCTTTCTTACTTTGCTGCTTTCATAAGAATGAGAGAAATGAATCATGAAGCTATGTCTTTTGCATATGGTATATTCAGAAATTATAGTGACTTTTGCCCATAGGGCATATGAGCCTTTTAAACCTAACTCCATAGTTCAAATCTTGCCAATTCTTATTTACTACTATTTTTTAAAAAGTTACCAATTGTTATATTACTTTGGAAATGATAAAAAAAATTTCAAATGGTACCAAGGGCATATGGTAAAATATGAGTTTCTTTTTCACCTTTGAATCCCAGTGATCTTGTGTCCCCTAGTAAGCACAGTAGGCAATGCATATAAGCATATGTGTAGATAAATACGTACATGTTACTGCACTTGCGCACGTATTCATTCCCTTAAATAAACAAATGGTACCATACTTCACATATTCTACAGCTGGCTTTTTTTCCCATGTAAAAATATTAGATACAGGTTTTAGTTTTTTTTTCCCCATGGGAACAGGTAGACATGTGCACCTGACTCTTTTTTTTTTTTGACTTGCTGGGCTTAGGTGATCCTCCTACCTTAGCCTCCCAAGTAGCTAGGACCACAGGTGCCACCACACCCAGTTAATTTTTTTGTATTTTTTGTAGAGACAGGGTTTCCCCATGTTGCCCAGGCTGGTCCCAAACTCCTGAGCCCCAAGCTTTCCTTGGCCTCCCACAGTGCTGTGATTGCAAGCTTGAGTCATCACGCCCAGCTTTTTTTTTTTTTTTTTTGGAGAGAGAGTATCACACTGTCTTCCAGGCTAGTACACAGTGGCACGAAGATAGCTCACTGCAGCCTTGAATTCCCAGGCTCAAGTAATCCTCCTGCCTCAGCCTTCTGAGTAGCTAGGACTACAGGCGCATGCCACCATGCCTAGCTAATTAAAAAAATTTTTTCAGAGAAAGGGTCTCATTACGTTCCTCAGGCTTGTCTCAAACTCTTGGCCTCAAGTGAGGCTTCTATCTCAGCCTCCAAAAGTGCTGAGATTACAGATATAAGCCACTGCACCTGGCCTTTTTCTCCACCCCTGACACCATCTCCTTCCCCAGGCTGGTCTCGTGCTCCTGGACTCAAGTGATCTCCCACCTCAGCCTCCTGAGTAGCTGGGAGCTGGTGCTACAGACACATACCACTCCACCTTGTTTTTTGTTTTTGTTTTTTTTTTAAGCTTAGTAAGAAGTGACTGTCTCCCAGTGACAGATATGCTCTTTTCAGTAGATAATGTCACTTTTAGCACTGTTATCTTGACTCTTTGCATTTGAATTTCTGTGAGGACATGTCAGTTACTCCTCTGAAACTAAAGATTTCCAAGACTTTTTCATTTTTGTTGACAGGTGGAGGTATAGAGTAGCATTGCTTCAAAGCTGATTTCTTTTTTCTTAGGAAAAGAATTCCATGGCAACATCATTAAAGTGTCCTTTGCCACTAGAAGACCTGAATTCATGAGAGGAGGTGGAAGTGGAGGTGGGCGGCGAGGTAAGATCCTTGCTGCGTACAGTCCTGGATACTATCCAAGGGTTTAAGTTTGAGTTCATACTCTGTTTCTATTTGTGTGAACTTGCTACTGCTTTTTCTCTCGCTAGGTCTTTTTCCCTCTATCTTAAAATGAGTTCAGGTACTGAATATATTAGGTAAATGAGATATCGTAATAGCTAAGAAAGTAGTGGGAAATGGTTGTAGAAATCCCTTTGGAAAGCTTTATTGTGATTTGCTGTTCACTTGGAAATCAGGAGGCAATTTTTTTTTTTTGGTTTTTGTGTTTCTTTTGAGATGGTGTCTCACTCTGTTGCTCAGGCTGGAGTGGAGTGGCGTGATCTCGGCTCACCACAACCTCCGCCTCCCGGGTTCAAGTGATTCTCCTGCCTCAGCCTCCCAACTAGCTGGGACTACAGGCGTGCGCCACCATGTCCAGCTAATTTTTGTATTTTTAATAGAGATGATTTCACTATGTTGGCCAGGCTGGTCTCAAACTCCTGACCTCATGATCCAGCCACCTTGGCCTTCCAAAGTGCTGGGATTGCAGGCATGAGCCACCGTGCTTGGCGAGGCAATTGTTTTAATGATACCTAATTAGGTAATTAATCTGACCAGTTTTTAAGCTGCCTGATACAGTTACTGCCAGCTTTTTTTTTATTTTTTATTTATTTATTTATTTTTGAGACAGAGTTTCGCTCTTGTTGCCCAGGCTGGAGTACAATGGCGCGTTCTTGGCTCACCGCAACCTCTCCCTCCCGGGTTCAAGTGATTCGCCTGCCTCAGCGTCCCAAGTAGCTGGGATTACAGGCATGCGCCACCATGCCCAGTTAATTTTGTATTTTTAGTAGAGATGGGGTTTCTCCCATGTTGGTCAGGCTGGTCTCGAACTCCCGACCTGAGATGATCTGCTTGCCTTGGCCTCCCAAAGTGCTTGGATTACAGGTGTGAGCCACTGCACCCAGCCCAGCTTCTTTATTTCTATTGGATTCATATTCTTGTCTTTTTTCTTTTTCTGTTTTGTGGGTGGATGTTACTGTGGCCTTTGCATTCATATTCTTACATTTGGAGTTTTTGTCTTCTCACCTAATCTTCTTCATGGAGATTCTCAAACTAAGTAGGGTATAGGTTAGGCATCCTAAGTTTGAAAATCTGAAATTGGAAATGCTCTGGAATCCAAAACTTTGAGCACCGACATAATGCTCAAAGGAAATGGTCATGGTCATTGAAGCATTTCAGGTTTTGGGTTTTTGGATTTGGGCTGCTCAACTCGCAAGTATAAGGCAAATATTTCAAAATCTGAAAAATCCAAAATCAGAGACACTTTTGGTCCCAAGTATTTGGGGGAAGGGATACTCAACCTGTATTACAGAAAATGGACTTTGAAGTTTTCTAGTGCATTATTTGCACTGTGTTGTGTGCCTAGGGTCTGTTTTCAAGGTCCTCTGTTTACTAAGTACAAGACCCAAATCAAAGAATTACAAAGTCCTGGTATAAGGGGTTAATTTGCAGAGTGCTGCCTAAGTATTGATGGGTATCTACTCTTATGTTATCTGATGCTTTTCTTCTGTTTTGTTAATATCTGCTGCTGATTTTTCTCCCCTGGCCCCATCCCCCTAGGCCGTGGAGGATATAGAGGTCGTGGAGGCTTTCAAGGGAGAGGTGGAGACCCCAAAAGTGGGGATTGGGTTTGCCCTAATCCGTAAGTGTCTTGTTTACTTTGGTGAGAGTAGGGGTTGGGATTGGGGCTGTGGAGGATACAGAAAGGGGTTCTGAGTCCATTAGAAACTATATAGGAGCATTATATTTTCCTCCTTTCTTAGGTCATGCGGAAATATGAACTTTGCTCGAAGGAATTCCTGCAATCAGTGCAATGAGCCTAGACCAGAGGACTCTCGTCCCTCAGGAGGAGGTGGGTCAGCCTTTTAATAGCATCTGCATCGTGCTTATCTTCTGACTAGCATTAAGGGGGCTTTACGTTGTTTCTGCTGGCCTCATTGTTTGCATTTCTACCTTGCAGATTTCCGGGGGAGAGGCTACGGTGGAGAGAGGGGCTACAGAGGTCGTGGGGGCAGAGGTGGAGACCGAGGCGGCTATGGTGGAGACAGAAGTGGGGGTGGCTATGGTGGAGACAGAAGCAGCGGTGGTGGCTACAGCGGAGATAGAAGTGGGGGCGGCTATGGTGGAGACAGAAGTGGGGGTGGCTATGGTGGGGACAGAGGCGGCGGCTATGGTGGGGACAGAGGAGGCGGCTATGGAGGAGACCGAGGAGGTGGCTATGGAGGAGATCGAGGTGGCTATGGAGGAGACCGAGGTGGAGGCTATGGTGGAGACCGAGGAGGCTATGGAGGAGATCGAGGAGGTTACGGAGGAGATCGAGGAGGTTATGGAGGAGATCGAGGAGGCTATGGAGGAGACAGAAGCCGGGGGGGCTATGGAGGAGACCGTGGTGGTGGCAGTGGCTACGGTGGAGACCGAAGTGGAGGCTATGGAGGAGACAGGAGTGGTGGCGGCTATGGAGGAGACCGAGGTGGGGGCTACGGAGGAGACCGAGGTGGCTATGGAGGCAAAATGGGAGGAAGGTGAGTATTAGAATGTGTTTATTAACCTTTTTACCTCACTGCACCTAGATTGGGGGATTTGAACCACATTTTAACAATTTTTTGGAACTTGAATTTCCCATTGCCAGTTCTCTCAGGATGGAGAAGATGATTTAGTTTCCTGCTTAGCAATTTCTAAAATTTTGTTTTGGAACTTTTTATTTTTTAACTTTAATTTTTATTTTTTAGAGACAATAAAAATTAAATTTAGTGACAGAGACAGGGTCTTGCTCTGTCATCCAGGCTAGAGTGCAGTGGTATGATCATAGTTCATTGTAACCTCAAACTCTTAGACTCAGGCAACACTCCTGCCTCAGTCTCCCAAGTAGCTGGAACTATAGGTGTGTGCCACCACACCTCGCCAATTTTTTTTATTTTCTGTAGAGACAGGGTCTCACTATGTTGCCCAGGCTGGTCTCAAACTCCTGGCCTCAAGCATTCCTCCTGTCTTGGCCTCCCAAAGTGTTTGGATTACAGATGTGAGCCACAGCACCTGCTGGAAATTCTTTGCAGTGGCGCAGTCTCGGCTCACTGCAAGCCCCGCCTCCTGGGTTCACGCCATTCTGCCTCAGCCTCCCAAGTAGCTGGGACTATGGGCGCCCGCCACCACGCCCGGCTAATTTTTTGTATTTTTAGTAGAGACGGGGTTTCACCATGTTAGACCTCGTGATCCACCCGCCTCGGCCTCCCAAAGTGGTGGGATTACAGGCGTGAGCCACTGTGCCTGTCCACCTGCTGGAAATTCTTATTCATAAATCTTTATTTGTTTCGGTGTATCTGTGTATTATTTTTTTCTCATAAAGATAATTGAGATTGAGAGATAATAACTTGAAACTGTGTAAATCAAGAGTTCCTAATCTAAGTGAAGGAACATACCTTTCATAGGGTGGTTCTTTTTCAGATCATATATACTACCCTGCAGTTGTTTTTCTGGAGATACTGATAACTTTTCCAGATGAAAACCACTGATGGGAATGTCTTGTGCACACGAATGGTGTAGAGGCAGAAGAAGACCAATGATAGAAAGTAACTTCAATTATTATACTAAGGACCTGTATGCCAGCGGCAATATAAGGCAGTGAGAATTAGTATAGAATATGGTTAAGAGCATAAAGTTGGGAAGCAGACTGTCTGGGTTTCAATCCTAACTCTACCACTTATTAGCTGTGTGATCTTAGGAAAGTTACTTAATCCTTTGGAGTGTCAGTATTCTTATCTGTAAAATGGGGCTAATAAGACGTCCTTTTTAGACTTGTATTAGATTACGTTGTACTAGTTGCTGGCCCAGAGTAAGCACTATATAATTTTTAGCTATTAGTAATTATGAGTAACCTAATTACCATCTATTGAACACTGCTTACTGTATGGCCAATACTGTAAAGTGTTCTTATATTCTTTAGTTCTAGTCCTTCTGTCATTCCTATGAAGTAGGTATACTTCCCATTTTACAGAGTCAGTCATTTAGTGTAACTTTTCCAAGGTCACATAGTAAGTGGCAGATCCAGAATTCATACATGTAAGTGCTTGCTCATTCCACTATGCCACTCTCCTATTTAGAGTGCTGGAACTGGGACAGTTTCTGATCTTCTGAAATATTTGTGGTTTGGAGTTTTAAGTGGAAAATTTTTAAGAGAGTGAAGCAAAGCTTCTTCTAGGAACTTTGTGAATCTTAAAGCTGGTAAATTAGACATTTAAGTATCTTCTAGGAGTACAGAAATAAATGAGGCATGGTGTCATTCTTTAGAAATTGTCTAGCTGATGCCAATCACTAGTACCCTGAAGAAGTGTCTAATGCTCCCCCTTCGTAGAAAATTAGAATTTAGTCCGGCTCTTTATTTTTCATTCCTAGAAACGACTACAGAAATGATCAGCGCAACCGACCATACTGATGACTGTTTTGAATGTTCCTTTGTCTCTGACATGATCCATAGTGAAATTGCCAGAGTTTTGCCTGCTGCTTTCCTCGTGGCCTCTTCTTGGGTAGTGAAATTAAGTGACATTTGGATTTTTATTTGGGTGGGAGGGCTGGGACAGTTTTTCTTCTAGAAATGTCTGTTGAGATTTCCCCCTTTAGTTTCCAACCTTCTCCCCAACCCTTGGAGCTAAATGCGTTGTAAAATATTGCCAAAATGAAAAGTGTTTTGTAATACTGCAATAAAGGCTGCTTGTTTTTGTGGACTTTTGTACATACTAGTGCATTGTTCTGTCACACTCAGGACTCAGTTACATTAGACTCTAATCCTAAAGAATTAGGAAATGAATTATATACTTCAGTAAATTAAAATGTTACTTTAAACAATATTTATTGAGCTCCTACTGTGTTTAGTGGTTCCCAGGAATGACAAGTCAGAATCACCTGAAGTTTGTTAAAATTAGATTCCTAGGTTGTTAAATTTAGATTCCTAGATTCCCAGCCCTCTAGGTCTGCTGGATCAGAGCTCAATGAGGTATGGGGAGTTAGGGCTGGAAATACTTATTTAGCTCAAGTTTACCAGGTGATTTTGATATAGTTATTTAGTATCACTTGACAACGATTTATTTAGGGGAGTGTTTTAGATGCTGGGAATATGAAGTTCCAAGGAAAAGAAAGGATTTACAAGCCAGGGTTAAGATGGCAACATATGTATGTTATTTGCTGTTTATTAGAGAACTATTTATTCTACTCTTAACTATGGGTAAGGCACTGGATCAGATTCTAGATATGTTGCTGACCAAGTAAACAGAAAGCATAGTCGATAAGTGCACCAGTAACAAGTTCAAGGTGCTTAGAGGGCTGATTTGAAGGACACTAAATTTAGTCACATGGGAGTAGGGAAAGGCGAATGTGGAGGGAAGACTAGGAGTTCACTAAGTACAGAGGCTGAGAAAATAGTGTTCACTAAGTACAGAGGCAAGAAGATAGTGTTCCCAGAAGGAAATGACATGAACAAATCAGGAGCTAAGACAGTGGGGAGCAGGATCTGCACTTGAGGAGAATTGTATGTAGTTCTTTGTGACTGAAGGGAAGAGTTCAAGGGTGGTCACGCAAAAGAAAAGATTGGAGAGGTAAACAAGCTCTGTGACAAGGTCCTTGCATTTCACTTTTTACCTCCCTCCAAACAGGGAGTCATTAAAAGATGGTAAATGGGTGTGGCATGATCTGATTTGAGTGGCATCGGATGATGATTATGACTGCCTTGTGGGAAGGCTGGACTGGAGACAGCCAGGTAAGGGATTATATTGGCCTTTGAGGCTCAGATAGTGACTAGAGGGAAGGAGATAACTAGATTTGAAAAATCAAGAGGGAAATTTGACAGGATTTAGTTTGATGTCAGAAATAGCGGAGAAGGAAGAGTCTGGTTTCTGGCCTGCGTGATTGGGTAGATATGTTGTTCATTAGGGAAGGAACAGCTTTGCAGGCAAGATGGGAATTAATTCTGTTTTGAATGTGTTGAGTTCAGAGTGCTCATGAAACTTCTAGGTAGAGACATAATTCTGCAGCTCAGAAAGTAGCATTTAATGCCATGTTCCCCTGATTATCTGCCTTACTGAATTACATGTCTGCCTTCTCAACTTGACCTCTACATGTTGGAAGTTTCTCGGGGCTTTTTCTAAGCCCCTTTCTCTTAATCACTTTTATCCTGGGCAAGCTTATCCAGGATATGGCTTTAAATATCATCTAATATGGTGATGCCTACCAAATTTACATCTCCAGTCCTGAGTTCTCCCCTCCCAGTTGCCTACTTGACCTTTGCAGTTGGATGTAAAATAATTGTGTTTAAAAAAATGTGGACTGAATAGAACTTTTGAGCTTCCCTTCCAAATGTTTCTTCCTAGTGTTCCTAACCTCCAAAACACATCTGTGAATGAGACCTGGGCTTTTTTTTTTTTTTTTTTTTTGAAACACAGTCTTGCACTGTCACCTGGGCTGGAGTGCAGTAGCACGATCTTGGCTCACTGCAACCTCCGCCTCCTGGGTTCAGGTGATTCTCCTGCCTCAGCCTCCCAAGTAACTGGAACTACAGGCACCTACCACCAGGCCCAGCTAATTTTTTGTATTTTTAGCGGTTCCGCTATGTTGGCCAAGCTGGTCTCGAACTCCTGACCTCATGTTCCGCCCGCATCGGCCTCCCAGAGTGCTGGGATTACAGGCGTGAGCCACTGTGCCCGGAGGCTTGGGCATGTTTTAAAAGAGCCCCAGGTGATTCTAGTTTTTGGAGACAATATATGGAAAGAGAAGAGCCTAGGAGGAAACTTGGAGAAATACTGACATTTAACAGATGAGCAGAAGAGGATCCTAAAACAGACTAGAATGGGAATGGCCAGTGAGGCGTGGTCAGTGGAACCCAAAGGAAGAATGAATTTTAGGAAAGGAGAAGCTAATAGTATCAAGTACTTAAGCCAGGCTACCTCATGTAAAGGATAGAAGGCATTCATTACATTGAGCAACATAGTTACACATTATTTTAGCGCAGGGTTTGATACTGTTGATATTTTGGGTTGGAAAATGCCCTGTGGGATGCTGCCCTGTGCGTTGTAGGATGTTTAATAGCATCCCTGGCCTCTACCTACTGGATGCCAGTAGCAGCCCTTACCTCTCCATGTTGTGACAACTAAAAAATGGCTTCAGATGGCCACTAGGGGGCAAAATTGCTCCCTGTTGAGAACCACTGCCTTAGCAAAAGCAATTTGGGCAGACAATTGAATTCTGAACTCAAACTGCAGTGGGATAATAGAAATGCATAATAGAAAGTTAATAAAAATTGGGGAAATGGATACGGGGAATGTGGACAAAGAAATTTGATTATGAAGGGTAGAGGAGGCATGATGTGAGAGGAGGAGGTAGCTAGATGGGGATACTTGGCTTGTGGAAGGTTATTTTTAAGATGGTGAGAATTGAGCATGTTTATACATGAATAATTGATGTTCAAGTCTCTTGAAGGGGTGGCGTCTAGAAGGTCGGTGAAGGATTTGCCTTAGAAGAAGAGAATGCCTCTTGCATTGCAGTTGGAGGTAAGAATAGGTGTGGATGCTGATAGTAGTAAAAACGACTAACATTAATTGGGAGCTTACTGTGTGCCAGGCACTGTTATAAGCAGTCTATGTGTGTTATCTCATTTAACTCACAACAATCCTTTGAAGCTAGGAGATACCGGAAATACTTCACAGAAGAGGTAGATGGTGTAAATGATTTTGAATGCCATTGGGAAGGGGCTTTTTAGGGGGTACAGTAAGGAACAGAGGCACTGAGAGATTGAGCAACTTGCCCAGATCAAATCTTTAGTAAGTGGCAGAGCCAGGATTCTAACCTAGGCATCTGCCTTAGAGCCTGTACTCTTACCTACTCTCGTGCTATAAACAAGGATGCGTATAGCCGAGGTGGCAGGAGGAAGTTGAGGTAATTCCATCTGATGTCTTTTTGTTTTCCTGATGAGAAAGTATAATAGTCTGCAGAGTTTGGGGAAGTAATATAATAGAAGGGTTTTTTTTTTTGTTTTGTTTTATTTTTTTGAGATGGAGTCTTGCTCTGTCGCCCAGGCTGGAGTGCAGTGGCGCGAACTCGGCTCACTGCAAGCTCCGCCTCCCGGGTTCACGCCATTCTCCTGCCTCAACCCCTGAGAAGCTGAGAATATAGGTGCCCGCCACCATGCCCGGCTAGTTTTTTGTATTTTTAGTAGAGACAGGGTTTCACCGTGTTAGCCAGGATGGTCTCAAATCTCCTGACCTTGTGATCTGCCCGCCTCGGCCTCCTAAAATGCTGGGATTACAGGCATGAGCCACCACACCCGGCCGAAAGTTTTAAGAGATTGTAGGATATGTGAGGTTAGGAGAGAAGGCTTGACTTATAACCACTGTGGGGATCAGGGAAGTGTGTGCCTAGGAACCCATAAATCTGCCAGGTGACAATAAGGGCTCAGTTAAAGTAGGAGGTAAGCAGGCCAGGCGCGGTGGCTCACGCCTGTAATCCCAGCACTTTGGGAGGCTGAGGTGGGCTGATCACGAGGTCAGGAGATTGAGACCATCCTGGCTAATACGGTGAAACCCCGTCTCTACTAAAAATACAAAAAATTAGCCAGGCATGGTGGCGGGCGCCTGTGGTCCCAGCTACTCGTGAGGCTGAGGCAAGAGAATGGCGCGAACCCAGGAGGTAGAGCTTGCAGTGAGCCAAGATCGCGCCACTGTACTCTAGCCTGGGCGACAGAGTCAGACTCCTCAAAAAAAAAAAAAAAAAAAAGGCAAGTATTTGGGGGTTCCAGTCTGTATGGATATGTGATTTTTCAACAGCTTTGATAGCAACGTGGTTATAGGGGCAGAGGCAGTTTGATTTAGAGTAGGGGTTTTACTGATCAGAGATGATCAGAGATGACAAAAGTGAGGGTAGTGATTAATGGATGGGATCCAGGTTGAGTAAGAAAAAAAGAGGGAGGATGGAAGGAAGTCAGGAGCTTAGTGTTGGTGATGAGATTCAAAGAACTTGTGTGGATAATAAGAGCTGCACAGATTGAAGGTTGGGTCAGAAAGTGAGAAGTGAACATTTTGGAGATAGAGCAATTCCTAGGGATGACAAAGGTTAGGTGTAACGTTGGAAGTGGGTAGCTGAAGTGAATGGAAGGGAAATGTCTTTGTAATTGAGATGAAGGACTGAGGGGCTGGAGTATTGAATGTTTGTCCAAAGGGATGCCATCAGAGAGGTGACAAAGAGTCAGGCAATGAATGAGAGGAAATGGAGAAATGGACCAGTGGGTAATTGCTGGTTGGTGAGCAGGATCCTCAGAGAAACACTGATTTTCTTTTTCTTTTCTTTTCTTTTTTTTTTTTTAAGATGGAGTCTCTATTGTCCAGGCTGGAGTGCAGTGGCACCTTCTGGGTTCACTGCAACTTCTACCTCCTGGGTTCAAGCGATTCTCCTGCTTCAGCCTCCCAAGTAGCTGGGATTACAAGTGCCTCCCACTGCACCCAGCTAATTTTTGTATTTTTATTAGAGATGGGATTTTGTTATGTTGGCTGGTCTCAAATTCCTGACCTCAGGTGATCCACCCACCTCGGCCTTCCAAAGTGCTGGGATTACAGGTGTGCGCCACCATGCCCAGCAGATTTTTCTTTTTATTTTCTTCATTTTTTATTTTTGAGACAGAGTTTCACTCTCGTCCAGGCTGAAGTGCAATGGCATGATCTTGCCTCACTGCAACCTCCCCCTCCCGGGTTCAAATGATCCTCCTGCCTCAGCCTCCCAAGTAGCTGGGATTACAAATGTGTTCCACCACATCCAGCTAATTTTTGTATTTTTAGTAGAGACGGGGTTTCACCATGTTGGCCAGGCTGGTTTTGAACTCCTCACCTCAAGTGATCCTTCTGCCTCGACCTCTTAAAGTGCTGGGATTACAGGCGTGAGCCACCACGCCTGGCTGAAACACTGATTTTTATATAAATGTGCAAAACAGTGGTGAGCCACCACGCCTGGCTGAAACACTGATTTTTATATAAATGTGCAAAACAGTGGTGATATTGGGAGGGATTTAGGAGAATCAGCAACACCTGAGCGATTTCAGAAAGGGGCCCAGTCAATAGCCAGTTTTCAGTTACAGCCTGAAAGATAGATGAGAAGGTTTGAGGGAGAGAGTGGAGGGTGTGAATGCTTTTTGTTTGCCATCAGAAGAAGCATCCAGAGATCCCATTAGAAAGGTTTGGGTTAGAGGAGAGAAAAGAGAGGGACTTACATTTTGAATAGTGTCTAAGGATCAGTCCCAGTAACTGAGACCAGTGGGTGTCTTTGGACTATGAGAGAAGCCAGCGACTGCTTGGATAAAGTAGACTTCTAAGAGTGTTTGATCTAGGTAGCTTTGGTACTGGGAGGGCTCTCGTACATTGGTGGTGTACCAGATGGTGACTGCTCTGTGAAAACCTTTATGCCCCTCACTGCCATCTTGTCTTCTGGTGGGGACTGGTGAAATTAGGATTGAGGTGCTACTAGGCAGATATTTGTATCTGGTTGAATAATAAGACGTCCTCTGGAAATACCTAAAAATATGGAGGTGGAGTGGTTGGGGATCTGTGGGCAGGATTTTGCAGAAGTTGAGTTTGAATTATGTAGTTAGTAAGGTCATGTTTTGTACTCACAGGCTTTTGAGGCACAGGGAAATTTGGGTTATGTTGCTCATGGACCCAAAGCAGTGGAGTGGGCAAAAGAGGAACATCTTTCCTATCATTGGACTTTGGCATCACAATATTAGAGGGGTCCCCAGGCAGTGCTGCATACACTCAAAATAGTGAAACCACCCTTGGTTTTTACTTACAGCTCGCTCACAGGCAAAACATGAATCTAGAAGTGATGGGGTAGGTTGGGAGATAATTCTGAGTGACACACTATACAGGTTTAGTATCCCTTATCCAAAATGCTTGGAACCAAAAATGTTTTGGATTTCAGATTTTTTTTTCAGAGTTTGGAGTATTTACATTATACTTACAGGTTGAATATCTCTAATCCCCAAATCCAAAATGCTGCAATGAGCATTTTCTTTGAGTGTCATGTTGGTATTGAAAAAGTTTCTAGTTGGAGCATTTTGGATTTTGGGATTAGGAACGCTCAGCCTGCACTGAATTCAGAATAACTGTTGGGATTACTGTAGAACCTGGGGTGCGGGGAAGTAGAAAGGAGCGTCTGTTTTATTTTGACTTTTCTATGCTTGAGGGGAAGAACTTGACCTCCCAGTAAATCAGTAGGATTGGGGGAAGAAGAGGAGGTGAAAGGAGACAGTCGTTTTTAACCTCTGATGGTCAGAGGCTCACATGACAACATTAAAGAGGAAAGGAGAGAAAAGTTCATATTTGATTGTTTACTATGTAATGACAGGCACTGTTAACCTTTATGGTAATCCTCATAGGAGCTTTCTGAGGTAACAGGTATTATTATTTTCATTTTATAGGTGAGGAAACAAAATCACAAAGGTTAAGTATTAACTTTTAATAATAATAACTTGTTCAAAGTTAAAAGTGATTAACTGGCCAGGCGCAGTGGCTCATGCCTGTAATCCCAGCACTTTGGGAGGCCAAGGCAGGCTGATCACGAGGTCAGGAGATCGAGACCATCCTGGCTAACACAGTGAAACCCCGTCTCTACTAAAAATACAAAAAATTAGCCGGGCGTGGTGGTGGGCGCCTGTAGTCCCAGCTATTCTGGAGGCTGAAGCAGGAGAATGGTGTGAACCCGGGAGGCGGAGCTTGCAGTGAGCCAAGATCGCGCCACTGCACTCCAGCCTGGGCAACAGAGCGAGACTCCGTCTCAAAAAAAAAAAAAGTGATGAACCTTAGGATTAGATATCAGATTTGTCTGACTCCAAAGTCTGGGCCTTTCCTTCCTGATAGGGGTTGTAGCTTTTTGGAATTGGTGTGGTAGGTCCTGTTGGCAAAGGGAAACTAAAGCTTCAGTAGAAATAGGGGAGAAATTAAGGCAGTTTTAGAGAATAAGAAGGGTCTTTCAAAGGGAATGACCTAGAGAGTAAATAGGGTCTTTCAAAGGAAAGGATAGAAAGCAGGTACCTAGATTGAAGAGGCAGCAGAGAGGATGGTTGGTTCTGATTAAAGCTTAATTATCTCCTGACCACTGGTAGGAAGGTGGGGGGTGAGGGCAAGTTAGTAAGAGGACATGATCCAAGCTTTCCAGCATTTTCTCCTAGTTTTCTGTCTCTAGGCAGACTCTTCTCTAGCTTTGCCATCAAATTCTGGACACAGATAAGCACTTGATTTAGGGAGGCAGGCTGGCCGTCCAGAGAAGCTTTGGCTCTGTCCTTCCCTCCTTCCTCTGGTAGAAGGGCATGTGGCTGAGTGGAAAGTATACCCAGGTAGGAATGAGGAGACCTGTGTTCCAGTGGAGCTTCTGATGAACAGAAGTGGCAGTAGTGATTCAGAGAAATGTGGTAGGTAGAGTGACACTTGTTTATTCACGGAAGATAAGTATAGATTGTTTTCTCATGGGAGCCTGAGAAGCATCTTCAGGGAGGGAGTCGGGGAGTAGGCCCAAAGAATTGACTTATTTGGCAATTTCAGCAAGGACCCGGAGCTGTTTCTTGATCCTTGGCTGCCAGGGCCCTATGACCTGTGGCCTATGTTTTCGTGGTTTCGAGCAGCACGGTGGGAAAGCAGGCGTTTTCTTTTGGCCTACTTTGGTGATGGACTTTGCAATAAACAAGGGGTTCAGCTTTGCAAGTCGAAAGTCTTGAATAGTTAACTCTTCTGGGTTCTCAGGCTCTTTCTGGAACCTTGTGGGCTCTGCCTTCACATTGGTCTTAGGTGCCTCATATACAGAGAGAACCTTGTTTTTCAGCTTGTTTTGGATCCAGGGATCAATTGAGGCACAAAGGATTAATGTTTCTTGTAGCTGCATTGAAACAAAGGTCCTAGTGCTGGCTCACTTTGGGTTCAGGCTGGGAGGCTCCAGAGAGGGGGCACCCAAAGTAGGGGGGAATTCTAGCCACAGGGCACTGTGGCCCCAAGGAACAAGGTCAAGGGACAGTGTCTAAGGGCTCATGACCCTCTCCTCCTGACAAGGAGCAAATGGTGGTGAGATAGGTGGGAGAAGCTTGAAGGAGGGCTAGAGAAGAGGAAGAAGTGGGCAGGAACGCCTTACTTACACTCTTCTTCACAGCCTGGTGGTTTTCTGCATCTAGTAAGTCCAGGAGCAAGTGGAACACTTGTGGACTGCGGATCCCCAGGACACCCTGGCAGAGGCAGAGTGAGAGTGCCTATGTAGCCAGCCCCAGGAAGACACCTTATACTCTTTCCCATTCTAGCCCCTTTGTGAGACTCTGCAGCATAGAGAGGGGGGAGATAGGGTTTCCCAGCTGAGATACTCCTTTCCTTGCCATTTGGAACCACTGCATGGGACTTTAATGCCCATTATTTGCTAGGAAGACTGAAGACAATTTCTGCAGCATCTAAGCAACACCCCTCACATCAATCTTCTGTCCCTTAGCCCACCTACCCCCAACCCTGAAGAAAAGGTTCGGTAGGGCTGGAATTCTAAAATAAACAACTTCCCCGAAGTTTACAGGCCTTTATTCCCCTCAGTGACTCTGCTCAATCGCCTACTCCCCCTGCCATCAACACAGGAATTGGGTCAGAGAAGCAGAGCCTGCCTTACCAAAGAGATGACTGCTTCCTGGCGTGCAGTGGCATCTGGGTTCATCAGTTGTCTGTGTAGAAGGGAGTGAGTATGTTATAGTTGAATTAAGGAGTAGGGGAAGTGGAAGGGAGGCTGGTTGCTTTTCAGGTCCAGAGCGAATTAGGCAAAGTGATGCTAATTTCATTCATTTCCTTCTCTTGTTTCTTGGATCAGAAAAGGGGCAGGGAGAGGAAAAAGAGGCACCACAGTTTGCCAGGAGGCACTGAATGATGATCAGGACTGTCCAGAAATTTTATCTTTTTAAAAAAAGTTCTTTTCATGTCATAATTTGAGCTTTATAGCAACCTATACCTAACCTTGGTAGGTATTATTACTCTTTCTTTACAGATGAACAAAAGCTCAGGGGTCAAAGAGTTACTTGGTTAGGGGCATGGGCAAGGGAGAACTGAGGACCTGCTGCACTGTAGGTTCTCAGCTCTCACTGACCCTCTGACCCCTTCCCACTGACCCTCTCACTGACCCTCTGCCCCCTTCCCACAGCCTAGGATTTGGCCCTGGCAGCTCCCAGGCCACTCACGCCTCCACCAAGTTCATCATCGTAGGCTTCAACTTGAGCTCTTCCACAGTTTGAGCCACAGCCTGCCTCACAGCCTGCAGAGGGATCAAAATGAGTCAACAGAGAGAGGGAATGCAAGGGTGTACACTTAAGAGCCTCTCAAATCTTTACTGAACATTTCCTTTGTGCTATGTAGAGTCCCTGCCTTAAGGAGCTCATAGTCTGGTGGAGGAAGCAGACAGGTAAATAGGCAATTATAATACTGTGTAGGGGTACACATAGGAGGGTCTCCTAACTCAGTCTTGGGTGCCAGGAAGACTTCCTGGAAGAGGTGATGCCCGAGCTGAATGAAACTTGGAAGGTGAGTGGGAGTTAACCAGGCAGAGGGTTGGGGTTGGTCAGATTTTAAGAGCAGAGGGGAGAGCATATTAAAAAATCTGGAGGCAGGAGAAGGTGCAGAGAGGATGGGGAGCTGAAAATAGTTCAACTCAGAGAGGTGACCAAATGGACTCTTCCAAGCACTCTGAGTGCTCTAATTACCCTGGGACAACAGGTATAAATCAGGACATGGTTGTCGTAAGCATAGTTGGTACATGGTTCTGGTGGGGAGAATGGTGAGAGATGAAGCTAGAGAGGCAAGCAGGCTTGAGCTGTGGAAGCAGCATAAGCCATCCACAGGGCATTGGGAGCCAATAGAAAGTTTTATGCAGAGAAGGCACAATCTGATTTATATTTTTTAAAAATGTCTTTAGAAATATAACACCTAGGGCCGGGCGCAGTGGCTCACGCCTGTAATCCCAGCACTTTGGGAGGCCGAGGTGGGCAGATCACGAGGTCAGGAGATCGAGCCCATCCTGGCTAACACGATGAAACCCCGTCTCTACTAAAAATGCAAAAAATTAGCTAGGCGTGGTTGCGGGCGCCTGTAGTCCCAGCTACTCGGGAGGCTGAGGCAGGAGAATGGCGTGAACCCAGGAGGCAGAGCTTGCAGTGAGCCAAGATCGCGCCACTGCACTCCAGCCTGGGCAACAGAGCAAGACTCCGTCTCAAAAAAAAAGAAAAAAAATATAACACCTAGTTTTATAACAAGCTATAGTAAATATAAAAGCAAGGGAACATAGAGGAAGGTAGGGTTAATGCTGATTGGTGATTTGGGAAAGCTTCCCATAGGAGGTATCGTTGGGATCGGTCTTGAAGGAGCAATACAGTATTTTTAGTAGGCAGAAGGGGAGACGGATTACTTACTGGTGCGAGTGAATAGTATGAGACAGTTTTTTACCTTATAGAAGGAAGGATGACTCAGATCATTTTAACCTGAGTGAACTGCCTGAGCAAAGGCAAGGTGATATAAAAACCTGGGCTGCATTAGTTGAACAGGAGTAGGTCAGGATGAATGTGATACTTCGGTGGAGGCCAGGGGAGGTCTCCAGAACACGGAAAAGAGAAAGGTTTGGGTGTCTCTGGGCTTGGGAGCTTTGGTCTCACTTACAAGGAAGGGTTCATTATGCGTCTTCCTCCTGAGCAGGTTAAATGTGAGTTCCTCTAGCCCCTGTGCCTGGATCTGTTCCAGCCCAATGGTCTTGAGCATTTGGGTGGCTTCAAAGCGGTCCTGAGGTCGGGGGTGAGGGTTAGTGGGGAGGTGTGAAAGATGGATTCCCTTCTTCATCCCCTAACCCTATCCTAGTGCCGGGAAAGGAAGGGTTCAGGCAGTCCAGAGCTTACCTCAAGGACACTGGAAGAACACAGCTGGTCTAGGATGGCCTTGATGACTGGGGCTGAGTGCACGTGCATCACCTTGACCAGCATCCTAAGTGCCTATGAGGGGGCAGGGTAGGGCAGGGTGTACAGGGCCTAGAGGCATCTGTGTGGCCAGGTGGACTTGAGGTCTGAGCCTAGAACTGGTGAGGAACAGCTAAGGTCCTTTTTTCTGCCTCTTCGCCTCTTGACCACAGAAGTTCATGTGTGCATATACATAAATGAACACCCACACCTATCAAATATACACAGACACATGGACGCTTATATGTCCATATGACCCCATACTCATACATGGACATAGTCATAAGCACACAGAGGATCCTGCAGTGCTCCACCACCAGGATGGCAGGATCCAGACCACACACAATTCAGCAGTGGCTTCTGTTTCCCCAGGGATCCCAGCCTCCTGCCCCTCACACCTTCATCCGCTGGGTCTTGAGTCCTTGGCACAGGCACTGCAACAAGAACTCTTGGACCATGTTGCTGCAAGGCCTCAGGAAACCCAGGCACAGGGCTGCCTCCAGAGATGCTTCACTGGACGACTTCTTGATCAGTGTCTGTAGTACAGGCACCAGCTTGCCCTCATCCCCGACTTGAGTCCTCTGTGAGGGAGACAAAATGGCTAAGGGGAGGGGCTATGTACTTTATGCCAGGCTTTGTGCTTCCAGACTATATTCACCTTCCTCCCTAAAATGAATCTTGTGCATCAGATTATTTCAACCAATTAACTTATTCTTGCTGTCACCTACTTGCTTCTAGGTCAGATCTCATTTCTCTATAACTATCTCATGGATGGATCACTGTTACTCTCTTCAACACTTCTGCTGTGTTAATTCCTGTCATTTAAAAGAATATACATGTGAGTGATCCCATACCTCTCCTCCAATATCCTTGTCCTCTTCTCTGCCTCAGCCACTAATCCCACTGAGAGACCTGATCATTACCCACAAATGCAGCTTCTCCATAATCTCCATTTCATGGATCCCACTCTCTGACCATCACCTCTTTTTCCAGCTCCCGAGTCCAAGAATTGTTTGACTCCACAAGGGACTAAATAATCCATTGAGCCTGCCACCTTTGCACTCCTCCACACCTCTGTCCCTCTTGACCCAGCTTAAATTCCATGATCCTGCTGTAATCACTCCCCTTCCTCACCCTCAGCTCCCTTACCCACTCTTGCTTCATTCTACTCCCTGGACAGAACTACAGTCCAACTCTCTACTTTGTGCCAGCACTTCCTGGAGAAAAACACTATTGCAGCGAATGATCTTGTTAAAATGTGTGAGCACAGACCTCATATAGACCCTTAATGCTGTCTGGTAATCATACTGTTTTTCCCTGGGCAGTTCTCTTTCTCACTCTTCCAATTCACACCCTTTCTGGAACACTTCTTCCTCTATTCTTACTCTTGGCTAGTGACCTTGCTTTCTACTTCAGTGAGAAAATCAAAGCAACTAGAAAGGAAGTTCCATAGACTCCTATGACTACTTTTGTCCAGCTTCCAACACTTGCACCCATACACCCTTCCTTTCTACTTGTTAACTATAGACTATAACCATCTATCTAAGGCCAGTCTCCACTTGTGTCTTAGACCTTATCTCTTCTCGCCTATTTAAGGACATCATTTAAGAACATTGCTATTTTTCGGCCGGGCACGGTGGCTTACGCCTGTAATCCCAGCACTTTGGGAGGCCAAGGCGGGCGGATCATGAGGTCAGGAGATCGAGACCACAGTGAAACCCCATCTCTACTAAAAATACAAAAAAAAAAAAAATTAGCTGGGCGCAGTGGCAGCCGCCTGTAGTCCCAGCTACTCGGGAGGCTGAAGCAGGAGAATGGCATGAACCTGGGAGGTGGAGCTTGCAGTGAGCCGAGACTGCACCACTGCACTCCAGCCTGGGTGACACAGCAAGACTCCGTCTCAAAAAAAAAAAAAAAACAAGAACTTTGCTATTTTTCACACTCTCTTCAAAGTCCTTATTTTTATTTATTTATTTATTTATTTATTTATTTTATTTATTTATTTATTTATTTATTTTGAGATGGAGTCTCGCTCTGTTGCCCAGGCTGGAGTGCAGTGGCACGATCTCGGCTCACTGCAAGCTCCGTCTCCCGGTTTCACGCCATTCTCCTGCCTCAGCCTGCCAAGTAGCTGGGACTACAGGCGCCCGCCAGCACACCCAGCTAATTTTTTGTATTTTTAGTAGAGACCGGGTTTCACCATGTTAGCCAGGATGGTCTCAATCTCCTGACCTCGTGATCCACTCGCCTCAGCCTCCCAAAGTGCTGGGATTACAGGTGTGAACCACCATGCCCGGCCTATTTATTTATTTTTGGGAGGTCGAGGTGGGTGAATCACAAGATCAGGAGTTCGAGACCAGCCTGGCCAATATGGTGAAACCTCGTCTCTATTAAAAATACAAAAAAATTAGCCGGGCGTGGTGGCACATGCCTGTAATCCCAGCTACCTGGGAGGCTGAGGCAGGAGAATTGCTTGAATCCGGGAGGCCGAGGTTGCAGTGAGCCGAGATCATGCCACTGCACTCCAGCTTGGGTGACAGAGCGAGATTCGGTCTCAAAAAAAAAAAGAAATGGTTACAGAGATTTTAAAGAAGCATCCTCTTGTCCACATCCTCTTGTAACTGTTGTACCATTTTCTCTTCCAACTGCTTCCCTTTGCCTGCAAGAGGGGCTCGGATAAGATGGATGTTTTGCTTGACTTCTTTGATATCCTGAACTTTCTGTAGCTCTTTATTTTTCTACAATCTGTTCGTTATAAATTTAGCTTGACGTTTCTGTTTGATCTCTTCAACTCTCTTCATTGCGTCAATAGTTTTATTCCATAGCTCTTGCTAGTATTTGATAGGTTCATTTCTATGTTTTTAAAATTCAAATGAATTATCCACTGTAAGCTCTTTACCAGCTGCTTTCCGGAATGCTTTGGTCCACCTAACTTTGCGAGGATTGCGCTTCTTTTTAAAGTTTCTATGACACTTAGATTTACAAAATCTGAACACCTTGCAGTCGTTGCGGACAAACATCATGTCATGGCTGGGGTAGATGGGCCTCGAAGAGAAATAACACTTCTTGATACGCATGTTGAACCTGTGTTGGTCCCCTTTGCTTTCTTAACCATGCCAAACATACTCCTCCCTTTGCATTGGTCCTTCTGCCTGGAATGTCTTCTCTCAGATATCTGTAAGGCTAACCCACTCACTTTCTTTATGTCTTTGCTCAAATGTACCTTCTAAATGAGGCCTTCCCTGTCTACTGTATTTAACATTGCAACCCATCCCTACTCCTACTTGTCACACCTGATCACTCTTACCCTGCTATGTAATTGTTTCCATTGTACCTGTCACCTCTAACATACTACATAATTTTCTTTTTCTTGGTTTTTTTTTTTTGAAATGGAGTTTTGCTCTCGTTGCCCAGGCTGGAGTGCAATGGCGCGATCTTGGCTCACTGCAACCTCTGCCTCCTGGGTTCAAGCATTTCTGCCTCAGCCTCCCAAGTAGCTGGGATTACAGGTGTGGGTCACCACACCTGGCTAAGTTTTTATTTATTTATTTATTTTTATTTTTTATTTTTAGTAGAGACAGAGTTTCACCATGTTGGTCAGGCTGGTCTTGAACTCCTGACCTCAAGTGAACATCTGCCTCAGCCTCTCAACGTGCTGGGATTTGTGAGCCACCACGCCTGGCCTAATTTTCTAAAAATAAATTTATTGGTTATTATGTGTCTCCCCCACTAGAATGTAACCTCCTCCATAAGCGCAGAGATCTTTGCCTGTCTGGTTCACTGCTATATCCCAAGGGCCTAGGACAGTGCCTGGCACATGATAGCTGTTTATTATCTATTTGCTGAATAAATGGATGAATGATGGATTTTCTTTTACATAGAGCAATGATGGGGTCAAAGTAAGAGAACACTAAAGGAGAAAAAAACAGTAGGGTCTGAGGACTCTCTTGGGCCCCGTCCCTTCTTGACAGGTTTTACCATAATAAGTTATTTTAGAGATGATGATAATAATGATGGTTACCATTTAAAGAGCATAGGCATTGTACTAGGTGTTTTACATACATTATCTCATTTAGTCCTCTCAACAGTACTATCAGACAATTACAGATGCTCCTCTATTTACAATGACGTCCCATGGATGGGTTTATGAGGTTGTAATGCCATGCCCATAGTAAGTTAAGGAGTGTACTGACTGTGTGTTGTTTTTGCACCATTGTAAAGTCGAAAAATCGTAAGTCAAACCATCTAAATCAGGAACCATCTGTACTGTCTCCATTCTCCATTTTAAATACAAACTGCAGCTCTGAAATTTGGCTTTTCAGAAATGGACTAGTAAGTGGCCAAGCCATATGCTTCTATTCAACTCCCGAGGGAACTCCTCAAGGACAGTGTCTTCCTCTATCAAAGCTGTGCTAGGTTACCTTCTTCCTCACCCAACCCCAAGCTAAACCTATCAATTACCTTGTCCAGCTTTGCCCCCAATTAAAGACTGTCCTCCCAATCACCTTGTCTTTAGAGACAGCAGCCCAGGAGTTAAGAGCCATTCGTAGCCCCGTCAAAGTCTCCATCCTTTGACCCTCATTTTTCTCCTTCAGCTGTTTGATGAGAGCCCGGATCACATGCTTATTCAGGCAACCTGGACAGGGAGGGGCCTCAAGTCAGGGCAGAGCCTCTGGTACTGCCCCTCTCTGCAAGGACCCATTGAACTCCACTGTGCCATCGAGACCTAAGTTCCAAGTCCTAGGTACCACAGTGTTGCTCATCTTCCCAGGATACCAGGGCAGCTGGCTGAATGTGAACACTATTCCAAGAGCCCTCCCTCTCCCTCTTTCTAATCTCTTTTCCCTTTTCACCCCACCTTCCTCTCTTGGTTCAACATAACTGGGATAGTTCTCAGGCCTTGCCAAATGGTAGGTTGGAGCAAGTGTATGCTCCTCACCCATTTGTCCTTACCCAAAGGAGAAAGTGGTTGCACTTTCTCAACTCCCCACCAAGGGAGAAGACATACTCACCCAGGATGGCCAGGGTTCGGTAGGCCTCGTACTTCACTTTCTCTGGACCAGTTTGGGCCTAATTTAAGAGGCGGGTGGTAGGAACATATAATAAGGTGATGGAATGTCAGAGCTTTAGGGATTGTCTCAGCTTAACTTCTCATTTTACAAAAGAGGAAACTGAAGCCTAGAAAGTGACCTATCTATTCTCAAATACAGAATACAGCCAAAATGGTTCAATGGAAGGAACAATACAGTTGGGAGTTAGATGTTTGTTCAAATCTCTATCTGGTATCTTGTAGCCACTTGGCCCTGGGCAAGTCCCTTGGTCTCTCAGAGCTTTCATTTTCTCATTTAGAGAAATACAGATACTAATTCCTGGTGTTGTTGTAAGAGTTAAATGAGATTATGGATATAAAGAATGCATGTTCCCAGTGGTAAGCTGATGTATACATATGCGGTGTTTCCAGTAAAGGCAGAGAATGTACTCTGTTCTGGCTTTCAGACTTTCCTGGCTTTTCAGTCCAATGTCTTTTCGGTTAGACCAGGGAGATCTTCAGATTCTTCCTTCCCTATCTTTTAGATCCAGCTGCTCTTCGAAGAGGCCAAGGACATGGGATGGGTCATGCTGCACAGTGGTGGCTGTGTCCTTACTGGATCTGACCCGCCATCCTAGCACCCCGGGGAGCCTCGTCTGTGCCCACATGCCACACATCTCAGACCCTGTTTCCTTCTTTCCTGAACTCCAGCAGTTCTCAGACTCACCACCTGCTGTAGTGCCTCCATGACAAACTTGTCACTGATGCGTAAGCATCCCAGAGCCTGCAGGAAGAGGGATGGAGGAAAGAGAAGGAAACTTGGACATCATCCCCAGGAGTTACCATTCTCTGGATACAGCTGGAGTTTGTGCTTGGAATACCATCCCCACAACCACCATCACGTCAAGCAGCTTTTTACTTTCCAGCTTGGCCAACTCCTGGCTGTAACCACCCTCCTCTATCCTTGCCTCTTCTCACCTGTGCTGCATAGAACTGCTCATCCTCTCTGGGAGATTCCAGGCTTTTTGTGAGTTCCTGCCCATCCAAGGCAGCCAGTGGAAAGGAAGACAGAGAAAAATAAAGAATTTCAAACTAAAGGGAGCTCATCCAATCCAATCCCTTTTCCTACCCTACCTCTGTTTTTCAGGCAAGGACTGAGGGCTGAAGGATGGTGTGAGCCCAAGGGAAGGGCACCCACAGGGAGGGAGTCCCCCACGTCCTCTCCCACATGGTCCTGACCCTTAATCTTTGCCACTTCAGGGGGTCCTGGGTAGGCTCTAAGGGCCTGGATCGCATCTCAGATTTTATAGTCAGCTTGCTCATTGGGAGATGGAACATTTTGATGTGGGTTTGATGTACCTCTTTGATGTACCTGTGTGAGAAATTGCATAGGCAGCTTTGGTCCCTTTGTACCTTCCCTCCTCAGGTTGCAACCTCACTTCTGCCACAGGGCTACAGCCCAGCTCAGATATGGGACCAGAGGAAGACAGATGAGGACTCAGTGATATCCACCAGAGCCGAGCCGAGCCGAGCCGGCCGAGCCAGATGGAGCTGAGCCAAGCCGAGCCGCCCTAAGCTCCTCTCTGGGACCTGTAGGCTGACTTGCCTTACTCCCTGGCCCACCCCTTCCTTGCCCTTCCTCACTTTCCTAGAAGATGTGGAGGGTGAGAAGAATATGGAGGCCAGCAAAACACACCTACAGTCATCTCTCATTTTCCTCAACATCTTCTCAGCCTCCCTTTCCTCTCGCTGATCATACAGGTCGTGCCAGTGCGTGTAGATCTCAGGTTTCTTGAAGTAGCAGTACGGGACTGAGTTTGGCTTGCTCGGATGCTGCCTCCAGCACTCTGGACTTGGGGGAAACTCTTCCTTTGGCATCTGGGGGTTGCAAGTGGCAGAACAGTCAGAGGGGTCCCCTAGGCCCTTACTTGTGAGGGTATGGGGAGGAGGGGGTAAAGGGAGGGAAGGGCAGGGTGAAACAGATGCCCTCTAGCCTCTCATCTGAGCTGGAGTCACAGCTACCACCTAACCCCTTGCATAACTTGGGCAAGTTACTTCATCCTATCAAAGTCTCAGTCTTCTTATCTGTAAAACAAAGCTAATAATCCTTGTTCTGTGTCCCTACCAAGGTTGTTGTAAAGATCAAAAGAGAGATCCAGATTGTGAAGCCACTGGTGATCTGTAAATCGATTTGAATACATAGTTTGGTTAGTTGAGGATCTCAAAGCACTTTGAAAATGACACTTGAGTAGGGAAATGAAAAGGCAAGGTGTGGGGAGGATGTGGGATAAAGGTGGGGAAAAGACAGACTATTGCTCATTCAGATATTTATTTGAGTACCAACTATGTGCCAGATACTGTGCTGGGTGCTAGGGTTGCAGTTATCCCTGCCCTCATGGAACTTAACAGTTTAGCAGGGAAACAGACTTTCTTAAAATAATCTATCACTTAAACAATTGTGAAACTACCGCTGTCACTGTAATGGAGGATTTTGAGTGGATCAGGGGCTTTCTCTGAAGATTTGGCTAGGATTCATCCCTGTCTCTTCTTAAGCCTTTCTTTCACTCTTTGCAACAGATCTGGGCAACAGGGAAGAGGGGCTTCAGCTGTGGTTCCCAACTTTGTACTGAAGAGATCATAATAAGGGTTCTCAAGTGATTGGCATAAGTTCAAAAAATGGAGCATGACTCACAGTGAGTAGGGTTGCAGATTTAGGAAGAAAAAAAAAAAAGCTCCCCGCTCCCAAACAAAAAAATACAAGGATGTCAAGTTAAATTTGGATTTTAGGTAATGAATGAAATATTTGAGACACATTTGTACTAAAACACCATTTGTTGTTTATCCAAAATTCAAATTTAATTGGGCATTCTGTATTTCATCTGGCAACCCAAACTGTGAGGGTTGCTAACTGTCCCTGTGTTAACTAATAAAAATGACTTCCATTAGTAAGCACTTTCTGCATAGCCAAGGCCTCATAGACTTTGTTTCATAACAACTCTACAAAGGGAGGTGGACAGGGGTTAGCCTGGGACACAGGAAGCTCCTGAGGCTCTGAGGGGGAAAGTGACTGTTCAAGATCACAGTTAATGGCAGCCCCAGGGGTAAATGTCAGGGTTCTGTGAGCTGGCTTTAATGGGAAGGGATAGTTTGCTGCCCCTCCTAACTTTGATACAGCTCCCAGGGTAGCAAAAGTAAGGGGTCTTACCTGGTAGCAGGACAAGGGCAGATGAACAGGAGCCATGGCTTTTCTGAGTTCTGGCAAGAGGGATAAGAGTATGTGTGTGGTTCAAATGAGATAGCAGTTGCAGGCCAGGCTTGGTGGCTTCTGCCTGTAATCCCAGCACTTTGGGAAGCCAAGGCAGGCAGATCACCTGAGGTCAGGAGTTCGAGACCAGCCTAGCCAACATGGTGAAACCCCATCTCTACTAAAAATACAAAAAAAACATTAGCCAGCCAGGCGCAGTGGCTCACGCCTGTAATCCCAGCACTTTGGGAGGCCGAGACGGGCGGATCACGAGGTCAGGAGATTGGGACCATACTGGCTAACATGGTGAAACCCCGTCTCCACTAAAAATACAAAAAAAAAAAAAAATTAGCCATGTGTGGTGGTGGGTGCCTGTAGTCCCAGCTACTCAGGAGGCTGAGGCAGGAGAATGGTGTGAACCCGGGAGGCGGAGCCTGCTGAGATCGCATCACTGCACTCCAGCTTGGGCGACAGAGCGACAGAGCGAGACTCCGTCTCAAAAAATAAATAAATAAAATAAAAATTTGCCAGGGGTGGTGGTGCATGCCTATAGTCCCAGCTACTTGAGAGGCTGAGGCAGGAGAGTCTCTTCAACCTGGGAGGTGAAGGTTGCAGGGAGCCGAGATCATGCCACTGTACTCCAGCCTGGGTAACAGAGCAAGACTCAAAAAAAAAAAAAAAAAAAAAAAAAAAAGAGATAGCAGTTGCAAAGGTAGGTTAAAGAATTAATACATTCAGGCATTCATTTATTCAGCATTTAGTGACTACTAGTACCAGATATTTCACCAGGCACTGGGGAGATAAGTAAGGCCAAAGCGGGCAGATTGCTTGAGCCAAGGAGTTCAAGACCAATCTGGGCAACAAAGTGAGACTGCCCCCTAACCCTCAATTAGGAAAAAAAAAATCACTTGGAGAGTTTGTTAAAACACAGATTTCTGGGACTCATACCCACAGTATCTGATTCACTAGATTAAGGGTGGGGTCTGAGAATTTGCATTTCCTGTTTTTTGTTTTGTTTTGTTTTGTTTTTATTGAGACAGAGTCTTGCTCTCTTGCCTGGGCTGCTGGAGTGCAGTGTCACAATCTTGGCTCAGGTCAACCTCTACCTCCTAGGTTCAAGTGGTTCTCGTACCTCAGCCTCCCAAGTAGCTGGGATTATAGGTGCCCGCCACCACACCCAGCTAATTTTTGTATTTTTAGTAGAGATGGGGTTTCACCATCTTGGCCAGGCTGGTCTGGAATTCCTGGTCTCAAGTGATCCGCCCGCTTTGGCCTCCCAAAGTGCTGGGATTAGAGGCGTGAACCACCGTGCCCAGTCGAGAATTTGCATTTCTAACAAGATGCTGATGCTGCTGGTCATGGGATCACGCTTTGAGGACCACTGTTCTAGCTGGAGAGACAGAAGTGTTTCTTAGTGATTAACAGAGGGAAACAAATGTGAAGATAGATGTAGACACAGGTGGTAAACATGAGGGGTACCTAACCTGGCTGGGAGGATAAGGGAAGGTTTCCTAGAGTAAACTCCACAAGCTGAGTCTTCAATACAAACAGGAACTAGCCAGGTAGATAAGGGGGAAGAGCATTAGACACAGGGAACACCCTATGCAAAGATTTGGAGGTGCAAGAATTGAGGGTAAAGAGCAGGGTACAGGTGTGGGAGCAGAAGCTGGGGAGACACACAGGTGTCCCATCTTAGAGATCCCTGTAGGCCCTGCTGAGGAGCCTGAGACCTTGAGGACTGTGCAGAGCCATCAAAGTGTCCAAGGGCCTGCCCTGATGTTTCCCAAGGGTTTGCTGAACTCACCTAGACCCTTGCCTGGGAGTGAGAGCCAGGTAGCATTTCTTTTTCAGTCCCCTGCTCTTGGCTCCATTTCTGTCCATCCCAGCCTCACCTTTGGTCTTGTCTGGATATTCCAGCCATGGGTACAGGAACATTGACCTGGAGACATCAGAGATATCAGTTGATTTTTCATAGGCCATCTTCTTCTCCTGGTGGGGCCAGAGGGAACCTGCAGGGGGGAATACAAGGCTTTTAGGGGAGTGGGGGCACAGCTGGAGGAGACCTGTCCTCTGTGGTACGAGAGGTACAGGGGAGGTGTCTGGACTTCTGGAGGTAGAAGCTTCCAAGTGCTAAGCGACCAGGTTACTTTGGTAAATAGAACACTCAGGTTTCACTTCTGAGCCCCAGCTGTGGTATCTACTGGCCTGGACTTGAGCTAGTCACTTTATTTTCTGAGCTTCAGTTTGCTCACTGGACGAGTAGGAAAGTCATTCCTGTCTGGCTTAACTAGAGGGCCTGTGGTGAGGCATAAACTGGAGAAGAAAATCAAACCATCTGGTGAACTGTCAAGCTCAAGTAAGCCCATGTTAGGATCAAGACCTGTTCTTAGGATTATTCACTGGGAAAATGGCAGGGATGGGAAAGTCCCTTTATTTATTTATTTGTTTGTTTGTTTGTTTGGGAGGGAGTCTCATTCTGTCGCCCAGGCTGGAGTGCAGTGGCATGATCTTGGCTCACTGCAGTCTCCGCCTCCCAGGTTCAAGCGATTCTCCTGCGTCAGCCTCCCAAGTAGCTGGGACAACAGGTGCATGCCACCATGCCAGGCTAATTTTTGTATTTTTAGAAGAGACGGGGTTTCACCATGTTGGCCAGGCTGTTCTCAAACTTCTGACCTCAGGTAATCTGCCCACCTTGGCCTCCCAAAATGCTGGGATTACAGATGTGAGCCACTGCGCCTGGCCCCAGAAAGTCCCTTTTATACATACCCTCTCCCCGTCTTTGGCAGCAAAAGACTGAACTCTTATCTGTGTGGTAAGGAGCTGCCTTTTTCTTTTATTTTCTTTCAACTTTTTATTTTATTTTACTTTATGTTCCAGGATACATGTGCAGAACGTGCAGGTTTGTTACATAGATAAATGGTAAATGTGTGTCATGGTGGTTTGCTGTACCTCTCAACCCTTCACCTAGGTATTAAGCCCAGCATGCATTCGCTATTTGACCTGATGAAGGAGCTGCCTTTTATACCTCTTGCTTTTGCATATGCTGTTCCCTCTACCTGTCAGTCTTTTACTTGTAAACCTGTTAAACTGGCACTCAGATCTTTCAAAAAGTCCACTCAAATGTTTTCTCATCTCTGAAGTCTTTATTCTCCCTCAGGGTTCCTACCCCCTGCCCATCCACCCACTCAGTGATAGAATTCCCTCTCTCCACAGTGTGACCACAGTTTTTTGTACACTTTGCTTTACTTTAAGTCTTTTTCATATGTATAATCTGCTCACAGGTCTGTCTTCCTTACTGGACTATGAGGAATTTGATTATGGACTGTATATTGTGTCATTGTTAAGTTTCCTGAGTATGGTATGCATGTTGTGGTTATTTATAATGTCCTTGTTATTAGTAGATACATGCTGACACTTTTAAGGATGACATGATATCACATTTGCAACTTACTCTCAAGTGGTTCAGAAACAAAATGTGTATACTGACCACACACTGCCCCCACACACAGATAAAGCAAATTGGTAAAATGTCAATATTTGACTCTAGATGAAGGGTATGTGGTGTATTCTTGCAAATTTCCATAAGTTTGGAATTTTGCAAATTAAGGGTGGAAAAAAAAAAGCATGGATTTTGGCATTAGACCTGATGGGTTTAAACTTAATTGTAAAGCTTTATCACCTGCTTTATTTTTCTTTCTTTCTTTTTTCTTTTTTTTTTTTTTTTTGAGACTGAGTCTCACTCTGTCGCCCAGGCTGGAGTGCAGTGGCGTGATCTCGGCTCACTGCAAGCTCTGCCTCCCAGGTTCACGCCATTCTCCTGCCTCAGCCTCCAGAATAGCTGGGACTACAGGCACCCGCCACCACGCCTGGCAAATTTTTTTTTTTTTTTCATAGAGACGGGGTTTCACCGTGTTAGCCAGGATGGTCTCGATCTCCTGACCTCGTGATCTGCCTGCCTCAGCCTCCCAAAGTGCTGGGATTACAGGTGTGAGCCACCGCGCCCGGCCCACCTGCTTTATTTTTCTTTGAGCTGTGGGGCTTTTGGCAAATCATTTCCCTCTCTTGCTAAGGGTTTTCCTGACTATAAACAGGGCTAATAACTGTACCTAACCCTATAGGGTTATAAGGATGAAAAAGAATGATGAATGTAAGGGGCTAAGCCAATGCCTGGCACATAGTGAGTGCTCAATTAATGTTAACTATTGTTATGGCCATACATATTGTCAATATATGTTTACATAAAGGGACAAGCTTGGGAAAGTTGAAATACCCCACCTTAAAGGAGCTGGTGTACTAGTGGAAAAACACAAAATACCTCATTGTCCTTATTTGAAAGACCTGAGGCATTTGGAATTGCCATTGAATCTCATTCCAGGGGCAAGAGTGGTGTTAAAGAAATCCACTGGGGATAAGGTAGAGGGTAGGCCAGGGAGGAAGGGCCAACCAAGGTCTGAGGAAACAGAGAGATGCTGTGGCAGGCAGTAAGATAAACTTGGGGACTCAAGGGTGGGGACGTAGTGACTATTGTCTCCCCTCCCCCTCCAGAGTGGGTAAGTCACTGATTAGTTTAATTGCTGTGCCTACCCATGCCCCCTTCTCGGAGAGCTTTTGTTTTCAGCCCTGTCATCCCAATCTAGGATGGACATCAGGTGTTTGCAAGCCCTGGACCCCTGTGTGCCTAATGCTCATGGGGAAGGACAGTTCCCCGGGAGGAAATCAAGAGTCAGCTTTATGGTTGCATTGAGAACTTTAATGGTAAGCCGATTTTTCATGTTTGCCAGTAAGCTCCTGTGAGGGGTTGAGACGGCGGAAGCTTAAGAGTGCAGTGTTCCTCCCCTCCTTGCCTCTAGAGGCATGCTGACTTCCTTCCTGGTCACAGAGCCCTGGCAAAGCCAAGGCAAAGCCAGAGCTCAGAACCTAGAGACTTCCTTTTGACAAAGCAGCGCCTCAGAAGCTCTTCTAGGCTTTAGTTGGGGAAGCTTTTTGTTGTTGTTGTTGTGACGGAGTCTCACTTTGTCACCCAGGCTGGAGTGAAGTGGCACAATCTCAGCTCACTGCAGCCTCCACCTCCTGGGTTCAAACAATTTTCCTGCCTTAGCCTCCCGAGTAGCTGGGATTACAGGCGTGGGCCACCACGCCCGGCTAATTTTTGTATTTTTTTTTTTTTTTTTTTTTTTGAGACGGAGTCTCGCTCTGTCGCCCAGGCTGGAGTGCAGTGGCGCGATCTCGGCTCACTGCAAGCTCCGCCTCCCGGGTTCACGCCATTCTCCTGCCTCAGCCTCCCGAGTAGCTGGGACTACAGGCGCCCGCTACCACGCCCGGCTAATTTTTTGTATTTTTAGTAGAGATGGGGTTTCATCATGTTGGCCAGGCTGGTCTCGAACTCCTGACCTCAAGTGATCCACCCACCTTGGCCTCCCAAAGTGCTGGGATTACAGGCGTGAGCCACCACGTCCAGCCTGGGGAAGGTTTTTGTAACTGCTGCTGTGTGGTAGAATCTGGGCCCTTCAAGGAGCGGGTGGGGTAGGATAGTGAGGGGAAGCCTCCCAAGCTAGGACAAGAGCAAGCAGAAACAGGCAAATTTGTGTAAGTTCAGGTTCAAGGACTCTCCATCCTAGCTCATCTCCAAAGAGTTGATGTACTCCCGAACCCATTTCTTCTCTGGGTTGGCACACACTTGGCGGTTCTTTCGGGTGACAAAGCTGTGGGAGAGGAGAAGAAGAGGGAGGATGAGACCTTGTCAGTACCGGGACAGCCAGTTTGGGGGATGAAGTGGATTAAGGTATAAAGGGAAATTATGATGATATCGGGGTAGGGCATATTTGGAGCTCCATAAGATTTTATTTGTGGCTTTTAAGGAGAGAACATTTCCTCATCTGTTGGATCAAAGGGCTCCAAGCCAGAAACAAATTTGTGTGCATTTTAATCGCCTTCACACAAATGCATGTAGCCTGAAAAGCTAAGAGGATACGGAGCCTTGAAGCCCAGGGCTGAGCCTGCCAATCACTAGACTTTTCTCAGCACTTCCTCTGCTCCAGGCCTTGTGCTGGGTGCTTAAGATGCAGAGAGAATAAGGTGTCCCTCAAGAACTGAGTCATGATTGAATAAGTGGGAGACAAGAAGTTCTTTTTTTTTTTATTTTTTGAGATGGAGTCTTGCTCTGTCACCCAGGCTGGAGTGCAAGTGGCACGATCTCAGCTCACTGCAACTTTCGCCTCCCGGGTTCAAGCGGTTCTCCTGCCTTAGTCTCCCAAGTAGTTGAGACTACTGGCGCCCGCCACCATGCCCAGCTAATTTTTGTATTTTTAGTAAAGATGGGGTTTTACCATGTTGGCCAGGATGGTCTCAAACTCCTAACCTCAGGTGATCCACCCACCTTGGCCTCCCAAAGTGTTGGGATTACAGGCGTGAGCCACGGCGCCTGGCCTCTTTTTTTTTTTCCTTTGAGACGGAGTCTCACTGTCACCCAGGCTGGAGTGCAGTGGCACGATCTCAGCTCACTGCAAGTTCCACCTCCCGGGTTCACGCCATTCTCCTGCTTCAGCCTCCTGAGTAGTTGGGACTATAGGCGCCCCCCACCACGCCTGGCTAATTTTTTGTATTTTTAGTAGAGACAGAGTTTCACTGTGTTAGCCAGGATGGTCTCGATCTCCTGACCTCGTGATTCACCCACCTTGGCCTCCCAAAGTGCTGGGATTACAGGCATGAGCCACCGCGCCTGGCCGAGAAGTTCTTAAAAGAACATCTGATTTGGCTTTAGACAACGCAGTGCCTGGCACACTCAACAAGTGAATACATCTGTGCATGGGTGGGTGAACGAAAGATGGGCATGACCTTGAGTCTTCATTTCACCATTTATTAGTTTGATCATTTTGTGCAAATCACTTAAAGCCTCTGCTTCTATTTGCTAAGCTCTGAAATGTAGATAGAAATAATTCTTTGCACAATTACTGTGAAGCTCAAAGGATAATATGTATGAATAAGTTTGGAAAAATACCATTCATGTGTTGTTACTAGAATGCTCTGAAACTTCTCCTTTAGGGTGGATGAGAGCAACATGAGACTAAAAGTCCTGGTACTAGACACTGTGGCTCAGGGGAGTTGAGGGCCATGAGATAATGGCAATGTCAAAGCACTTGCACCAAGTAACCAGCCAGAATGTGGAGGCCTATGAGAATCAGAGGCCTTATCTCTATAGTCATTGATGATAAAGCTGGAAATGTAAAAGTTGGGGGTCATGAGGGTCAGTCCAGCTGCCTGCCTCACCTGTCTGCTGGGAAACTGATTCTACCTGTGCGAGACCTTGGGCCTTGCTAGCAGCGCTGCCAATTAACACATTACTTCAGGGTCAGTCCTGCCTACTTACCCTTTCCCATTTTGGCTTTTCCTTTAGGATTTTTTCCTGCACATTATTCTTATTATTATTTGAAATTTGAACACTGATTTTACTTAAGTTCAAATACTGGATATGTTATTTTAGAGATTCTCATAGGAAGAAAATCAACTATTTATTGTGCAGCCATCCAGAAGTTTATTTATTTATTTTTATTTTTGAGACAGGGTCTCACTGTCACCCAGGCTGAAGTGTAGTGACATGAACACAACTCACTGCAGCCTCAACCTCCTGGGCTCAAGTGATCCTCCCACCTTAGCCTCCTGAGTAGCTGGGACCACAGGTGTATACCACCACACTTGGCTAATTTTTAAAAATTTATTTTTGTAGAGACAAGCTCTTACCACGTTGCCCAGGTTGGTCTCAAATTCCTGGGCTCAAGCCATCCTCCTGCCTCAATCTCCCTAAAATGCTGGTATTACAGGGGTAAGCCACCATGCCTGGCCAGAAGTTTATTTTATTTTTTATTTTTGAGATGGTGTTTTGCTCTTATTGCCCAGGCTGGAGTGCAGTGGCACAATCTTGGCTCACTGCAACCTTCGCCTCCCGGGTTCAAGCGATTCTCCTGCCTCAGCCTCCTGAGTAGCTGGGATTACAGGTGTGCGCCACCACGCCCAGCTAATGTTTTTGTATTTTTAGTAGATACAGGGTTTCATCATGTTGGCCAGGCTGTTCTTGAACTCCTGACCTCAGATGACCACCCGCCTCAGCCTCCCAAAGTACAGGGATCACAGACGTGAGCCACCGCACCCAGATAGAAGTTTATTTTTTAAATCTTATTGACCCATGCAGTATGCCACATGATTACATAGCATAACAAAGGAATTATATGTCTCAAACAACACAGAAATTCCGCCTTTGCTTTTGTGATTACTATCACATTAAAAAAAAAAAGAAATGTATTCCCTAGATGGAAGTATTATTCCCAAATATGTTCTGATGTGCTATGTACCCACCTTATTTAAATATTTCATCACTCATTCATTCTTTGGTTTAATATTTTCATTCTTTCTCTATGCATGTATTGGTGTGTCTGTCAAAGTCATTAAGCTCTTGTGGTTCTCCTGATTCTGTGCCTAACAGCATTAAATTTTTTTTTAATTGTGGTAAAATATTCATAACATAAAATTTACCATCGTAACCATTTTTGGATGTATCCTGCACATTCTTGAGCCTAAATATTTTCAGACAAAGTGAAGCCTTAGATTGTCTGGTGAGAATGAGGATTTCTTGGTTTCTCTTTGTGTTTCCCTTTCCCAGCCTCACTCAGAGCCACTTGACCATCTCTTTTTCTCCCACCCCGGTGTGCAGAGATGAAAAGGGAACGGAAGCAATATTCTGGCCTCTCATACTTTCTAGAGTTTGTGTTCTTATTTAGGGTGGTGTGAGAGTTTCAGACACAGACCTTGCCCTTGTTCAGCCGGGAGTCATACAGGAAATCCTGCCAGACTTGCTGTCCCTCTCTCTTTGGCATCCTTGACCTGTGGCTAGGAAGTCAAAAGGCCAGGAAAACAATACCTGAGATGAGGGTAGCTCAGGCCTCCATTTCCTGCCCCCAACCTCCCCGCAGACTGTGATACCAAAGAACAGCCCCTCCTTGCCAAGTCTTCCCTCCTTACCTCCATTTTTGGCACCCTCTGCTTGCCTGACTTCCTCCTTCTGCCTACCCCTTAAGAGCGGATGTTCTCAAAGCTGCTGCCCTTTTCTCTTCTTTGCGTTTTTTCCTAAGTCTCTGGCCCTGGGCCTGGCACATAGTTGATGCTTAATGGATGTTTATTGAATGATTAAGTGAATGAATGCAATTCACTCATTCATTCCTTAAGTTTCACCTGTTATTTTTGTGTACGCAATAATGCATTTAGATGATAATGATAATAATAAGCTAACATTTATGCACCTACTGTGTACCAGAGCATATTCTAAGTATTTTCATCTTACTGTGACCCAGTGGGGGAAGTACTTCTATTACCCTATTTTGTAGAGGAGGTAATTGGGGTTACGAGAGGTTAATTGAAGGGCCTACACTCACCAAGTGTCATAGCTGGAGTCCTAACAAAGCAAACTAGCTCTAGAGCCAGTACTCACCAAGGCAGGCTGCATTGCCTTTTTAAAATTGGGATACCCCTTTTTCCCACAAAAGAATGTCATATTTTCAGCCCTAACACCCTTTCCTCAGCTACCAACCCTTCATTTCACCATCACCACTGGACATATCCACAGGGTTATCTTGCTGGCACCTTAGCTCTTTCCTCTTTAAACAGCTCTTTCACAAGGCTTAAGATGGTTCTACACTTCTCCAGCCAGAGGTGGAAACCTCAGTGTCATCCTTAACCCCCATTTTTCTCCCTTGCTCTTGAGCTCAAATCACCTGCTAGGGCTTGCAAATTCCACCTTTGAAGGTTTCAAAAGTGTCTGTCTTTGAAACCTCCTGTCTCTCCTTTCCTTCAGGCACTGTTCAGCCTCCAATACTACTCACGTGGATAACAACAGTAGCCGCTAAACTGGACTCCTGTTTTCTCAGCTTTCCCTGTTCTAGCTCATTTTACACTTGACAGCTGCATTTAGCACTTTTGCTGCATTTTCCTGACACTCCGTGCTTTCCTACATGGAGACTGTACATAAACCAAAGTAGAATCCTGGGGGACAGTCCCTTTTCCTGATATATCCCATTCCCTAGGCTTTTCTCTGCCAGGCCAAATCTCTCCTCAGACAGCACCATTTGCAGCAAACCTGTAAATCCCTGAAGCTGAATGTGTTTCCTCTCTCTTTCCCTTGTCATGTTTTTTTTTGCTGTGTACTCTAGTCATTGCTGTGTCTGTCTTGCCCCTCTTATTAGACTATGAGTCCCATAAGGTTGGGCTGGGACAGTGGCTTTAGTAATCTGTGTCTGCCAATAGTATGTGCTCAGGGAAGGATTTTCTTCTTTTGAAAAATATTTGTTTTCAGAAATAAAATTAGTAATTGTTAAATATTACCATTATACTTAAAAGGATTCATCAGATCCAAAGTCTGTCTTTGAGTACCTCTAACTTTGCCAGTGTCATAAATTTTTGGATTAAAAAACTTCACCCTGGCTGGGTACAGTAGCTCACACCTGTAATCCCAGCACTTTAGGAGGCTGAGGCAAGAGAATTGCTTGAACCCGGGAGGCAAAGGATGCAGTGAGCTGAGATTGCACCATTGTACTCCAGCCTGGGCAACAGAGTGAGTGAGACTCTGTCTCAAAACAAAAACAAAAACAAAAACTTCACTCTTATATAAGAAACTTCAGAATTGCACCATTTTCATTTTTTAAGTCTCTACCATAAATTTCTTAAGCAATTGTCACTAATGACTTTGCTATAGTAGAAAGAGGAGGCTCTAGAGATGGACTTCATCCCTCATTTACTGTGCAGCCTTGGCTAAATCAATAAACCTCTCTGAATCTTAGTTTCAATACCTGAAACATGGAGAGAATTATGCATACTTGTCAGAGCTAAGTGTAATTTAAAGATCAGGCACATAAGACATTTGACACATAGTAGGCATTTCCTATATAGTAGGGTTTATTATATTTTTCCAAATATACTAGCTTGCATATTTAAAGGTGAATCTCATTTCCTTATTTCTTCTCTGATGGATGGCTTTTTGTTTTTTTATTTGACTACAGTTATAGATCCCTGACCTCTGACCTCTTCTCCCTAGTTCCTCTGAGGTTTAGGTGGATTTGATTGGGTGTGAAATATGGGGGACTGTGTGAAATATGGGGTTCTTCACTGAAGGGGATGACTGACTTGATCTTCCCCACATAGGAGCATTCCAGACCATGTTTCAAGTAAAGGCCACACTAGTAAAGATTGGAGTCCTAGGCCAGGCACAGTGGCTCATGCCTATAATCCCAGCACTTTGGGAGGCTGAGGCGGGTAGATCACGAGGGCAGGAGATCGAGACCATCCTGGCTAACACGGTGAAACCCCGTCTCTACTAAAAATACAAAAAATTAGCCAGGCATGGTGTGGGCACCTGTAGTCCCAGCTACTCGGGAGGCTGAGGCAGGAGAATGGCATGAACCCAGGAGGTGGAGCTTGCAGTGAGCCGAGATCGTGCCGGTGCACTCCAGCCTGGGCGACAGAGTGAGACTCTGTCTCAAAAAAAAAAAAAAAAAAAAAAAAAAAAAGATTGGAGTCCTGGGAACATAGTCCATTGGAGTGGGCACGATTCTCTAAGGACAGCTTGTCTAGTCTTTTTACATGATAGCAGGGGACTCTGAGGCTAGAGATGGAGGAGCTGTGGCTGCTTGCAGCTGGAGGATAGGTGGAAGTGGGTAGGGCATCCTCTCAGAGGACTCCTCAGGGAACAGGCTCTGGGAGGGCTCCATGGGGCTGAGACTCACACGACTGCTGGGTTGGAGCACTTGCCACTGGTGTAGAAATACTCCTTGATGTGGGCACGGGGCAGTGGGCGGGCAATGTAGGCAAAGCAGCAGGGTGTGGTGTCCGAGGAATCTGGAAGAGGAAAGGAAGGAGGGAGACCCTTTTATTCATTGCTACTGCACACTTGACATTGTGCTGGACACTTTATATGATTTATTTAGAAAGAACTGTTATCTTCCTTGACAGAAACTGAGGCTCAGAGAGGTAAAGTCACTTGGCCATGGATAAACAGTGGCAGAGTGGGGATTCCAATGCCTCATCTAATCCTTGAGCCAAGCTTGTATCCATCCCTCTACACCATAACCTTCTGCCCTGGGCTTTCAGGGCCTCCTCCTGGCTTGTCCTGGGTCCTCTGGCTTCATTCTTGCCCTTCCAGCATCCTCAATGGATTTGGAACTTGGTTTCTTTGAGACCTAGGGCAGGTTGTGGGGAGGCTTCCAAAGCTCAGGCTCCATGACTCAGCCAGGATCCTAAGAAGGGCCTGGAGATGCATATTGTATCTTGGGAGCTCTGGTTGAGCTTCAGTGAGAAGGGCTCTCAACAGAGAACTTCTTGTTGGTCAGTTAATTCAAGATGACGTTGGGAAGCATCAGTTGCCACTTCCCAGCAGAGGAGTAGTTTTTATTTTCCCAGCAAGATGGAACCAGGTTTGAATACCAGTCTCCCCATTTCCTAGCTGTGTGCCTCCATGGACAAGTTACTTAACCTCTCTGTTTTCCCATCTGTACATCAAGGACAGCTACTCAAAGAAGGGTTGTGGGTATTAAATAAGATGTACAAAAATCGGCTGGGCACGGTGGCTCACGCCTGTAATCCCAGCACTTTGGGAGGCCGAGGCGGGCGGATCACGAGGTCAAGAGATCGAGACCATCCTGGCTAACATGGTGAAACCCCGTCTCTACTAAAAAATACAAAACATTAGCAGGGTGTGGTGGCGGGTGCCTGTAGTCCCCGCTACTCCGGAGGCTGAGGCAGGAGAATGGCATGAACCCGGGAGACGGAGCTTGCAGTAAGCCGAGATCGTGCCGCTGCACTCCAGCCTGGGCGACAGAGCGAAGACTCCATCTCAAAAAAAAAAAAAAAAAAAAAAAAGATGTGCCAAAATCAGCACAATGCCTGATCCATAGTAACCATTTAATTAGCTTTTATTATCCTCTCCTTGTTTTTATTTGTTTTTTAAATGTATTCACTCTAATAAAGCCACATACCCTCTCATAAGCCAATTTTTTTTACATTTATGAAATGAGAGAGAATATGGCTGTCTCAGGGTCTCAGGAAGTTTTAGTTTAGTTAAATTTCTTAGAAACCCTGCTGCTGACAGGCATGAGTCAGACGTGTTTCAAAGTCAGTGTGAGCTACTCATGACTACTAATCTCCCCAACATGAGTCCACACTCAGTGAACACCTGTAGGCCTTGAGGGTGTAGACCTTAAAGACAGAAAAACTGATCAGGAGATCCCTGCCATGAAGCAGCATAGAGATCTCTCAAGGACAACAGGACATATGGGTAAGACAATTCATAAGAATGTAAATAATGGGGTTCAGACAGTATTCATGCTACAGTTGAAAAGAGGGCAAGGTGTGGGACAGTCATTGGGATGGGGTAGGCATTCTAGGCAGAGTCTGACTCCAGGGGCTGTGGTGGTCAAGACCAGGACTTACATGGGGAGGCAGATGCAGGAGCGCAGAGGGCAGTAGCAATGAGGATGACAGCGAGGGCTGCCGCGGAGACCTTCATGGTACCTGTGGGAGAGGCTGTGCGAGGTCCACGTGCTGTCTTGATCCTCTGCAGGAATCCTCTGCAGCTCAGGCTGGCCCTTTATAGGGCCAGTTGAGGGGCATCCCCTAAGGGGAGTTTCCAAAATAGCAACCAAGCATTGGCCGGTATCATAAGTGAAATTGCACAAAACGGAAAAGAAAACTGAAATAGCCTCCGGAAATTCGAGTCTCTGTCTCTCCCTCACTGCTCTCTCATCTAGAGTGAGCTCATCAGTTTCCTCTTTGACCAAGCACCAATGGTGGAAAAATTTCTCTGCTGACATCCTTAGTTTTACCTTCCAGGGAAGGGGTCCTCCTCAGAGAGCAGGAAGCCGCTTTCTTGGGGACAACAAGGAGTGGCAGTTAGGACAGGATCAGAAGTCACTGAGTCTTTATTACTCACTGAGTCACTGAGTCTTCAAAGTTCCTGCTTATTCATTACAGATCTTACCTCCTTTCCCTCATCCATGGAAGGATGTTATTTATAAAGTGTTTTATTGAGGAGGGTCCTCTGGATATACAGTCCCCAAAGGAGGTGAGCACACTCACACTGTAAATTGAGGCAGTTGATCTGAGCTGGGCATTGGGAACCTTTTCACAAGATATGAGTTGGAATGAGTCCTCTTGTGGGAATTTCTTGCTTTCATCCTGGTCATAGGGTCTCTCCCATTTACTTGCTAAGCGACCTTTGGGAAAAGTGCTTAATGTCTTTGAGTTCTATTTCCTTGTTTATAAAGTGGAATAATTGATTAGAGACTTGTTGAGAAGCAGAGGGAGAGAAAGATATCTTACAGCATACTCTATCATTATTGGCTACCATTTACCGAGGGCTTATCTGTGCCAGCCACTATTCCACTGTCCTAGCGCGTGTCAACTCATTTACTATTATTATCCCCATTTTATGAATGAGGAAACTCAATAAATACTGGGATCCCATCTCACTGTAAGGCCTTCTTGGGCACAAAAGTTACAGAATATGAAAGCTTCAAAGGACTTTAGGGATCATTTTTTCCATGTTCTTCAGTTGCACAAGAGGAAACCAAGGCCCAGTGAGCAGGAGTGACTTGCTAAGAACACACAGCAAATGAATGACAGAGTTGGGATCAGAACCCAGTTGCCCTCACTCCCACTTCAGTGCTCTGTCCATTAAGTACTGCCCAACATTAAAGGGTTCGTGGTTAGGAGTATCCTCAAAACTGAACCCATGTGGAACTTCTGGATTAGAGCTAGGGTCCTTACTGCATTCCAAAGAACTGGATACAGTAAGTCTTCATCAATTCCTATTTTAGTAGTTCAGAATTAGCAACAATTTGGTCCGGGCTAGGCTGAAATTGGCATCTGAATAATAATAATAATATTATTATTATTATTATTATTATTGAGACAGTCTTGCTGTGTCGCCCAGGTTGGACTGCAGTGGCACAATCTCGGCTCATTGCAAGCTGTGCCTCCCAGGTTCACGCCATTCTCCTGCCTCAGCCTCCCAAGTAGCTGGGACTACAGGAGCTGGCCAGAATGCCTGGCTAATTTTTTTGTATTTTTAGTAGAAATGGAGTTTCACCATGTTAGCCAGGATGGTCTCTATCTCCTGCCCTCGTGATCCGCCCGCCTTGGCTTCCCAAAATGCTGGGATTACAGGCCGTACCCGGCCGGCATCTGAATTATTTAAGAGAAAAGTGTTTATTGAGAGTGACAAAAGCGGCCGGGCGCGGTGGTTCACGCCTGTAATCCCAGCACTTTGGGAGGCCGAGGCGGGCGGATCATGAGGTCAGGAGATCGAGGCCATCCTGGCTAACACAGTGAAACCCCGCCTCTACTAAAAATACAAAAAATTAGCCGGGCGTGGTGGCGGGCGCCTGTAGTCCCAGCTACTCAGGAGGCTGAGGCAGGAGAATGGCGTGAACCCGGGAGGTGGAGCTTGCAGTGAGCCGAGATCGCGCCACTGCACTCCAGCCTGGGCGACAGAGCGAAACTCCGTCTCAAAAAAAAAAAAAAAAAAAAAGAGAGTGACAAAAGCAAAATAAACAAAATGTAACCCCCTACTGAGATCATTTTCTGTTAGCTACTCTCACACTTGTAACATGGTGGTTGACGGTGACTAAATCACCCAGAATGGGAAGACTTTGCCACATTTCTTCCTCACGATGACTTTGAGGCAGAGTGGTTGTTCTTCTCATTTGACCAAAGAGGAAAGTAAGCCTCAGAACAGATAATTAACATCTTCAAGATCACGCAGCTGATAAGTGGGATTTGAAGGCAGGTGTTTCTGATGACCATGCTCAAGCTCTGTCCAGTGAATCACATCAGTAAGTCAGTTAACAGTTATCAAGACCTTTCGGCCAGGCGCGGTGGCTCACACCTGTAATCCCAGGACTTTGAGAGGCCGAGGCGGGCGGATCACGAGGTCAGGAGATCGAGACCATCCTAGCTAACACGGTGAAACCCCGTCTCTACTAAAAATAGAAAAAATTAGCCGGGCGTGGTGGCGGGCGCCTGTAGTCCCAGCTACTCGAGAGGTTGAGGCAGGAGAATGGCGTGAACCCAGGAGGCGGAGCTTGCAGTGAGCTGAGATCGCGCCACTGCACTCCAGCCTGGGCGAAAGAGCAAGACTCCGTCTCAAAAAAAAAAAAAAAAAAAAAAAAGACCTTTCTAGGTTACAGGTGCCATTCCAAGCTTTTTTTTTTTTTTTTTTTTTGAGACAGAGTGTCACTTTTTTGATCAGGCTGAAGTGCAGTGGCACGATCTCGGCTCACTGTACCCTCCACCTCCCAGGTTCAAGCAATTCTTCTGCCTCCTGAGTAGCTGGGATTACAAGCGTCCGCCACCATGCCTGGCTAATTTTTGTATTTTTAGTAGAGACAGGATTTCGCCATGTTGGCCAGGCTGGTCTCGAACTCCTGACCTCAGGCGATCCGCCCACCTCGGCCTCCCAAAGTGCTGGGATTACAGATGCGAGCCACTGCGCCTGGCCTTGTTCCAAGCTCTTTACAACAATCCTCTCATACCCTCCTTACAGCTCAATCAATTAACAATGGAAACGTAATTTTGGAAAGTATGGCCATCTCATTTAAAGAAACAAATTGCAAGCACTTTAGAAACATTCATCCAACCACACAAAAATGTTCTACCAATTGTTTCCTTCACAAAGCCCCGTTAGGTCTAAGGTAAGTTACCAAACATGTGAGAGGTTCTGGAAAAGGCGGTGGGTTAAGAGCAGGGACTCGGCAGTTTCTCCTGTTTATTGTCCAGGTGGCCTCAGGTAAATTATTAATAATCTCTCTGGTCTCAGTTTCCTTACCTATAAATCAGTGATAATAATAATAATAGTTCCTCACACAACTATCGAGACAATTAAGTCCCTATAAATGTTCTCATGCTTGCAAAGCTCTTAGTGCAACGTCTGACGCATGTTAAGTACTTAATAACATTGCCTATTATTATCATGTTATCATTAAGAGTAAGATGTCAGTGCCTTTAAGGATATTCTGTAATTTATGCTTTTCAACAGTCTAAACTAAACCCCCAGTCAATATGTATTCGTATTTGTTACAAAAAAATATTTATTTATTACAAAAAGCCTTTTTTTTTTTTTTTTTAAGACGGAGTCTCTCACTTTCGCCCAGGCTGGAGTGCAGTGGCACAATCTCGGCTCACTGCAAGCTCTGCCTCCCGGGTTCACGCCATTCTCCTGCCTCAGCCGCCCGCGTAGCTGGAACTACAGGCGCCCACCACCTCGCCCAGCTAGATTTTTCTGTTTTTAGTAGAGACAGGGTTTCACCATGTTAGCCAGGATGTTCTCAATCTCCTGACCTCGTAATCTGCCCGCCTTGGCCTCCCAAAGTGCTGGGATTACAGGCGTGAGCCACCGCGCCCGGCCACAAAAAGTCTTTTTTAAAACAGATGGGTAGTTGAGGCTTAGAGTGGTTAAGTGACTTATAGTCTGGGTTCATGGGCTTTCTACCACACTTCATTGTTTCTAGAGAAAATCATAAAACTATTACCAAGGCTCAGTTTTCTTCTGTGAGCTCAATTTCTGTTTTCTTTCCTTGATTTCAGTTTCCCTCTTTAAGGAAGAAAGGAAAGTGTTTTCCTGGATACTAGATATGCTGAGTTGGGACAGGAGCTAAGGATAGAGGTGAGGAAACCCGCAGACAACAGCGACATGCTCCTCATCTTTGAGTCCCAGCGAACCTTTCCACTGTGTGTGTGTGTACGTATATCTGTGTATAAGTGGTGGTGGGACAGAGGTTGGGTGGGTAGGATGGTGGGATGTTGGGATTGCTGAGTGGGAATAGGCAGTGGGAATGTCAAAAGTATTTTTGTTGTTGTTGTTTGAAACAGGATCTCACTCTGTTCCCCAGGCTGGAATGCAGTTAACTGATCACCTGCAGGCTTGAACTCCAGGGTTCAAGCGATCCTCCTACTTCAGCCTCCTGAGCAGCTAAGGACTACAGGTGTGCACCACCATGCTGGGCTAATTTTTTTTTTTTTTTTTTTGAGATGGAGTCTGGCTCTGTCACCCAGGCTGGAGTGCAGTGGCGCGATCTCGGCTCACTGCAAGCTTCGCCTCCCGGGTTCACGCCATTCTCCTGTCTCAGCTTCCCAAATAGCTGGGACTACAGTCTCCCACCACCATGCCCGGCTAATTTTTTGTATTTGTAGTAGAGATGGGGTTTCACTGTGTTAGCCAGGATGGTCTCGATCTCCTGACCTCATGATCTGCCCACCTCGGCCTCCCAAAGTGCTGGGATTACAGGCGTGAGCCACTGCACCATGCTGGGCTAATTTTTAAATTTGTCGTATAGATGGGATCTTGCTATGTTGCCCAGGCTGGTCTCGAACTCCTGGCTTCAAGCAATCCTCCCACCTTGGCCTCCCAAAGTGCTGGGGTTGTAGGCATGAACCGCCACACCCAGCCATGGGAGTATTTTTCTTCCCTTTCAGTGATTCTAATGGATTGTGAGGAGCACAGGAGGGAGGAGAATCTAATTTTTATTTCATGTCTACCATTCATTTTCTCCTGTGCAAAATCAAGGTTTGGGCTTGATGGGCTATCTTCAATTTTTTCTCTGGTGCTAATGAACTGATTCCATAAGCAAATTAGAGAGCCCATGTAAACAGTATGGTGCCTGGTACAGGGTGGGTGTTCAATGAATGGCAACTATCATTATTATTCACCCAGCACATTATGTTCCTGAAAACCAGGAACTGCTTCCTGTCTGACCCACTGCAGTGGTGGAGAGGATCAAGGGAAATAATGATCATGGATGTGCTTAGGAGACGTAAGGTGAGATACACCATCATGGAGCTGTCTCTGCTCTCCCTGTCCCTTCAGTGTGCATGGTCCATACCACTCAGTCATTCCTTACCCACTCTACAGATTTTACTAAGAATTGCTGTGAGCTGGGCACCCTTCTACGCTCTGCAGACACCATGGCTAGTAAGACAGGCAAAGACCTGCCATCTGGAGCTTGTTTGGATATAGGGTAGGGGGACGGGGAGAAGGGAGATAAACAATAAACAAGTAAATTTACACTCTTTTATTGTGAATCATCCTTTCACTGGTCTTGTCTTAACTCCATGAACACAGCGACAGTGTCCTATGTGTTTTCTATTTATTTGTATTCTCTGCCTACTTTCCAATAAATGTCTTAGATAAGCTGCTATATCAATGCAGATTAAGTCATACTAACTTCTTGTAGCATCTTAATTAAATGGGCTCTCTGGAGTCAGACTTCTAGGTTCAAAATCCAGCTTCATGACTTATTATTTATTTATTTTTAATAAAAACTATTTTTAATAAACATCATATTTACAACATGACGTTTTGATATACATATACATAGTGAAATGATTATTCCAGTTAAACAAATTAATATATCCATCTCCTCATACAGTTACCGCTATTTTTGTGTATGTGGTGAGAGCACTTGAAATCTCTTCTCTTAGAAAATTTCCAGTATTCGGCTGGGCGCGGTGGCTCACGCCTGTAATCCCAGCACTTTGGGAGGCTGAGGCGGGTGGATCACCTGAGGTCAGGAGTTCGAGACCAGCCTGGCCAACGTGGTGAAACCCGGTCTCTACAAAAAATACAAAAATTGTCCGGGCATGGTTAGTGGCACACGCCTGTAATCCCAGCTACTCGGGAGGCTGAGGCAGAATTGCTTGAGCCAGGGAGACGGAGGTTGCAGTGAGCCGAGACTGTGCCACTGTACTCCAGCCTGGCCAACAGAGAAAGACTCAGTCTCCAAAAAAAAAAAAAAAAGAAAATTTCCGGTATCCAATACAATATTATTAACTCTACAGTAGCCCTCCCTTATCTGTATTTTGGTTATTCTGGTTTTGCTTACTGAGGTTTCAGTTACTCTTGGTCAACCATGGTCAGAAAATATTAAATGGAAAATTCCAGACATAAACATTTACATAACTTTTATTACAGTATATTGTTATAATTGTTCTATTTTGTTATTATTGTTGTTAATCTCTTACTGAGCCTAATTTATAAACTAAAGTTTATCATAGGTAGTATAGGAAAAAACACATAATAAAATAGTATATAACAGGTACTATCCATGGTTTCAGGCATCCACTGGGGGTCTTGGGACATCCACCACAGATAAATGGGAACTGCTGTAGTCCTCATGCTACACATTCGATTCTACATAACTGCAACTTTTTGCCCTTTGACCAGAATCTCCCAATTTCTCTTACAGCCCTGCCACTGGTAGCCAAAGTTCTATTCTTTGCCTCCATGTATTTGACTTTTTTAGATTCCACATGTAAGATCATGTAGTATTTTCCTTTCTATGTCTGCCTTGCTGTGATTAATGATGACTTTCAACAAGTTGCTTACTTTCTCTGGGCCTAAATTTCTTTGTCTGTAAAGTAAGATATTGGACCTAACCTGTCTGGGGCAATTGAGCCATTAAAGAATCTGATGAGGGCTGGGCACTGTGGCTTACGCCTGTAATCCCAGCACTTTGGGAGTTGGAGGTGGGTGGATTGCTTGAGCTCAGGAGTTGAAGAGCAGCCTGGACAACATGGCGAACCCCATCTCTACTAAAAATACAAAAATTAGCTGGGCATGGTGGCATGCCTGTAGTCCCAGCTACTCAGTGGGGAGGCAGGAGGATCGCTTGAGCCCAGGAGGCAAAGGTTGCAGTGAGCCAAGATTGAGCCACTGCACTCTAGCCTGGGTGACAGAGTGAGACCCTGTCTCAAAAAAAAAAAAAAGAAAAGAAAAGAAAAAAGGGCCGGGCGCGGTGGCTCATGCCTGTAATCCCAGCACTTTGGGAAGCCAAAGCGGGCGGATCACCCGAGGTCAGGAGTTCGATACCAGTCTGGCCAATGTGGTGAAACCCTGTCTCTACTAAAAATGCAAAAATTAGCTGGGCGTGGTGGCGGGTGGCTGTAATCCCAGCTACTCGGGAGGCTGAGGTAGGATAATTTCTGGAACCCAGGAGACGGAGGTTGCAGTGAGCCGAGATCATGCCACTGCACTCCAGCCTGGGCGACAGAGCAAGACTCTGTCTCAAAAAAAAAAAAAAAAAAAAAAAGCCAGTGCTGTGGCTCACACCTGTAATCCCAGCACTTTGGAAAGCCGAGGCAGGAGGATCACTTGAGGTCACGAGTTTGAGACCAGCCTGGCCAACATGGTGAAACCCCGTCTCTACTCAAAGTACAAAAATTTAGCCAGGCGTGGTGGCACATGCCTGTAGTCCCAGCTACTTGGGAGGCCGAGGCAGGCGAATGGCTTGATCCTGGGAGGTGGAGGTTGCGGTGAGCAGAGGTCACGCCATTGCACTCCAGCCTGGGCCACAGAGCGACACTCTGTCTCAAGAAAAAAAAAAAAAAAGCCTGATGAGGATGTGAGGGTGATCTGGCTGCAACATCTGTCACCCTATTGATCACCAGGGTTGGTTCTGTTACCGACCATAGTTTCTTGCGTTCTCCATGCAATAGAAATTGACATGAGGCCGAAAGACTTTTCCCAGACAAGACTTCATTGGAGCTTTTGCCTGGACATAAGGGAGGCAGCACAAGAGAGAATTCCCTGACTGACTCTGTGCAAAGAGCCGGTAGGGCTTTTTAATTAGGCAAAGCATGAGAATTGACATCAGGGGTGGGGTATGCAGGCTGGGCTGGGCAAAGCATGTGAGGGGTAGGGTATGCAGGTTAGCACTATTTGGTTGTAATGGTTACCTTGAGTAATGGGCTACCTGGTGGTCTAGCTGGGGCAACAAGTCTGTAAATCAGTTGTTCAGCATTCCTTCCTGAGGTGGAATACTCCACAACCTTGGTTTGATACTTGGATTTCCTAAGGCCAGTTCCTGGAATTTGTTAAGTAAAAGACATGGTTGAACATGGTGTCAGTGAGATGGTGGTGTGGGGTTTGTGATCAGTGGGAATTCATGAAAGAAAGTTCAGTGCTGGTGAGCTGCAGCCAAGCCCCACTCCCAGTCTGTCTCAATTTGGCTGATCTAGCTGGCTAGGCCTGTGTCCCCTTCTCTCTTTACCGTTCCATGTGCGTCCCTCCTAAAGCTGCGCACTTGGTTTAACCACCCAACGGGTTCTTCTTGCCCGCTGCCCAGATACAGCAAGTTTATCAAGACACAGGAATTGCAATAGACAAAGAGTTTGATACAAGTAGAGCCAGCTAAACAGGAGACAGGGGTTTTATTATTACTCAAATCAGCCTCCCTGAAAATTTGGAGGCTAGGGTTTTTTAAAGGTAGTTTGGCGGGCAGGGGGCTCGGGAAGCGGGAATGCTGATTGGTTGGGTCGGGGATGAAATCATAAGGAGTTGAAGCTATCCTCTTGCACTGAGTTGGTTCCTGGGTGGGGGCCAGAAGACCAGATGAGCCAGTTTACTGGTCTGGGTGGTGCCAGCTGATCCATCAGAAGGCAGGGTCTGAAAAATACCTCAAACACCCATGTTAGGTTTTACAATAATAATATTATCTACAGGAGCAATTGGGGAGGTTCATGATCTCGAGGCCTTTGGCTGCATGACTCCTGAGCCGTCATTTCTAATCTTGTGGCCAATGTGTTAGTTTTACAAAGGCTTTCTGGTCCCCAGGCAAGGAGTGGGTTGGTCTCAGGGAGGGGCTGTTATCATCTTTGTTTCAAAGTTAAACTATAAACTAAATCCTCCCAAAGTTAGTGCTCCCTATGCCCAGGAATGAACAAGGGCAGCTGGGAGGTTAGAAGCAAGATGGAGTCAATTAGGTCAGATTTCTTTCACTGTCATAATTTTCTCACTGCTATAATTTTTGCAAAGGTAGTTTCAGAAGAGGACAACCTTCCCCAATAGAGGAGGACTGTTCTTTGGTCAAGGGTATACGAGTAGCTGCGCTCCCCTGCTAGAACCTCCAAACAAGCTCTCAAGGTCCATTTGTAGGAGAATGTAGGGTAGTCAAACTTCCAAGACTCCAGACACATCCAAATGAGGTGTTGCATGCGGCAGTGTGCCTTTCTTAAAAAAAAAAAAATAATAATCTCATGAAAGCTGTGAACACTTCCACCAATCTGTAGAGACCTACACAGACAGACACATGTAATTTTGCATGTAAGGAGTTCATAGACCCTGCAGGCTCACTGATGGGCCTCTTGATCCACAGGGCTTGTTCCTATCAGCTTTCACGCCTCTGGCACCCCTTTTCCTAGCATAATCCTCTAAAGCCAGGCCCATATCCCCTCCAGCCTAGTGTAGCCCCTCTCCTCCCCTCCCTTCCTGGCACAGTCTTTTTTTTTTTTTTTCCCCATCATTCACTCTTTTCCAAAGCTAAGCTGGCTGCTAGCCAAGGCTCACATTGTGATGTTAGGAAACCAAATGCAGGCAGAGAAAATGAAACCTTACTCCATCTGGATTCCAAAGCTTTTATCTGACATGGAGTTCCCCTCCTGACTTCAGACTGTGGGCAGCAGCTCTGGCTGTTCCAGTGCTCTTAAAAACATGCCCAAAGCAGGGACATTCCCCCCATCCTCTAGAAATCTGGGATCCCAAGAGAAGCCTGAGGCAAAGTCATTTCCTCCTGATGAAACTTAATTTTCCCCATCTGCAAATTGGAGGTTACTTCCTGGTTGTTTCTCTCCTTCTTTGCCCCTGTTCACAAGTCTAAATATTCCCCACCTGAGACTGGAAGCTATCTCACTCTTTGTTTCTGAAGGACCCTGCATGGGGTAGGTGCTTCATTGGTGCTGGTTGGAGGATCTGCCAGAGGCAATAGGGTGCAAGCCAAGACCTTGTAGCAGGCTCAGGGGACTTCCCAGGAGGAGGCAGAATTTGAACCCAAGACTCTACAACATCCTGGCCTCGATTTTTGGTCCAGCTCTGGTTGGTTCTTTCTGTGTTATTCTGTTCTGCTCCTCAATTCCTCTCCCCTCCCCTCCCCCTCCTCTCCCCACCCCTTCCCCCACCCCCTCCCCCTCCCCTCTTCTGTCACCTTGCACTGTGCACTTTAATGCACATTGCACTATGTCAAGGTACTAACTTTGACAACTGCTCTCATAATTCCAACCACATTCAGGCTGAGGGTTGCAGCTTGGCTCCCCCTCACTCTTCTCACCTTCACCACACAGGACATTGGCTGTGCACAGCCACTTGTTTATTGCAGCTGGAGACCACATGCGGTGTGTTTGTTGATCAGAGCAGCGCTCACCTGCCTCTGGTTACTGGAGGAGCCTGTCACAAGATATCTTGGGGGTGGGGTGACCACGGGAACAAGGCCCGTGGAGAAGCATCAGTTCTTCCAAAATGGCTGGGTGCCAGATGACTTCAGACTGTCCTTCTCCTGATACCTTGGGGTCTGTTTTTGTTGTTGTTGTTGTTTTCCTCTGCATGTTGGTGGCTGGTGGCTTCCCCTCTATTGGTGTATACCCCCTCATGAAGTACTCTTCAAGAACTCTTATTGCTGGAGCACTGCTGTCCCCTGCACACCCCACCCCTGCCCTTGGCCCCACTGCCTCCAGGCCCCAGGAGAAAGCCTGGTAAAGCAGGACAAACTTGGGGTTGAAATCAGATAGCGCATACTTTCTGTATGTCGTTTTTTGTTTGATTTTTCTTTAGAGATGTTGCCCAGGTGGGAATGCAGTAGCTGATCATTGCTTACTGTAACCTCAAACTCTTGTGCTCAAGCAATCCTCCCGCCTTGGCCTGCTGTGTAGCTGGGACTACAGGTGCATGCCACCATGCCTAGCTATTTTTTTAAAAAAATGTTTTCTATTGAATGTGGCTTTTGTGGCAGAATTTTTTTTTTTTCCCTAAAGAGGGGATCTCACTATGTTGCCTAGGCTGGTCTCAAACTCCTAGCTTCACGTGATCCTCTCACTTTGGCCTCCCAAAGTGCTGGGATTACAGGTGTGAGCCACCACATCCAACCCTTTCTGTATGACTTTTTTTTTTTTTTTTTAGATGGAGTCTCACTCTGTTGCCCAGGCTGGAGTGCAGTGGCACGATCTTGGCTTACTGCAACTTCCGCCTCCCAGATTCAAGTGATTTCTGGCTAATTTTTGTATTTTTAGTCGAGACAGCATTTCGCCTTGTTGGCCAGGCTGGTCTTGAACTCCTGACCTCAAGTGATCTGCCCGCCTTGGCCTCCCAAAGTGCTAGGATTACAGGCGTGAGCCACCATGCCTGGCACTTTTCCATATGTCTTTGAACAAATTATTAACTCTTTTTCACCTTGGTTTGCTTTCTGGAAATGGGGCTGAGAATACCTAACTCCTAGGATACGTCAAAGGATTAAATGAGGCAATCAGTAAATTGCCCAACACCATTTCTGGCACAAAGTAGATACTTGGAAAACAATTCCTTCCCTTTCTTTCCCCAAATGTCAAGGTGCCAGCATTTCTTCCCTCAATGGCTTCCCCTCCCAGTAGAGATGTTCATCTCACCGAGAGTTAGAAGGCATGGCGGTGGGGGAGGGGAAGTTGGGGATTTTCTGTGAGCTGTCAGGCACCGTGCTAGACACTACACATTATTTCACTTATTAGGAAGAAACACACAGAAAATGGTGATGACTCAGACCTGCCCTGAGCTCTCCTGCCCTCAATGCAGTGGGCTACAGACACTCAGCCCCATGCTCTGTCCTTCACTGGATTTCTGTCTCTCAGAGCCTGGCCACGGAGGGGGATGTGATCCTTCTCCCTTCTGGCTGTCCTTGCAGGCTAGCCCACATACCCCTTTTCAAAGAGTTTCACAGAGAGGCTTAGGAAGGAAGCCTTAGAAAGGAAGTGACAAAGTTTCAGAATCTTACAGGATTCTGTAGTTGTAGTCTGGATCTGCTCTTTTTTAGCTTGTCCTGGGAAGCCCCTTGGCTTCTTGCCTATTACTTCCATTCTCAGGGACGGGGGTCCCAGTCCCCTGCTTCCCCACTATGCTGCTTGCCCTGCTTTCTAGTGTTCAGGTTAGAATATTAGGGCCCTTAGAACCTTCCTAGGCATTCATTGCATTTTTGAGGCTCTCCAGCTTGCATGAAAAAGTCCCCTTGGGGAATTTCCTCAAATTAGGGTTTGGAAATTCTGCACCGTAGTCATTCCTTCTAGTGTCAGCTTTGGGTGGTGAAAAGAGCAAGGAATGGGAATTAAGAGACCTAAGCTCTAGTCCCATTGTAGCTCCAAACCCACTTGTTACATTTTGGCAAACCACTTGCCCTTTGTAGGCCTAAGTTTCCTCATCTGTGAAATGAGGGTCTGACAATGTTATTTATTTCCCTCTTAGTTAAAAGATACAAAAGTAAAGGATTTCTAGTATACTAGAGTGAGATTTGGGGGTAAGTTTCCTGTTTGCTCCTAAAATCAGTTCACATTACTTCTCCTATGGGTAAGGCTGAGGGAGTAACATACCTTCTTTCCCTCGTATCCATCAAAGGCCTAGGACTCACTTTACCATTTAGCTCATGAACTTCTGTGAGCAGCACTGTCCTCCTCCGCTTACCCACTCATTCCTACCTTTTCACACATCCCTTCACTCCATCCTGTCCAGCACGCGTCTATTCATTCATCTATTCCTTCATATCTGCATCTTGTGTCTGTTAAAATTCTTTGTATTCATGGCCAGGCACAGTGGCTCATGCCTGTTATCCCAGGACTTTTGGAGGCTGAGGTGAGAGGATCGCTTCAGAAGTTCAAAACCAGCCTGGGCAACATAGGGAGACCCTGTCTCTACAAAAAATTTAAAAATTAACTGGGTATGGTGGCACACACCTGTGGTCCCAGCTACTTGGGAGGCTGAGGTAGAAGGATCACTTGGACCTGGGAGATTGAAGCTGCAGTGAGCCATGATCACACCACTGCACCCCAGCCTGGATGACAGAGTGAGACCCTGTCTCAGGAAAAACAAAAAAACAAAAAAACAAAAAAACACACACACACATTATTTGTTCATAAGTGGAGAAAACTTTTGTGGACTGGGAGTGTGGAAAAAACAGTCAACATGCATTTTTCCTGTTCTCTTACACCATAATAATACAGAAGACTTCTGTGACAAAATATGTAGGGGTTTCTTCCCACACACCAAGTAAGCAATTAGTTCTGCAGTGGACACAGCCGGGTGTCCACCAGTTAATTCAACTGTGACACCATCTACCTGGAAATAGCCTCAGAAACCACAGGTTGAGGAATCAGTTCCACAGAACTGCTCCCTCCTTCCCACCAGTCACGAGTCTGGGCTTCCAGAATGTCTGACCAGCTGGCTTCAAGTTGGGGTTACCATGACCCACCCTCTTCGGGGTTGATTAATTTGCTGGAGGAGCTCACGGAACTCATGGAAGCACTTACTTACATTTAAAAAGGATGCAAATAAATAGCCAGATGGAAAGATAACACAAGGCAAGATCTGGAGGAGCTTCCGTTCCTGTGGAGTTGGGGTGCACCACTCGCCCAGCGCGTGGATGAGTTCTCCTTCACTGTCCTGTCAGCCTCCATGCGTTCAGCTATCCGGAAGCTCTCTGAACCTTGTCTTCTTGGGCCTTTTATACACTCGTTGGATAAGCATGACTAAAGCATGGACAACCATGTCAAAATGTGATTGGGCAAAAAGGGTATGATTTAATACTAACAGACCGAGGGTGGAATCCATCAGGGCCTGTCTGCTCAGATTCTTTTCGGCCTTTCTGTGCAGCATTCCTTCCCTCCAGGGTATGGGGCAGGGCCCTCTCTGGAATGAGGGTCTTATGACCCACAATTAGATTAGAACCCTGCCTTGGGCAGGTGAAAGGAGGGCAGGAGAGGTCAGAGAGAGAGAAATTCTGCTTCCTGAGGCCTGTTTCTAAGGCCTAAAGTGTCCCAACATTATAACAGATGACTGTAAAAGGGCTATGGGAGTTATAGGCCAGGAACTGTGGATGAAAACTTATATACATATAATTATAGATATATATACACACACACACAATTATATCACACTAACTTAATCAGGAAAGTAATGTATTGGGGGTAATGTTGAGTAGCTCATAGAATGGGTAGGATATTGGAGAACTTGGCTTGGAAAAATGACAAGTGAGAAACCAGAAACACTCTGTGTTTGTGGGCAGCAGGAACTACTTGGCAGTGCCATCAGGGTGCCACTGTTTTTTTTTTTTTTTTTTTTTTTTGAGACGGAGTCTCGCTCTGTCGCCCAGGCCAGACTGCGGACTGCAGTGGCGCAATCTCGGCTCACTGCAAGCTCCGCTTCCCGGGTTCACGCCATTCTCCTGCCTCAGCCTCCCGAGTAGCTGGGACTACAGGCACCCGCCACCGCGCCCGGCTAATTTTTTGTATTTTTAGTAGAGACGGGGTTTCACCGTGTTAGCCAGGATGGTCTCGATCTCCTGACCTCAAGATCCACCCGCCTTGGCCTCCCAAAGTGCTGGGATTACAGGCGTGAGCCACCGCGCCCGGCCAACCACTGTTGATATAGATGTATTCCAGTTAATTTTCCTATCCTCGTCTCACTCTACTAAGGATTCACAGTCCTAGGAGAGGGAGTATGACCAGCTAATCTTGTGTCATTTGCTTGCTTCTTGGCTGGGAGAAGTTAGCGTCCCTGATATGTCGTACTGCTGAGACTGTATACCCTGGAAGGAAGAAGTAATTGCATAAAAAGATGTCAAGGTGATTTTGAAGGGGTAATGGATGCTAGTAGAAAAATAAAAGCAAAACAAGTAAACAAGTGAACCAATACTCAACTCACCAGTCACCCACCCACCCACTCATCCATCCATTCATCTGTTCACCTATTCATTCATCCTGTCATCCATATATCATCCATTCTCTCAGCCAGTCAAGCAACACAATTTTATTGAGTACCCATCGTGTTCCAGAGGCCATGCCAGGCACTTAGATACAGTAAAATGACACCACTCAGAAACATCCCAAGAGTATCCTCACAAAGGACGCAGCTATGAAGCTAAAAGATACAGAGAAAGGAATGCATATACGTCCATGTACTGGAGGGTTCAAAACAACATTGCTAGGGACATGGTGACTAATTCTGGATGTGGGCAGATAAGAGCTGATTTTTATGAACATCTCATACTGCCAGGAGATTGCTTAACATGGGGCAGAAATGGGACCAGGATTAAGCACCAGAAAACCTGGGTCGGCCTCTGGTCTCTGCTTCTCTAGAAAAGGCATATTTCCTTTTCCTTATCTGCTCAACAAGAAGAATGAATATAAGAATCCGTGTTTTGTCTAATTCAGAGAACTGTGGAGGTGAAATGAGTTAATGGATGTGAAGGCATTTTCCGATACAAAGAAAGATAATTATTTCACCACGGTGACTTCTGTTTCCTGAGTGGCTGGTAGCTCTGTGGCTAATGTGCTTTGACTTCTTTCACGCCCTCGCTGCCCGCTATCTGGTGGTAACTGTGCAGGGGTCTGTTGTGTTTCAGTTCCTTAGGCTGGTCGATGAATGTCCAGGGTCATCACTGCTACCTGCCTCAGAGAAGTGGACGCTTAAGGTCCTGTGGGCCCCAAGGAAGCTGGAAATAGTAGCTGTGTGAGTGTGTATGTGTGGGACTGGGGCTGGTTTCTTGTATGTGGGAATGAAATAACCAGGGGAAGTTCTGAACCATGTGGTAGGCTCAACTACTTTCAGCCCACAATAGGAAGGAGCTCCAACTTGTAGCCAAGCCAACACAGGAGACCACAGCTTGAGGTCAGAGGGTGAAGCATATACTGTCTAGAGGAATTAGCCCTGAACCTACAGCGTTCCAGGCCACAACCCTGAGTGAGGCAAGTCGGCTCTCTGAGCCCCAGTTTTCTCATGTGTGAAACGGGTGGCTTGCCTGTAGGAAACAGGCTGTTGGTGGTGCTGGCTCATCTTCTTCACTGGTCCTAGGATGAATTTCTGGGCCAGGCATGGGCCTGCCTGTTTACTTCTCAGCTAGTCTCTTCCGGCTTTTTCCTCATCTAAAAAGCACTCCCGGCAGGGCACAGTGGCTCACCCCTGTAATCCCAGCACTTTGGGAGGTCAAGGCAGGCGGATCACTTGAGGCCAGGAGTTCCAGACCAGCCTGGCCAACATGGCGAAATCCCGTCTCTACTAAAAATACAAAAAATTAGCTGCGCATGGTGGCGCGTGCCTGTAATCCCAACTACTTGGGAGGTTGAGGCAGGAGAATCACTTGAACCCAGGAAGCGGAGGTTGCAGTGAGCCAAGATGGTGCCACTGCACTTCAGCCTGGGCAACAGAGCAAGACTCCACCTCAAAAAAAAAAAGCACTCCCTTGACTGCCTTTTATTATTATCACTATTATTTTATATTATTATTATTATTACTATTTTGAGACAGAATTTCACTCTTGTTTCCCAGTCTGGAGTGCAATGACTCGATCTCGGCTCACTGCAGCCTCCGCCTCCTGGGTTCAAGCGATTCTCCTGCCTCAGCCTCCCAACTAGCTGGGATTACAGGCATGTGCCACCACACCCGGCTAATTTTTTCTATTTTTAGTAGAGACAGGGTTTCACCATGTTGGCCAGGCTGGTCTTGAACTCTTGACCTGAGGTGATTTGCCCACCTCTGCCTCCCAAAGTGTTGAGAGTACAGGCATGAGCTACTGCGCCCGGCTGTGCCTTTTATTATTGATGGGCTATACATTGCTACATCCTCTATAAAGTTTGAAAAAATTTAAAAGTACATACTGTATTTAATAAGCACTAGTATTCCTACTTCTAGGAATTTATCTTACAGATGTAGTCACATATGTACAACTTGATCTATACAAAATATTCATGGTTTGTAATAGTGAAGATTGAAGTTTATCAATAAAGGACTAATGAAATAATTCTGGCACTTCCATATAACAGAATGCCAGGCTGCTACTAAAAAAAATGAGGAGGCCGGGCATGGTGGCTCACGCCTGTAATCCCAGCACTTTGGGAGGCCGAGGTGGGCAGATCACGAGGTCAAGAGATCCATCCTGGCCAACATGGTGAAACCCTGTCTCTACTAAAAATACAAAAATTAGTTGGGTGTGGTGGCGCGTGCCTGTAATCCCAGCTACTCAGGAGGCTGAGGCAGGAGAATCGCTTGAACCCAGGAGGTGGAGGTTGCAGTGAGGCGATATCGCGCCACTGCACTCCATGCACTCCAGCCTGGGTGACAGAGTGAGACTCAGTCTCAAAAAAAAAAAAAAAAGGGCAGTCTTCATACTTGCAGAAATGAATAATCCCTAAGACACACTAGATGAAAGAAACAAGGAGGATAGAATGGCTTACATAGTATGCTACAATGTATGTGTGTTTAAAAAGAAGAGAGAGACTCATCTATGTTTGTAAATGCTTTTGGAGGCTGCATAAGAAATTGGCAACAATTCCCTTCCTGTTAGGAAGGGTAATGGGAGAGAGGCCTGGAGGACAGCGGTAGGAGGGAGACCTTCTTTTCCTTGTATACCACTTTGTATCTTTAGAATTTTGTATCATGTGCATATTTGATCTATTTCTAATAAGTCATGTGGTAGGGGGTTACCCAGGTATTGGAGGGAGAATTCCCATGGAGCTTCAGCCCGTCTTAGAGCTTCTTTTACCCCCTCAGGCCAGTAAGAGATTCAGGCTCTCTCAGCAGAGGTTGAGGTGCATGATTCACCCAGTGGCTCATTCCTGCCCCAGCCCCCTCACCCAACCCCTCACCCCACCCTTTACCACATCAGGGAAGTGGGCTTTTAGAATCATATTTTGACACCAAAAACAACCATACGTGCCCTCCCCCAAAAGAAGAAGAGTGATATTTCATCATCTCCGGGGAAGGAGTGGTAGACATTATCTCCTCTGATGGAGGGTATTTCATAGTGGAAACAGGATAGTCTTTGGAGTTGTACAAACTTTGGTTCAAATTCCAGCCTCTGCTGCTTATGCTGTAAAAGCTCAAGAAATTGCTGTGCTCTTGCTGGACTGTTTCCTCATCTATAAAATGAACTGACTTTCTACTGAGCCCACGTGACTGGTAAGGACCAGATAAGGTCATTGCATATGATGCCTGGCACATACTAGGTGCTCAGTAAATGGAAGTAGTTGTGCTCACAGTCACTGAGATCAGCTCAGCCTACTGGAGCCCTTTATCACAAAGGAAGGAGGAAACAGTAGTGGTTGGAATTGGACTCAGTTCAGCAAACACTGATGCCCTCTCTGGGCTTGGCCCCTTGCCCAGTAGAGGTAGAAAGGCACAGTGCCTCCTTGCCAGGGATGCACGTTGATCAGAACAGTCCGGGAGAGCCTCAAGTTTGCAGCTGCCTCTCTATAGTTCTGAGGTCTAGAGACAGTGTGGTCAGCCCAAAGGGGGCTGTTTCCAGGGCAGACTCAGCATTGGTGTTTGCAGTGGGGACTCTCTTGTCAGGGAACAGGCTGAGTTGGGAGTGAGAATCCTGGAGGTTGCTTCGTGAAGATGGTGTGTTGGACCAGTAGGGACCTCAGGAACAAGCTTCCCCAGCGTCGAGGGCTCCTGTCTCCTGGCTTGTCCCCTCCGCAGAGGCCCCTGCAGTACAATGGCCTTTCCTGCCACTTGGGAATTGATTTTGAAGATGGGGTTTGCCTGTCAGCTGCAGACACATATCTCTTTTCTCCCCTGATGGGCAGTGGCGGAGAGCATGGGCATTTAGAGGAAGCAGACCTGGGTCTGGGTTCTTGCTTGGCTGTTGATTCACTCAGTGGCCACGTTCCCTAACTTTGCTAAGCCTCAGTTTCTTTGTGAAATGGGTATAATAATATTACCTACTGCTTCATGTGAGGATTCAAAAAAATACCCCATTACAAAAATGTTTGTAGGCATTACACAACTATTTTAGCAAAGCTGCCTAACATTGAGCTGGCTGATCTAAAATGAGGGCAAAATTATTCTTAGGGAGGGAATTACTCTTAGGATTAGGGGGGAAAATACCTTAATGGGCATGTGTGATTATAAAAAGGGAAATCCCTCCATTCCATCCCGCCCCTACCTCATATTGCCTAGAGAGGGCTAACTCTGCGTAAGAAACAGGATTGGAAGTCATTCATGGTCAGTGTGAGATGGGGTAAGGATATGTGGTGGTGAGAGAGAAGAGGGGAGATGTGCAGGGATCTAGAACACAGTGGGCCAGATCCTGGGAATAAAATCAGGCCAGGGAGAGATTAATTTATTCTGTCAGGGAATGGCCAGTGGTTTTTTAAGGCAGGGATTTTTATGGCTGGTATCCAAATTCAAGTTCTCACCTGAATTATTCTGTGCTATATTCAATACCTATCTTGTGTGCAAATCTCCAGTAAACATGTTACAACCAATAGCCTTACATCGTGGTTGTTTTGGGGGAATGAAGAAATGAGGGCCCTGACCCTCGTGGGGTGAAGCAGCATGTGAAGAAATGGAGAATTCCGTGGAAGCTGGGAATCAGAGGAAGAGGTGCCATGATGTAACAGGAGCCTTCAGTTCTTGGGGATGTAGATGGGGTGAGTCTTGACTACTTGCAGTATCTGAGATGGAGAATGGGAATGACTTTTTGGATATTCTGGTGAGGTTCCGGATGCCCACATAGCAGAGGCTGCCAAATGGGCAGTTTAAAAAGGATAGAGGACATGCTGAGGCTCAGATCAGTGAGAACTGGGTGGGGCCCAGGCAGCAAGTGGCTGTGGGTTCTGGCCTCAGCAAGAGAACAGACCACAGGGTCCGCCAGCTGTGGCACTGGAGCATCAAGAGGGTCCCGGAGCAAGGTGAGATGAGCCATATGTCAACACGTCAGCTGCAGTCAGCAGAATGAGAACCATGCCCCACCCTCTGCATGACGCCCTGCATCCTGAAGCCACCCTGGGAGGTAAGAAACAGTCCTGACAAGGAGTTTGAACTTCACATTGGCCATGAATATTTACCTGAAGTGAAACTGCTTCATTTCAGAGGAGCTCATTTTCCTTAATTACCCTTGTTCAAATGTTTCTTCCACCATTGGTGAGAGTGGGTGCTCCAGTGTGAGCTCAGTTACTGAAAAATAGCAACTCTTTTCTGCACGTCCAAGTTGTAACATGTACATTTTTGACACTGCTACATGATTAATGATGAAGAACTACCCCCAGGGTCACATAAACACACAGTCCTCCAGCCATAAAACTTCCCTCTCATGTTGCAGACACACAGGCTGCTTTCTAGCCCCATCGCTGCAGACACTCTAACCACCCGTTTGTCTCGTCAAAATCCTGTCAGTGCTTCTGAAAACAGGAGAGAAACACTGACAGCTCACACCCTCACTTTTCTGTCCTGCAGCTGCTTTTTGATGGCTCCAACCCCTTAAGAAGGCTTAATTTCCCTGCAGGGACCAGCCAGGATATGCTCAGAAAGTAGGACATGGAATTGTTTTGTTAAAAAAAAAAAAAAAGTAGAAAAAAGAAAAGAAATGGAAAACATAGAGACAGTCTGAGTCACAGTGAGGCAGGGCGTGACCTAGACACACTGGGTATCAGGGTGGCTGGATTTTCTCTTTACTGTTCCATAGAATGTGGCCTTTCCCGTTCTGAAAAGTAAAAGATAATATTAGCTAATGTGTCCCTCGAGCCTTGTTGGGAAGATTAAAGAATTGAACGGTATTTGGCACATTGTAAACTTTCTCTCTCATCGTCTATACTTTTGCTCTTTCTTTTTCTTTCTCCATCTCTTCCACTTTCTCCATCAGTGACAAGTTGAATGATAGTACCATTAAAAATCCCCGCTGTGGCCGGGTGTGGTGGCTCACGCCTGTAATCCCAGCACTTTGGGAGGCCGAGGCGGGTGGATTACCTGAGGTCAGGAGTTTGAGACCAGCCTGGCCAACATGGTGAGATCACTTCTCTACTAAAAATATAAAAGTTAGCTGGGCGTGGTGGTGGGCACCTGTAATCCCAGCTACTTGGGAGGCTGAGACAGAAGAATCGCTTGAACCTGGGAGGCGGAGGTTGCAGTGAGCTGAGATCACGCCACTGCACTCCAGCCTGGGAGACAAAGCGAGACGCCGTCTCAAAAAAAAAAAAAAAATCCCCCTATGAGGAAATAGGAACTTTCCAGTTGGGAGGTGGGGCACATGGAAATAGGAGTTGTCATAACCCCACATTTTGGGCAGCCATGCCAAAAAGCAGTGTGGACTTTCTGCCTCCTTCATCTCCTGTTCTTTACAAATCAGCTCCACCACTTACTAGCTGCCTAATTCTGGGCAGCTGGTTGACGTTTCCAAGGCTGTTTTCTTATCGGAGATATGAGGATGATGCTATACACTACACAATGTGGCTATGATTAGGAATTGGCCTAAAATATGTAACATGGTACTTGGCAGATACTCCATAAATGTGGCTGTTTAAGCTAAAATGATGAAGCTCAACGGGTCAGGCTAACAATCTAGGAGTTGACTTTTCTTTCTTTCCCACCTTTCTTAGGTTGGCTCCTCCAGAAGCCGAACCTGAGAGAGGATTTGAGTGCAAGTATTTTTTTTCTCTTTCTTGAGACAGAGTCTCACTGTTACCTAGGCTGGAGTGCAGTGGTGTGATCTCAGCTCACTGTAACCTCTGTCTCCTGGGTTCAAGCAATTCTCGTGCCTCAGCCTTCTGAGTAGCTGGGATTATAGGCATGCACAACCATGCCCGGCTAATTTTTGTATGTTTAGTAGAGACGGGATTTCACCATGTTGGCCAGGCTGGTCTCGAACTCCCAGCCTCAGGTTATCCACCTGCCTCAGCCTCCCAAAGTGCTGGGATTACAGGCGTGAGCCACTGTGCCCGGCTGAGTGAAAGTAGTTTACTGAGAGGTGATCTCAGGAAGCTCCAGAAGGGAAATGGGGAAATGAAGTATACCTTATCTTATTTTAGCCTCAGATCAACCCTCTCTGGATATTGTTATTATTCTTTATATTCTATAGATGAATTAAGTGGTGGTTTTAAACATGTCCACAATTCTATATTTGTACCATCAAGTGGTGGAAAGTAGGTCCTCTGTTCTTGGATCTTTGCAACATTCTCAATACGTGGATCAGAATGATTCTCAACGCTAGATTAGAAAATGTTGCCCAGATGCTTGCTATTCTTTTTGAAATATTGGCTCAGGAAGCCTTTGAAGTGTAGCTACCCTGAGACTGCCATGCTGGAGAGACCATGTGGAGAGAGACAGAGAGAGAGAATTAATGTCTGACTGTAACTACCTGAGAGACCCCACACCAGAACCTCCCAGCCAACCCTTTCCTGCATTCCTAATCCACAAAAATTGTAAGAGATAAGAAATGGTTATTGTTTTAAGCTTAAAGTTCTGGGGTGATTTTTCTGTACAGAAGTTGATTACTGGAACATGATCTTGATGGGGTATGGAGCATGCTACCCCAAAATGTGGCACCTTGGCCTACTGATTATTTTAAGCTGAAAGAAACTGAGAAAACTACAGAAACAGGGAGGTCACTCTCTGACCTCCTCCCACCTTTCTCCCTTGAAGCAGGCTGTAAAAGAATTCTGATCTACCTCCTCTGAAAATAGGTCATAAGATCCTCATTCCAGAGAGGTCCTCCCCAACCCTGGAGGCCAAGAAGAATCTGAGCAAACAGGCCTTGATAAGTCTTCCCCTCCCTCAGTTTATTACCATTAGAATATACCCTTTTGTCTTCTAATCATACTTCTGCATGACTGTACATAAAAGTAGTTTTTCTTTAGTATTTGGATTTTCATTTCTGAAGTCTCTTGTTTTATGTAAAACTTACCATAAATAAATTTGTATGCTTTCTCTTGTTAATCTGTCTTGTTATAGGGGCCTCAGCCATGAAACTCGCGATGGGTGAGAAAAAGATATTATATTTCCTCCCCTACAATTTGTGCCCAGATTTTTCTGACTGCAGAGATCTCCTTCAATAACTCCTTATTTATTTATTTATTTATTTATTTATTTATTTATTTATTTTTATGTTTTGTGGCAGGGCCTTGCTTGTACCCCCGGCTGGAGTACAGTGGTGCAATCACAGCTCACTGTAGCCTCAACCTCCTGGGCACGAGTGGTCTTCCCACCTCAACTTCCTGAGTAGTTGGGACTACAGGCATGCGACACCATACCCAGCTAATTTTTGTATTTTTTATAGACACAGGGTTTCGTCATGTTGCCCAGACTGGTCTTAAACTCCTGGGCTCAAGCCATCTGCCCACCTCAGCCTCCCAAAGTACTGGGATTACAGGTGTGAGCCATCACACCTGGCCAATAACTCCTTATTTCATAAAAACTAAAATGCAGACTCCTTTGTATGGCATTCAAGTGTTGACAATTTGGCCCCAGACTACTTTTCAACCCAAACCCCAGCCATCCCAGCCTGCGACTTCATTGTGAAACGATAGAGGGGACCAAAAAAGCATGAGCTTTGAAGAGAGTGTGGTATTGTAGAGGAGAAAAAGTAGTTATCTTTTCCTCACCCATTGTTTCATGGATGACACCCTTATAACAAAAGACAGATTAACAAGAATAAAGCATAACAAATTTATTTAATTTTAAAAATCAAAGTCTTGCGTGACACTGGAACCTTCAGAAATGACACAGATACCCAGGGGAAAACTGCTGTTTTTTTATGCTTAGGTTTGATGAAGAATGGGCTGTAAACCAAAAATAAAATTTGAAGCCCTTCAGCCATCTGAATGGGCACCTCCTCTCGGCCAAGGGCATTCTAAAGTTAACCTGAAAAACTAGTTCAGGTCATGATCGGAAGGGGGGAGTCAGACACGCCTTGTTACCATTCACGTCAAAAAGATCTTAAGACTGATAGAACAGACTCTTGAAGTCTGATAAGAAATATTTAAAATCTACTCTCTCTGAAGCCTGATACCTGGAGGCTTCATCTGCATGATAACAGCTTGGTCTCCACAACCCCTTATGGTAACCTAGACATTCCTTTCTAATGATTCCAGGTTTTTAGGTAATAACTCAACCAATTGCCAATCAGAAAATCTTTGAATCCACCTATCTGGCCCTCCATCAAAAAAAAAAAAAAAGTCTTCAGTTATTCAAATAGTTGTTTTCCCATATGTATTGTGCCACTTTTCTCTCCTGCTTTCAAAATTCTCTCTTTTTTTGCTTTCAGCAGTTTGACTTTGATATGCCTAAGTATAGGTTTCTCTGAATCAATCCTATATGGGGTTTGCTGACCTTGAATTTGTAAATTCAAGCCTTTCAGAAAATTTGGGAAGTTTTCTGTAATTATTTCTTTATATTTTTCCCACTTCATTCTCTTTCCTCTGCTTCTTCACTTCAAGTGTCCGTATGTCGATGAAAAGAGTTGAACTGTAAAATATTTGAAGAGATTTATTCTGAGCCAAATATGAGTGACCATGGCCCATGACACAGCCCTCAGGAAGTCCTGAGAACATGTGTCCAGGGTGGTCAGGGCGTAGCTTCGTTTTATACATTTTAGAGAGGCATGAGACATCAATCACATACATTTAAGAAATACATTGGTTTGGTCCAGAAAGGTGGAACAACTCAAAGTGGAGTTGGGGGCTTTCAGGCTATAGGTGAATTTAAACATTTTCTGATTGACAATTAAGGTTGAGTTTGTCTCAAGACCTGGGATAGATAGAAAGGGAATGTTCAGGTTACGATAAAGATTGTGGAGACCAAAGTTCTTTTGAAGTCTTATAGTGGCTGCCCTTAGAGAAATAGGTGACAAATGTTTCCTATTCAGATCTTAGTGAATCTCTTTAGGATTGGGAGGTTCTAGAAGAAAAAGATCTAGCTATGTTAATAGAGATGCTTTACAGATACAAAATTTCTCCCACAAAGAGAAGCTTTGCAGGGCCATTCAAAAATATGGCAAAATAACATGTTTTGGGGTAAAATATTTTGATTTTCTTTGTCTTGCAATGTTATGACACGGTCAGGCTGGAAAGTAAATCATGATATATAGGGTTAAATAAGACCCATCTGATGAGAATTTACGATTTGTAGGGCATGACTCCTCAGACCCCTTAGATAGGAATTCAGGCAAGATAAAAAAATTAGTCCATACTTATGCTAGATCCTTTTTTTTTTTTTGAGATGGAGTCTCCCTCTGTCGCCCAGGCTGGAGTGCAGTGGCGCGATCTCGGCTCACTGCAAGCTCTGCCTCCCGGGTTCATGCCATTCTCCTGCCTCAGCCTCCTGAGTAGCTGGGACTACAGGCGCCTGCGACAACACCTGGCTAATTTTTTGTATTTTTAGTAGAGACGGGGTTTCACCATGTTAGCCAGGATGGTCTGGATCTCCTGACCTCATGATCTGCCTGCCTTGGCCTCCCAAAGTGCTGGGATTACAGGCGTGAGCCGCCATGCCCGGCCAATATTCACATATTTAACTGTGGTATTAGGCAAAGTTGAACTACTTCTGAATACGGAAGACACATCTAGAGATGAAAATACCATCTTACAATTAAACGAACTTACAATGTCTGAGGAGAGCTGAGTTGGAGATGGAGTCATGGGCTCTTGATAGATTTGGCGGAAGTTCATCATTTCCAGGGGTATTTAGCTGCTGAATGATAATCTTTTGCTGGTCTTTCAAATGTTTAAACTGCTCAGGGGATATTAAAGGCTGAGCTGGGGCCCTGTGTTGAGTTAAAACTTCCACCTGATAGGTGAACTCTGGAGTCATGGTAACCATGTGATCCACAGGCTTAACAATGACATGGTGAAATGTTGGAGGCTGAACTTCCTCATGACTTACAGGAGAAACTATTACTCTGTGATGCTCTGGAGGTTGAGCTACAACTTCATTAGGGAGCTCTGAAGGCTGAGCTGGGGCATCTTGCTGGGTTGGAGAAGACTCGACCTACTCAGGGGTCTGTGGATGCTCACCTGCAGCCTCCTACTGTATTGGAGAGGGGTTCTCATCTTTAGTAGGTTCTGGAGATTCAGCTGAAGTCTCCTGTTGAACTGGTAAAGGTCCAGTCTCTTCCGATGACTCTGTAGGCAGAGGCGGGGCCCCATGCTGGATGTCAGAATGTTCCACATCATTAACTGGCCCTGAGAGCTGAGCTGTAGCCTCCTGATGGACTGGCGAAGTTCCCACCTCTGCAGTAGGCTGTGTTGCTATGGTGAGCTGCATATTTGGAGGCTTAACAGTGACATTGGGCAAATCTCAGTGTTGAACTTGATGGTGACCAGGAGGTGGAACTGTTACTTGATGATGTTCTGGAGGCTGGGCTGGGGTCTCCTGCAGGCTAGAGAGGACTCAACTTCTCCAGAAAACCCAGAAGGCAGACCTGGCTGCTCCTGCTCACTGGGGAATGTTCAGCATTCACATGAGGACCTGGAGGCTCAGTTGTGGCCTCCTGTTGGGTTGCAGAAGGTTACACCTGCTCTGGATGCTGGTTTGGGGCCGCCTGCTGGGCTGGAGAAGAGTCAGTGTCCGTGGTAGGCTCTGAAGTTATGCTAATCTCTACATCTGCAGGTTTAACTGTAATGCTCGGCAAGGTATAATGAGCTTGATCCTCACCCTGAGTTTGAACTGTCACTTCATGATTCAGTGGAGTTTGAGCTACACTCTCTATAGAAGACTCTGGAGGCAGAGTTGGGGGTCTCCTGGGTCTGAGAAAATTCCACCTCCCCAGAAAACTCAGAAGGCTGAGCTGGCTGCTCCTGCTGACTGGGGGAAGGTTCAGCCTCCACAGGAGGACCTGGAGGCTCAGCTGGGGTCCCCTGCTGGGGGCAAAATATTTCATCTCCTCAGTGCACTCTGGTGTCTGAGCTGGGCCCTCTAATTGGGTTGAGGAAGAGTCCACCTCCCTGGGGTTCTCTGGAGGCTGAGCTGCAGCCTTGTCTACCAAATTTCAACCATACCTGTAATCATGACTTTGCCTAGACTGTACTCCCATTTGTTTTCTATTTAACAAATTATAGCTACACTTTAAGTCCCAAGTAAGTTTTAGCTTATTGATGTAGCTTTCCCTGATCTCCACACCTCAAGGATCACAGATTCTGGTGAATCCTAGCACCGATGGTCTGCATTATCTTGTAGTATTTCATTATATATACCTCCTTTTCATGCCTAGTCTCTTTCTTCCCTCCTATCATTTTCATTTCTGAAGACAGTATCATACTTGGCCAAGGGTTGACAGAAAACGACTGCTACAGATAGAAAGCCAGGGACAAAGATGCGTTCTGGACATAACTAAAGGACTGAGTAATCATGTTAGCAGCCAACACTCCCACATATGCTAGGCACCGATGTAAGCAATACATGTATGCACTCACTTAAATCTCACAACAATCCTATGGCATGGTAACTAGCATAATCCCCAGTTTAAAGACGAGGAAACTGAGTCACAGAGAAGAATAACTTGCTCAGGGTAACCAAGCTAATAAATGACAGACCTGGGTTCAAACCCAGGCAGCCTGGCTACAGAATCAACTCTTAACCACTTAGAGCATCATCACTGAGATGGGAAGAGGGACAGGCTGCTGTAAAGAGGGTGAAGTGAAAATGGGAGGAGAGCCGCTGTTAAGCAATGATGTGATGGGGCTAAAGGAAAGTGGATAAGAAAAGGGTTAAGAGCAATCACAAGTAAAAGACCAGAGAAGGGGCCTAACAGTAAAGGAGAACCAGGAGAAGGAAGAATTGACAAGAAAGGTGAAAGCAGAAAGTCCGTTGTCAGTTCGGTTTGGTGAGATAAAGGAGGCCCAGGAAGGCCTCCACGAAAAGGCTGTCATGTCAGGCAGGACACAGAACAATTGAGGAAAGACGATTCTCACAGGATGGTGAAGGTGTCATTGCAGGTGCTGGGCTCTGGTACAGGCACTTGGTGGAGCCTCTGCTTTGGGCTGAGATCAATACATGAGAGTGTTTCATCTCTGCAGGTATAGAGATCACATATGTTGGTGCTTGTAGAGGCCTTCGGTTCCTCCTGTGCAGTTAAAGCCTTATTTTGGGCATAACTTTCAGACTGCACCAGTGAATTCTGAGTAGGTTCTAGTTCAGAAGGTGAAATGTGTGACTTCAGTCAGGTTTCAATGCTGAGTCTGAACTTGGTCTGGATGTGGAGCTGTAGTCTTGTCCAGGCCTGTAGAATGTTCAGTCTCTATGGTGAGTTCTGGAACTATGGCAAATCCCAGGTCTGAAGGCTGAGTTGAGGTCTCCTCCATGGTTGGAGAAGTTTTAACCTCTGTAGTAGGTTCTGTAGTTATGGTAAGCTCCAGGTCCAAAGATTGAACTGTGAATTGAGTCAGGTTTGGATGCTGAGCCTGGTTCTTGTCTGGAGGTGGATGTGTCATTTCAGGATGCTTTGGAGGAGGAGCTGTAGTCATCGGGGCTGTAGAAGGGCAGAGCTTGATCTTGGCTTGGTGTTGGAATGGGTATCTGATAATAATACACAGGCGGTTGAGCTACAAACTCCTTAGGTAGCTCTGGAGGCCGAGTTGGGGTCTTCTGCATGGTTGGAGAAGGCTCAACCTCCATAGAGGATTCAACCTCCATAGAGTTAAGGTAAGTTTCAGACCCAAAGGTTGAACTGTGACTTGAATCAGGTTTGAATGTAGAGTCTGAACCTGGTGTGGATGTGGAAGTGTCATCTCAGGGTGCTTTGGAGGAACTGTAGTCTTTTTCAGGGGTGTAGAATGTTCAACCTCTGTAGTGGGTTCTGGAGTTATGGTAAGTCCACCAGGTCCAGAGGTTGAACTGTAACGCTAGGTGACATTGGATGCTGAGCTTGATCCTGACCCGGTGTTGGAACACTCACCTCTTGATATACTGGAGGTTGGGGTACAAATTCCTTAGGAGGCTGAGTTGGGGTCTCCTGCATGGTTGGAGAAAGTTCAATTTCTGTAGTGGATTCTGGAGTGATGATAAACCCCAGGTCCAAAGGTTGAAGTGTGACACTGGCCAGTGTTGAAAGCTGAGCTTGATCCTGACCTTGTGTTGGAATTGTCACCTCATAACGAGGTGGAAGTTGAGCTACAACCTCCGTAGGTGGTTCTGGAAGTTGATTTGAGTTCTCCATGGTTGGAGGAAATATATTCTCTGCAGTAGGTTGTGGAGTTGTGGTAAGTTTCAGATCCAAAGTTTAAACTGTGACCTCAGTTAGGTTTGTGTGCTGAGCCTGCACATGGTCTGGAGTTGCAAGAGTCACTTCAGGGTGTTTTGGAGGAACTGCAGTTTTTCTCAGGGTTGTCGAATGCTCAGCCTCCTTTGTGGATACTGGAGTTATAGTAAGCCCTAGGTCTAAAGGTTGAAATGTGACACTGGGTGACACTGGATACTGAGCCTGGTCCTGCCTTGCTGTTGAAATTATCATCTCATAATGCATTGGATGTTGAGCTGCAACCCGCTTAGGTGGCTCTGGAAGCTGACCTGGGACCATCTGCTGGCTTGAAAGTTCTATATTCTTGGGGGGCTCTGAAGCCTGAACTGTGGCCTCCTGCTGGTTTGGAGAAGGCTCTGCCTCCATAGGGGGTATGGAGTCTGAGCTGGAAAGTTTTGCTGAGTTAGAGAGGGTTCCACTTCCTGAGGGAGCTCTGGAGGCAAAGATGGGCTATCTGCTGGACTGGAGAGGGTTCTACCACAATAGAGGGCTCTGAAGACTGAGCAGGGACTGCCTGCTGGACTGGAGAGCATTCTACCTTTTTAAGTGGCTCTAAAAGCTGAGTTGGGGCCTGCTGTAGGACTGGAGATAGTTCAACCTTCTCAGGTGGCTCTGATGGCTGAGCTGGTATCTCCTGCTTTGGTGGAGGATTGACCTCTTTTGTGGACTTCAGAGGATGACCTGAGGCTTCCTGCTGGGTTGCAGATGGTTCAACCTCCTTAGCAGGCTCTGTTGGCTCAGCTGGAAACTCTTGCTGGACTGGAGAAGGTTCTACCTCCTTAGGGGGATTTGGAGTCTGAGCTGTAGCCTCTTGCTGGGCTGAAGATTCACTCTCTTCAGGAGACTCCAGAGGTAGGGAAGGGGAATCAGGCTGGGCTAGAGAAAAGTCAGCCTGCTCACTGGAAATAGGAGGGTTGTCCTGCTGGACTGGAGAAGGTTCAACCTCTATAGTGACTGCTGTAGGTATGGTAAACTCTATATCCACATTTTTAACTGTGATTTTAGGCAAAGTTGAATTATTTCTGAATATTGAAGACAGATCTTCAGGTGAAAAATTCCATCTCATCATTCAATGGACTTACAATGTCTGAGGAGAGCTGAGCTGGAGACCAAGTTGTGGGCTTTTGAGCAAGTGGAGAAAGTTCATCATTTTCAGGGGTAGTTAACTGCTGAATGATAATCTCTTGTGCATCTTTCAAATGGTTAAACTTCTCAGGGGACATTAAGGACTGAGCTTGATGGTGAGCTGGAGGTGAAACTGTTACCTCATAATGTTTTCAAGGCTGAGCTGGAATCTCCTGCTGGGCTGGAGAAAATTCAACCTCCCAGGAGACTCAGAAGGCTGAGCTGGCTGCTCATGCTCACCGGGAAAAGGATCAGTCTCCACAGGAGAACATGGAGGCTCAGTTGGGGCCTTCTCTTGGGTTGTGGAAGTTTCCACCTCCTCTGGAGGCTAGGTTGGGGCCTCCTGCTGGACTGGAGAAGATTCATTATCCTTGGCTCTCAAGTTATGCTAATCTCTACATCCACAGGCTTAACTGTAATGCTTGGCAAGGTATAATGAGCTCCATCCTCACCCTGACGTTAAATTGTCACCCATGATTCGGTGGAGTTTGAGCTGCACTCTCCATAGAAGACTCTGGAGGCTGAACTGGGGTCTTCTGCTGGGTCTGAGAAGGTTCAACCTCCCCAGGAAACTCAGAAGGCTGAGCTGGCTGCTGCTGCTTACTGGAGGAAGGTTCAGCTGCCACAGGAGGACCTGGAGGCTCAGCCGGAGTCCCTTGGTGGGTTGCTGCAGATTTAATCTCCTCAGGGTGCTCTGGTATCTGAGCTGGGGCCTCTAATTGGGTTGAGGAAGAGTCCACCTCCTTGGGTTTCTCTGGAGGCTGAGCTGTGGGTCGTTCTACTCAATTTCGACCATACCTGTAACCATGCCTTTGCCTAGACCGTACTCCTATTTTTTTCTTATTTAACAAATTATAGCTAATTTTTAAGCCCCAGGTAAAGTGTTAGTTTACTGATGCAGCTTCCCCTGACCTCCATAATTCAAGGATCACAGATTCTGGTGAATTCTAGCACTGATGGTCTGCATTATGTTTTAGTACTTTATTATTTACACCTCCATTTTTATGCTTATTCTTTTTCTTCTATCATTTTCATGTTCCAGAGACAGTGTCATACTTGTCCCTGGGTTGGACACAAAACGGGTGCTACATATAGAAAGTCAGGGACAAAGATGAGTTCTGAACATAACTAAAGAGCTAAGTAATCATGTTAACAGCCACCACTCTTACATATACTAGGCACTGATGCAAGTATTACAGGTATTCACTCACCTAAATTTCACAACAATCCTATGAAATGGTAACTAGAATAATCCCCAGTTTAAAGATGAGGAAATTGAGTCACAGAGAAAAATAACTTGTTCAGGGTAACCAAGCTAACAAATGACAGACCTGGGTTCAAACCCAGTAACCTGGCTTCAGAATCAACTCTTAACCACCTAGAGCACTATCACTGAGATGGAGAGACAGACTGCTGTAAAGAGGATGAAGTGCAAATAGGAGGACAGCAGCAGTGAAGCAAATGATGTGATGGGGCTAAAGAAAAATGGATAAGAAAAGGATTAAGAGCAATCACAAGTAAAAGACCAGGGAAGGGGCCTAACAGTAAAGGAGAATGAGGAGAAGGAAGAAATGACAGGCAAAGGCAGAAGCAGAAAGTCAGTTGTCCATGTGGTTTGGTGAGATAAAGAAGGCCCAGGAAGGCCTCCAGGAAAAAGCTGCTATATCAGGCAGGACACAGAGAACAATTGAGGAAAGGTGATTCTTACAAGATGGTGAAGATGCCATTGTAGGTGCTAGGCTCTGGCACAGGCACTTGGCGGAGCCTCTGCTTTGGGCTGATGTCAATACATGACAGCGTCTCATCTCCGCAGGTACAGAGATCACATATGTTGGTGCTTGTGGAGGCCTTCTGTTCCTCTTGTGCAGTTAAAGCCTTATTTTGGGTGTAACTTTCAGACTGAACCAATGAATCCTGAGTAGGTTCTAGTTGAAAGGTGGACCTCTGACTTCAGTCAGGTTTTGAAGCTGAGTCTGAACCTGGTCTGGACGTGAAGCTGCAGTCTTGTCCAGGGCTGTAGAATGTTCAATGTCTGTATGGGGTCTAGAGTTATGGCAAGCCCCAGGTCTGGAGGCTGAGTTGAGGTCTCCTCTGTGGTTGGAAAAGTTTCACCCCTGTAGTAGGTTCTGTATTTATGGTAAGTTCCAAGTCCAAAAGTTGAACTGTGACTTGGGTCTGGTTTGAATACTGAGCATTGACCTTTGTCTCGTGGTGGAAGTGTCACCTTAGGGTGCTTTGGCAGAGGAGCTGTAGTCATCATGGCTCTAGAAGGTTCAACCTTTGTAGTGAATTGTGGAGTAACGGTAAGCCCCAGATCCAAAGGTTGAACTGTGACACTGGGTGAGGTTGGATGATTAGCTTGATCCTGGCCTTCTGTTGGAAGAGACATCTCATAATAATACCCAGGAGGGTGAACTACAACCTGCTTAGGTAGCTCTGGAGGCTGAGTTGGGGTCTTATGCATGGTTGAAGAAGGCTCAACCTCCATAGAGGATTCTGGAGTTAAGGTAAGTTTCAGATCCAAAGGCTGAAATGTGACTTGAGTCAGGTTTGAATGCTAAGTCTGAACCTGGTGTGGATGTGGAAGTGTCACCTCAGGGTGCTTTGGAGGAACTATAGTCTTCTTCAGGGGTGTAGAATGTTCAACCTCTGAAGTGGGTTCTGGAGTTATGGTAAGTCCCAGGTCCAGAGGTTTAACTATAATGATGGGTGATATTCAATGCTGAGATTGATCCTGACCTGGTGTTGAAATTGTTACCTCTTGAAATACTGGAGGTTAAGGTGTAACTTCCTGAGGATGCTAAGTTGCGGCCTCCTGCATGGCTGGAGAAAGTTCAACCTTTGTAGTGGATTCTGGAGCGATGGTAAGCCCCAGGTCCAAAGGTTGAAGTGTGACACTGGCCAGTATTGAATGCGGAGCTTGATCCTGATCTTGTATTGGAACTGTCACCTCATAATGAGCTGGAGGTTGAGTTACAACCTCCATAGGTGGCTCTGGAAGCTGAGTTGAATTCTCCATGGTTGGAGAAAATATACTCTCTGTAGTAGGTTGTTGATTCGTGGTAAATTTCAGATCCAAAGGTTGCACTGTGGCCTCAGGTTTGTGTGCTGAGCCTGCACATGGTCTGAAGGTGGAAGGGTCACCTCAGGGTGTTTTGGAGGAGCTGTAGTCATCCTCAGCATTATAGAATGCTCAGCCTCCATAGTGGGTTCTGGAGTTATGGTAAGCTCCAGGTGTAAATGTTGAAATGTGACACTGGGTGATACCGGATACTGAGCTTGGTTTTGGCTTGCTGTTGGAATTGTCATCTCATAATGCTGGATACTGAGCTTGGTCCTGGCTTGCTGTTACAATTGTCATCTCATAATGCATTAGAGGTTGAGCTGCAACCCCCTTAGGGGGCTCTGGAAGCTGAGCTGGGACCATCTGCTGACTTGAAGGTTCTGCCTCCTTAGGAGGCTCTGGAGCCTGAACTGTGGCCTCCTGCTGAGCTGGAGAAGGTTCTGTCTCCATAGGGGGCTCTGGAGTCTGAGTTGGAACCTCCTGATGAGTCAGAGATGGTTCCACCTCCTGAGGGAGATTTGGAGGCAAAGATGGGGCCATCTGCTCTGTCGAAGAGGATTCTACCACCATAGGGGGCTCTGAAGACTGAGCAGGCACTGTCTACTGGACTGGAGAGCATTCTACCTCTTCAGGTGGCTCTAAAAGCTGAGTTGAGGCCTGCTGTAGGACTGAAGATGGTTTGACCTTCTCAGGTGGCTGATGGCTGAGCTGGTATCTCCAGCTATGGTGGACTGACCTCTGCAGTGGACTTTGGAGGATGACCTGAGGCTTCCTGCTGGGTTGCAGTGGTTCAACCTCCTTAGGGAGCTCTGGTGCCTCAGCTGGGGACTCTTGCTGGACTGGAGAAAATCCACCCCTTTAGGGGAATCTGGGGTCTGAGCTGTGGCCTCTTGCTGTGATGGAGATTCAATCTTTTCTGGAGAATCCAGAGGTGGGGAAGGGGTATCATGCTGGGTTGGAGAAAAGTCAGCCTACTCAGTGGGAATAGGAGGATTGTCCTGCTGGACTGGGGAAGGTTCAACCTCCATAGTGACTTCTGTAGGTATGGTGAGGTCCATATCCATATTTTTAAATGTGGTATTAGGGAAAGTTGAATTATTTCTGAATATTAAAGATAGATCTAGAGGTGAAAATACCATCTCATCATTCAATGACCTTACAAAGTCTGAGCTGGTGACTGAGTTGTGGGCTCTTGAGGGACTGGAGGAAGTTCATCATTTTCAGGGGTATTTAGCTGCTGAATAATCATTTCTTGCTGGTCTTTCAAATGCTGAAACTGCTAAGGGGACATTGAGGACTGAGCTGGGGCCCTGTGTTTGGTTAAAATTTCAACCTGTTAGGTGAACTCTGGAGTCATGGTTACCATGTGATCCACAGGTTTCACAGTGTCATTGTGCAATGTTGGAGGCTGAACTTGATCATGACTTAGAGAAACTGTTACCTCATGATGCACTGGAGATTAGCTATAACTTCAATAGGGATCTCTGAAGGCTGAGCTGGGGTCTATTGCTGTGTTGGAGAAGACTCAACCTCCTCAGGCATCTGTGGATACTCAGCAGCAGCCTTCTGCTGGGCTGGAGAGAGGTTCTCATCTTTAATAGCTGGAGATTGAACTGAAGTCTCCTGTTGAACTGGTAAAGTCATCTTCTGATGACTATGGAGGCAGAGTTGGGCCCCCGTGCTGGGTCATGGAAGGTTCCACATCATTAACTGCCCCTGAGAGCTAAGCTGTAGCCTCCTGGTGGATTGGAGAAGTTCCCACCTCTGCAGTAGGCTCTGTTGCTATGGTGAGCTGCATAACTGGAGGCTTAACAGTGACAATGGGCAAATCTGAATGCTGAGCTTTATGGTGACCTGGAGGTGAAACTTTTACTTCATGATGTTCTGGAGGCTGAGCTGGGGTCTCGTGCTGGGCTGGAGACGATTCAACCTCCCCTGAAGACTCAGAAGTCTGAGCTGTCTGTTCTTGCTCACTCGGGGGAGATTCATCCTCCACAGGACTTGGAGCCTCAGTTAAATCCTGTTGGTTTGCAGAAGTTTCCACTCCCTCTGGAGGCTGGGTTGGGACCTCCTGCTGGGCTGCAGAATATTTAGTCTCTTTGATAGGCTCTGAAGTTATGGTAATCTCTACATCCACAGGTTTAACTGTCATTTGTATAATGAGCTTGATCCTCACCCTGAGTTTGAACTGTCACCTCATAATTCAGTGCAGTTTGATATGCACTCTCCATAGAGAACTTTGGAGGCTGAGCGGTGGCCTCCTGCTGGGTCTGGGAAGGTTCAACCTCCCCAGGAAACTCAGAAGGCTGAGCTGGCTGTTCCTGCTCACTTGGAGAAGGTCTGGCCTCCATAGGAGGAACTGGAGGCTCAGCTGGGGTCCTGTGCTGGGTTGTAGATTTCATCTCCTCAGGGCACTCTGGTGTCTAAGCTGGGTCCTCTAATTGGGTTGAGGAAGGGTCCATCTTCTCAGGGTGCTCTGGAGGCTGAGTTGTGGCCTGTTCCCGGCTTGATGTAAGTTTCTTATCTGGCTTTGGACTTATTGTAAGCTCCAAATCCACAAGTTTGACTGTTACATTGGGCAAGTGTGAGTGATGAGCTTCACTCCAACTTTTTTTGTTTGTTTGAGATGGAGTCTCACTCTGTCGCCCAGGCTGGAGTGCAATGGTGCAATCTCAGCTCATTGCAACCTCCACCTCCCAGGTTCAAGCGATTCTCCTTCCTCAGCCTCCTGAGTAGCTGGGATTACAGGTGCTCACCACTACACCCAGCAAACTTTTGTATTTTTAGTAGAGACAGGGTTTCACCATGTTGGTCAGGATAGTCTCGAACTCCTGATCTCAGGTTATCCACCCTCTTTGGCCTCCCAAAGTGCTAGGACTACAGGTGTAAGCCACTGCACCTGGCCTCACTCCAACTTTTTAATGCAACATTTACCTGATAACGTATTCATAACTGAGCTACAATCTCTTCAGGGCAGGTAGCAGCTGTGTTGGGGCCTCCTGCTCTGTTGAAGAATGGACCCCCTTAAGGGACTGAGAAGGAAGAGCTGGGGCCTCCTACGGGGTTGAAGAAGTTTCTACGTATTCAGGGACCTGTGGAAGCTGTGCTGGGGCTTCTTGCTGGAGTGAAGATGACTGGATCTCTTGGAGGGTCTGTGGATTTTGAGTTTCGGGCTCTAGATAGAATTGGCAAAAGTCCAACTTGCTCATGGGGCCCTGGAGGCTCATCTTTCACCTGGACTTCTGGAGGAAGGCTGCCCAGATACAGTATATCCATACCTGAATCTAAATACTAAATGCTTGTAAAGTTTGTTTCTGACACTGAGGTTTTGATACAAATCGGTGTGGAGTTCCAACAACAACCTTAGCAAGCCTCCGATGCTTAGGTAGATCTTTCTTCTTCAGGTTTTTGGGTGAAACACTAATCTTCATTGCTTTTGAATTCTGACTATCTAGAGGTGGAACAAGTATTTCATATGCCTAATGATCTGCAGCCTGATCTAGACTTACAGTTTGAACCTTACTTTTGAGGCAAAGAGGCCGAGCTACCGTCTGGTTCTGATCCCAGTCTAGCATTGGAACCAACTCTGGGAGCCTTTCTTGTGAGTCAGCTTATCATTCAGATCCTGGTGTGCAACAGCGAACTTCTCTGGCCCCAGGGGCAGCTCTCCAGCTGAATCTGTGTCCAGAAATGGAACCAAAGTCTCAGTCGGTTCCTGAGGCGAGGCTGACATCTGGGTGGCAGTAGAGGACCTCAGGTTATCAAAGCTCCCGGGTCTGTATGGGGGTGGGGGTGGATAAACGCATAGGGAGGTTCCGGGGGGAGATCGGAGGAGCGCCAAGCCCAGGGCTCAGTTGGCCTCAGGGGGTCGGAGGTCAGCTGGAGTGGGCCCTGGACCCACTCCAGAGGCTGAGCCTCCTGGACTAGTAGTCACAGTAGTTGTCACGTGAGGAGGGGCCATAGGGACCAGAGACGCAGCCGGTACATGACAGAAGTTGGCGTCCCGCACTGAGCAGAAGCCATTATGGCAGCCACCAGATGCCCGCGCCCTTAGCAACCGCGGCCCCGCCTCGTCCGTTATTTACCATATCTTTATCTAGGCAACCTTTATTAAGTTCCGTTCGAGATCCGCTCCTCGTCACCAGGGCGATCTTATCCCACAATCCTACCCAAGCCTCCCTTCCCACTCCACCAGAACACCCCTTCCCTCCCCTTCGCCAGGAAAGATTTGGGCGGCCGACCCAGGTGGTTCCAGGACTCCAGCAGCCTATAGTGGTGGGGCGGCGTGGGGTAGGGGCACGACAGAGCTTCCCAAGGAAGTTACATGACCTCGCCTTGGGATATTCAGAAATGCTAGTCAAGTTCTGGCAGCCTGAACTCTTCCTCCTCCAAGCTGAAATCCGAGAGATACCCTTCCTCCTCTTGGCCATACTGCTTCCAGGGAGAGCAAGGGACCTGCAAAATGTGCGCTAGTTAGGGTGGCAGGCAGAACGCACATTACGGTCATTCATTCCAAAATGTTGCCGTTTTTGCTAAACTTTCCATATCCTTTGTTGCATGTTTGATAATTCACCACTCTATTAGGTAGGGGCTGCCAGGGAATAAGTGAAGACTCCAAATTTTCTGTAGGAGGGGTTTTGGGAGGTGGGCAATTCAGTCTGGGAGAGAAGTTTGAACTGTCATCCTGCCTTGACTTAACACAGCCATTACCCTAGAAATTACAGCGCCACTCTTCAGAGGTCTACCCTGTGTGCACACATGGAGAAGAGGCTTAGGTTGTTAAAGTCAGCTGTTAAATAATTTCCTGAAATGCGACTATAACTGGAACCCAGCTGACTTCCTCCACAGCCATTGTTACCTATTTTATTACTCATTGTCTGGCACAATCACCAGCATGTGAACTCTAAGAACGTGCTTCATCTTATGCCAGTGCCTAGCATAGGTATATGGTGCAGATTAATGGTTTTACAATGGAAGGGATTCCAAGACTTGCCTCATTTAGGGATGGATCTATTGTTATAATCAGATTTCTGAAATCAGTGCTGACTTTCTCTCACATTTCACAGGAAGCTAGACTTCTTAAAGCTTGAAGTTTCCTTGATGGGTTTTATTTAAATTGAATTAAAATAACTATTTTACAGGGAAAAACTTCAAAACAAAACGCTTTGCAACTTTGGGGTGAAAGTTAAATAAAACACTCTAGCCCCAAATTAAGTTCCTACTGAAAAAAAACACTTTTGCTACTTTTTTTAAAGAATTCCATATGTAGTAAATAATGACTGTTTTCTTTCAGAGATTAATTTAGAAACTTAATCCCTATTTAAGAGCTTTCATATACAGTCATGCGTTGCTTGCCATGTGAGGAGAAGCTTGAGAAATATGTCATTAGGTGATTTCACCCTTGTGCTAACATCATAGCATATACTTCCACAAACCTAGGTGGTATAGCCTACAGCACACCTAGGCTATATGGTATGGCCTATGGCTCCTAAGCTATAAACCTGTACTGTATGTTACTATACTGAATACTGAAGGCAATTGTAACATAACGGAAGGTATTTATGTATGTAAAATGGAAAATGTACAGTAAAAATACTGTTTAAAAGATAAAAAATGGTATAGCTGTATAGGGATAGCTCCATTATACTCTTATGGAACCACCATCATATATGTGGTCTATTGTTGACCGAAACATCATTTTGTAGCACATGATTGTAACTGATTTACAGAAAGATCTCAGCAAAATATTCTACCCAAGATATACGTGAGATATTGAGATCCAGGTAATAAACTGTATTTGAAAGGCATTATAGTTTTCGAAAGCTGTAGCACGATCATTCTTAAGGCCAGTTACTTTCTCCCCATATCTCTGGGATTCTGTTTGAAGAAAGTTCTAAAAAGGCCTGTGTTCAAGCAGCCTGGAATCCCTAACTCCTGGGGGAAGACTAATCCCTCTCCTGTGTCCACAACTGTAGTAATACTCTGATAGTCCTCAGTTCTCCTCTCCAAACTTCAAATAAGCGGTCAGAGCCAAAGGTCAAGACTTCAGGAAAAGCCCCAGAAATACTCTGCACTCAAAAGTAGTATCAGTTTCACATTTTCCTAAGAATGAAACAAATTATCCTCCAAATTATGCTGCTTTTTTTTGAATTATGGTTACACTGGCTATGTTACCCCTGAGTTTTTATCTTCACATACTTGAATTAAACCGTGTAGTTCTTCTTCGCATCTGACACCTACGATGTCTTCACTGGGTCTGTACTCCACAGCTATTTTACCACTTTCTGAAATAAAGTTAGCGAGGATCAATTCAGAATCTTTTTCATTCTAAAACTTCCTGCATATAATGGTAGCACCCCATGATGAAACATTGTTTTGGTTTCTAAAAGCAGAAAATAAGAGCATTTTCCTGGAAGTTTCCTTATCTCCTCATCTCACACTTCAGTTTTTTCTTTCTTTCTTTCTTTCTTTTTTTTTTTTTTTTTAGAAGACAGGGTCTCTCACTCTGTCACCCAGACTGGAGTACAATGGCACTGTCACAGCTCACTGCAGCCTGGAATTCCTGGGATCAAGTGATCCCCCTGGCTCACCCTCCAGAGTAGCAAGGACTACAGGTACACACCACTGTGCCTGCCTAATTTTTTTTTTTAGAGACGTGGTCTTGCTTTGTTGCCCAGGCTGGTCTTGAACCCCTGGCTTTAAGTGGTCTTCCTGCCTTGGCCTCCCAAAATGCTGAGATTACAGGTGTGAGTCACCATGTCTGGCCTCACACCTCAGTTTTTAACATATGTATGAAATATCAACCATATTCGGTACAAAGGACTTTATGATCTTACAGATAGGAACTAAGGAATAACATAAGAAATAAAAAATGTGGAAACCAAAATGCTCAATCATAATATGACTAAATGGTAAGGCATCAGATGGGGGTCAAAGCAAGTTCAAATTTGGAATAGAGACCACTGGGCTAGTAGACACTTCACATTAGAAGCAAGGGCCTTCTTTTGTCTACTCAGGTGTCTACTCCTTTTGAACCAAAATTCATTCCACCAGATACAATGAACAAAGCTTCTGAGAGAGAGAACATTTGAACATTTTATTGGCAGACACAGGCTCACATACCCTTATAGACAATAGAACTACCTTCAAGGCAAACTAGAGCCATCAGGCTTTTGGTCTAAGAAGTTTTCAGTGTGTGCAAGATACCTTTGTATATTAGGGAGAGGTAAACAACACACACACTTCGTTTGGTTCTTAAATGTTGTTACTCAGACTTGACAGTTGATGACCAAGGAAGTAAGACTTTCACTAGAAGGGCTGTTGCCCAGGTTGGAAAGCTGAGAGCAGTCAGGGCCACCTCCTACAAGCAAATAAAGGTCTGTGGTAACTTAATTAGGATCTCTCAGTCTCTAAGCCTTTAGGGCTGTGAAGCAGAAGAGCAACTCTGTTCAGGGACTCTTTGCTAATCATTAGGCTTCCTTTGGGCACAGCCTATAAGATTCGTGCCACTGTAGAACTCAATAGGGAATACAAGCAATAGGGAATATATTCAATAGCATGACCAATTCCAAGGCTCACGGCAAAGCAGCTGATTTTTGTATAAGAATCATACTTGCCCAATGTGTCAGTGCCAGAAATGAAAGCTGAAACTGAATTCTTGATTCAGGAAACATAATCTAATAAACTCTTCAGCAGAGAGCTTATTTATTCAGAGATAAATCAACAATGACAATAATAGTTAATATGTCTGCTTATCTTGTAAGTGTAGCTCCGAGTTTTTACATTTGTCATCTCATTTACTCTTACAATGTCCTCCATAAGGCTGACTGAATTACTAACCCCAGTTTATAGATGAAGAGACTGCAGCTTAGAGATATTAAGTATTTTCAAATCTCTCTGGCTATAAGACCTAAAATTGCATTAAAAAATCTTTTTTTTTTTTTTTTTTTTGAGATGGAGTCTCACTCTGTCACCCAGGCTGGAGAGCAGTGGCACGATCTTGGCTCACTGTAAGCTCCACCTCCCAGGTTCACGCCATTCTCCTGCCTCAGCCTCCCAAGTAGCTGGGACTACAGGAGCCCGCCACTACGCCCAGCTAATTTTTTTGTATTTTTAGTAGAGACGGGGTTTCATCGTGTTAGCCAGGATGGTCTCCATCTCCTGACCTCGTGATCCGCCCATCTCGGCCTCCCAAAGTGCTGGGATTACAGGCGTGAGCCACCGCGCCCGGCCTAATTGCATTAAAAATCTAAGAGACAGAGTTAGGACTCAAATCCATGCGTCCAAAACTTATAATCACTATTCTGTATGATAGGTAAGCAATTAAAGAAGACCTGGCTTAAACATTTTCTGTGGGAACTGAGGCAAGTCTTTTCACATCTGTAAACTGGGGACAATATTTGCTGTCATTTTTTTTCACAAATGTCACACAGAACAAATTTGAGCCTGTTGGTGTGAAATAATTTAGCAAATGAAAGCATACTATAGAGTGCTTTAGATATCAATATTTTTATTCAATTAACTTTTCAAAATGAGTTTATTTGCTTACTGAAACTGAAGTACTTCAAGGATGATCAAGACAGTCTTACCTAGAACAACAATCAACAGTTTCTGGAATGCATCTGACAAAGCCTTCTGAATAGCAAGCTTCTGGGCTGTCTTCCTTTTCATAAGGAATGATAATGGTCCTAAATCCAACCAAAACAAATGGATTTAAGGTGCCTATTTGAATGATAATTGCTATATGTTTAAAAAATAAAAAAGCATCCACGATTCTTAGCTCAAAACCTTCATGACTAAGGGCAGATGGCACAAGCGTATGGTTGAATGGCTCTGTTATAGGTACATCCTGGCAGGGCCCATTTTTACTACCTCCATCTAGTAGGGAAGTTCCTGAGGTACTAGAAGGGAGATAAGAGCCAAGAACCTGGCACATGTCTCACATCACCCAGAGATTTCAAATTGATCAGTTAAGGCTACACTCCTACAGACCCTACCCTCCTATGCATCAAGGGCTGGAATCACTCATCGAAAAAGGTTTGGTTGGCTGGACCTGGTGGCCCATGCCTGTAATCCCAGCACCTGGGGAGGCTGAGGCAGGTGGAGGCCAGGGGCTCAAGAACAGCCTGGTCAATGTGGTGAAACTTGAGGCCAGGAGTTCAAAAACAGCCTGGCGGACATGGTGAAACCCTGTCTCTACTAAAAGTGCAAAAATTAGCCGGGTGTGGTGGCACACATGTGTAATCCCAGCTACCTGGGAGTCTGAGGCACAAGAATAGCTTGAACTGGGAGGCGGAGGTTGCAGTGAGCCGAGATCATGCCACTGCACTCCAGCCTGGGCGACAGAGTGAGATTCTGTCTCAAAAAAAAAAAAAAAAAAAAAAGAGGCTAGGCACAGTGGCTCATGCCTGTAATCCCAGCACTTTGGGAGGCCAAGGTGGGCAGATCACTTGAGGTCAGGAGTTTGAGAGTAGCCTGGGCAACATGGTGAAACCCTGTCTCTAATAAAAATACAACCACAAGAAAATAGCCAGGTGTGGTGGTAGGCACCTGTAACCCCAGCTACTTGGGAGGCTGAGGCAGGAGAATCACTTGAACCTGGGAGATGGAGGTTGCTGTGAGCCGAGATCACGCCAGTGCACTTCAGCCTGGGCGACTGAGTGAGGCTCCATCTCAAAAAAGAAAAAACTTTGGTACAGATAATCTGGCTCCTCCCTGGGCATCACCCCCGGGAGCCTACTCCACTCCATTAGCCTACAGCCCTGCCTCTGACTTCAAACCCTAAGCATGATGGCCATGAATACTAAAAAAATACTCAACATCAGTATCAACTGAGTACCCTTTCTAGGTATCTATATTAGACACTTTTTCTGCTGAAACCCTTTTATGAGTAAAAAAAGGAACTGAATGTTTATACAAAAGTTTATGTAAATCTTTAGATGATGACCTGGCATGGTGGCTCATGCCTATAACCCCAGCAACTTGGGATCCTGAGGCAAGAGGATCACTTGAGGCCAGGAGTTGGAGACCAGGTGGGACAACACAGAAAGACCCCATCTCTAAAAATAATAATAATAATAATAATTAGGCAGGTGTGGTGGTGCACGCCTGTAGTCCTCGCTACTCAAGAGGCTGAGGCAGGAGGATCCCTTGAGCCCAGAAGTTGGAGGTTACAGTGAGCTATGATCATGCTACTGCATTCTAGCCTGGGCAACAGAGCAAGATCCTATCTCTAAAAAATAATAAATAGATAAAAAAAAATCTTTAGATGGTTTTGCTGGGATAACCGAGAGCTACAAGAGACACATATTTGAAGGACTATTTTAGTTCGAAGCAAGTTCTTAACCAAAAACTGTAAAAACATTACTTCCTTCTTCCTCCTAAGCTTCTCGGCAGGAAGTCAGCTGTACGATTTTAAATTTAAAGGTTCAATCAGGTATTGCCTACAGTAAAACCCTATGTTGTAAGACAGAAAAACTCTGCCCAGGACTTCAGTAGCTCAGAGAGGGAGGGGCTTGATATGTATCTGAAAAGATGAGTTTTGGAAAGTAAGAAAAAAAGAAAGATCCTTTCCACTCCAAATCCCTACCCTCCTCCACTCCCAGTGAAAACAGACCTTCCTCCACCTTATCCATAGGCTCCTCCACCAAGCCAATGCCAGGACTCCTGCAATCACAGGATGGCAACACCACTTCTAAAGCACAGAAGAACTTCAGGCTTTGCTTCGGAAGTGGCACCATGCTATCTTCATTTTCCCTTTCTTCAAGGTCAGAAAGCTCCTGAAGCTGTAAGGATATTTAATGTAAGGTCCTTCCTGGGGTCTTAATGTAGGCTTCAAAATGTTTTGTTATTAAAAGTAAAAACTTGGCTGGGCGTGGTGGTTCACGCCTGTAATCCCAGTACTTTGGGAGGCCGAGGTGGGCGGATCACGAGGTCAAGAGATTGAGACCATCCTGGCCAACATGGTGAAACTCCGTCTCTACTAAAAATACAAAAATTAGCTGGGCGTGGTGGTGGGCGCCTGTAGTCCCAGCTACTTGGGAGGCTGAGGCAGGAGAATTGCTTGTACCCAGGAGGCAGATTTTGCAGTGAGCTGAGATAGCGCCACTGCACTCCAGCCTGATGACACAGCGAGCCTCTGTCTCAAAAACAAAACAAAACAAAACAAAAACCCAATAAAAAAAAGAAAACCCAAAAAACAACTACACTCCAGTCATTCAAGCTAACAGTTGAGGTGTCCTATGGCTTCAAAATCAAGTTAGATTTGCAAATGAATTGCTAGATAGAGACAACCATTTTTTATTATATGCCACAAAAACAGTGGAGAAAATTACGGATACCACCATCCAATTGACTGAGATTATTAATTCTAGGTAGCAGGCCAATTCAGACATGTCAATTTATCCTCAATGGTAGAGGCCTCTCACATCTCCTCCCTACAATCCAGTTCAATACTTCTGTCTAAAATCTAGGATTTCAATGTTGAAAGGAGAGTGTGGTAAGTGAAAAAAAATCTACAAGGTTTACCTTGATGATCCTTTTGGAACACCCATTGAAACCAAAGTAGTAATTCGCCAGTTCTTGGCATTTGGAACTGTTCAGGGCAAGGGCTTGATGTTGAACTGCCTTATGTCTGGTGCCAAGACGAACCTAAAATCATAGGAGATAGACCCATAAATATCACAACCGCTAGAGATTTTATTTTGGATAGATCTGAGATTTGTCAATACCAAGTGTGCAATGAAAAATTGTTACTGTCTTCCCATTCAGTAGTTCCTGCTTGAGAATATGACCTGAATATAGATAAGATGAACCCACCACCCATCCCCCTCCCCAAGTTACTAACCCGTTAAAAGATGAAATAACACCAGGTGCAGTGGCTCACCCTTGTAATCCCAGCACTTTGGGAGGCTGAGGCAGGTGGATCACAAAGTCAGGATATCGAGACCATCCTGGCTAACATAGTGAAACCCCGTCTCTACGAAAAATACTAAAAATTAGCCAGGCATGGTGGCACGTGCCTGCAGTCCCAGCTACTCGGGAGGCTGAGGCAGGGGAATCGCTTGAACCTGGGAGGCAGAGGTTGCAGTGAGCCGAGATGGTGCCATGCACTCCACCCTAGGTGACAGAGTGAGACTGTCTCAAAAAAAAAAAAAAAGGAAATACAAATACTTCTATAAATTTTACATGCAACTGAAAGGAGAGGTATATCTGCATTTACGTGCTTCTTTGAGAACGCAAATATCTACTGAGTGTTAATTCTTAAAACATTTTATCCATTTTTGTGGATTTCTTACATCACAAGTTTTCCTATATATTTCATTTTTTAAATGTAGTATATTATATTCATGAAATTCAAATGATACAAATAAAGTCAAATTTATTTGTATTAGAAATTAATAAGAATTAACAGTAAAGTTCTTTTTTTTTTTCTGAGACGGAGTCTCGCTCTGTCACCCAGGCTGGAGTGCAGTGGCGCGATCTTGGCTCACTGCAAGCTCCGCCTGCCAGGTTCACGCCATTCTCCTGCCTCAGCCTCCCGAGTAGTTGGGACTACAGGCACCTGCCACCACGCCCGGCTAATTTTTTGTATTTTTTAGTAGAGATGGGGTTTCACCGTGTTAGCCAGGATGGTCTCGATCTCCTGACCTTGTGATCTGCCCGCCTCGGCCTCCCAAAGTGCTGGGATACAGGTGTGAGCCACTGCGCCTGGCCGTAAAGTTAATTCTTTATTGATTTGTTTATGCACCTTCCTCTATCACTGGTTTATAAGCTCCTTAAGTCCCAGATGAAACCATAGCTTATTCTTTTTTCATTTCCAGAACTAAGCATAGTTCTTGGCATATAATAGAGCACAGATGATCTATCGATTGAATGAATAAAACAATGAGCAAGTAAAAAATGAAATTACTTTCTCCAACTGAAAAGAAGGAGAAATGCCTGTTGGGAAAGAAATAAAGACCAGTTTTTAAACGTTGAGTGCCACTGGCGAGACCGGCCTGTATCGTGAGTCACAGTGGAGCCTTTCCAGACAACCAGGAAGCTTCAGAAAAACTCTGAGCCTCTGGGTGGCACAGACAGCTGTCAGCTTGGATAACTTTGCAGCAACCATTTTCCTTCATTTCACCAAAAAAAAAAAAAAAAAAAAAAAAAGAACCAAAAAACCCTCTTGGCCGGGCACGGTGGCTCACACCTGTAATCCCGGCACTTTGGGAGGCCGAGGCGGCAGATCACTTGAGGTCAGGAGTTCAAGACCAGCCTGGCCAACATGGAGAAATCTTGTTTCTACCAAAAATACAAAAATTAGCTGGGCGTGGTGGTGCACGCCTGTAATCCCAGCTGCTCTGGAGGCTGAGGCAGGAGAATCAATTAAACCCGGGAGGCAGAGGCTGCAGTGAGCTGAGATCATGCCATTGCACTCCAGCCTGGGTGACAGAGCAAGACTCCATCTCAAAAAAACAAAACGAAAAAACCAAACAAAAAAACAAAAACCCAAAAAGCAAAAACAAAACCCTCTCAGGTGCCTTAGGCCTTTCCTTGATTTTATTTTAAAACATTATTCTCTTTTCTGTATTTAGAAAGGCAAAAAAGACAGGAACTAAGTGTACGTGCTAAAGTAGAAAAGAACACTTAAACTAGATTACAGTGGGGGGTGAGTAGTAACTGAAAGCTTTGAGTTTAGTAATAAATCTAGTATGAATGCCCTCTCATCTCACCTATCTATTGAGTTGTAGAACATTTCCTTCATTACTGTCTCAGTGATAGGCTTTATGCTGTGAAATTCTCAAAACCTAAAGCTTATGAAATGGTCTCAATGTCCAAAGAGCACTAAAAACTCATTATTTGCAAAATGATACCAAGTAAATGTTTCATAATCTTAGTTGTACCTTTATAATATTTGAGTGGCTATGTGAAATGGTCACAGGTTAGAAACAGACCATAGTTCAAAAGTTAAATAATATCTCACAGGTAATCATTTCAGTCACAGAAAGTGGAACCAGGATTGAAGAGGGTGTTGAACAGGCTAAGAGGGCATTGAACAGGCTACTGAAGTGGGAGTAGTATACCTGGAGTCATTACTAAGCAGAGTTCTCAGATTTGATCAAGGTTAATTCAATGAGGAATGGAATATAGAGAAGAATAGGCAGCAAGATTAGTAGGAAGCAGTCAGATCAAGTAGCCAATCAGGAATTGAAATGGTCCTTGAAAAGGGAAAGATGACTGAATTGAGGCATACAATGAGATATCATTCTGTGGCTCTGGGAAAGTAAAATTGGTTGGCATGTTAATATGGAATAGGGTTTCTACAATACCGCTTAAAGAATGTTCCCATCCTCTCAGAACTGAAGGGAGTTTCAAACAGGCAGTTTGTGAGCCATGGTGAGTATGATGATGATGATGTGATGATGATGATACAGTCTCCTTTATGTAACAGCTGGCAGAAGACCTGGTCACACCCACACATTTTAAATTCACATAAAACTAAATATATAGGCTGGGCGCGGTGGCTCACGCTTGTAATCCCAGCACTTTGGGAGGCTGAGGCGGGTAGATCACCTGAGTTCAGGAGTTCGAGACCAGCCTGACCAACATGGAGAAACACCATCTCTACCAAAAATACAAAATCAGCCAGGCGTGGTGGTGCATGCCTGTAATCCCTGCTACTTGGGAGGCTGAGGCAGGGGAATCGCTTGAACCCGGGAGGCGGAGGTTGTGGTGAGCTGAGATCACACCATTGCACTCCAGCCTGGGCAACAAGAGCGAAACTCTGTCTTTAAAAAAAAAAAAAGTAAATATATAATATATGGCTGGGCACAGTGGCTCACACCTGTAGTCCCAGCACTTTGGGAGGCTGAGGTGGGTGGATCACTTGAGGTCAGGAATTCGAGACCAGACTGGCCAACATGGTGAAACCCCATCTCTACTAAAATACAAAAATTAGCCAGGTGTGGTGGCAGGCGCCTGTAGTCCCAGCTACTCAGGAGGTTGAGGCAGGAGAATCACTTGAACCCGGAAGGCAGAGGTTGCAGTGAGCCAAGATCATGCCACTGCTCTCCAGCCTGGGTGACAAAATGAGACTCCATCTCAAAAAATAAAAATAAAAAGTAAATATAGCTGGGCATGGTGGCCTGTACCTAGCTACTTAAGAGGCTGAGGCAGGAGGACTGCTTGAGGCCAGGATTTAGAGACCAGCCTGGGCAACACAGGGATACTCTGTCTCTAAAAAAATTAAAAAGTAAATATAAGCAGAAGTCTTCTGGCAAAGATTTCATTCATTCAGTCATTTTTTAGAGATAGGGTTTCACTCTGTGGCCCAGGCAGGAGTGCAGTGATGCAATTATTGCTCACTGCATCCTCAAACTCCTGGGCTCAAGCGATCCTCCCACCTCAGTCTCCCAAGTAGCTGGGACTACAGGTGCATGCCACATCTGGCTGATATTTAATTTTTTATTTTTCTTTCTTTCTTTTTTTGAGATGGAGTCTCACTCTGTCACCCAGGCTAGAGTGCAGTGGCACAATCTCGGGTCACTGCAGCCTCCACCTCCTGGGTTCAAGTAATTCCCATGCTTCAGCCTCCCGAGTAGCTGGGACTACAGGCGCATGCCACCATGCCCGGCTAGTTTTTGTATTTATAGTACAGATGGAGTTTTGCTATGTTGCCCAGGCTGGTCTCAAACTGCTGGCCTCAAGTGATCAGCCCGCCTCGATCTCCCAAAGTGCTGGGATTACAGGCATGAGCCACGGTGCCCAGCCTTATCTTTACAATTTTTTTTATAGAGATGGGGTCTCATTTTGTTGCCCAAGCTGAGATTTCTTAAAAAGGGACAGCATAAAATGACATGAGGTTTAGCATCAGTAGGTTTTAGTTCAATCTCGAGTTTCCATAATTCTTGTCAGGAACCTTAAACAAGTCGCTCAACCACCTTGAGTTTGAGTTTCTTCATGTAAAAAACCCAGAGAACTGGAAGATTAGTGTGGCAATGCATCTGAAAATATTCTGTAAACCAGCGTGCTGGACAAATGCTAACCTATTATTGAATTCAGCACTTCATTTCAGCGGAGCTAGGAATTCCATATTTGGACCCACCTTGACTGGAGATTTCTGAAAAAGCTGCTTCCGGTCGCATGCCTTTTGGGCTCTGTGGGCAGCCCTTGCAGAATAAAACTTAATGACGGCATAGAAACCAGGATGGGCCACTGCAGCATTTGGGAAGACCCGGACTGAATACAGAAGGCCAAACTGAGAAAATGCTGTGAACAGAGAATGCTGTGGGGGTGGGACAAGTAAATGCATGAAATCTCACGCCCAGAAAACAAAACCGCACATGCCCTCATATTCCCCAAACCTCTCTTCGCGAAGGATGCGATTCAAAACACTTCCCACTTAATCAACAGGTTTTCCTCTTAAAATCCTAAACTTTAAGAAGCACTGGAAGGTAAAACGTTCTGAAGGTGGAGAGATACCTCTCCGGGACTCTAAAAATCTGTTGGGGGTCGTCAGTTGTCAGTTGGGATCCCCTTTATAATTAAGAGTCCTTCAGCGGAGGCTCAGGCAGGTGAGGGTCTGAGGCAGGACTCCGGAACTCCCAGTCAGCGGGTGGGCAGCTTTCTCCATCCCTCCCTCCATCCTGGCCCCGGCTCACATGCAAAGCCTCGGCCGTGGGTCCGGAGCTCAGCTCCCACACTAGCAAGGTTTTGTCACTCTCGATGGGAACCGCAAAAGGTACCAACTCCGCCATCCTCCCTTCACCGCACCTGCGCGGCTAACCCTCGCCCCAGCATTGCGCCTGCGCAAGGCACGCCCGCGCTTTTTTAAAAAGAGGCGCATGCGAGGGGCGGGGACGGGGCTCGGATCGCTCCCTTGCCCCTCCTACCTAGGGCCAGCCTCTGAGTCTGTTCCCCTCCTCCAGTCACAGCCACAAGATCCCTGAGTTTAGAGCTTCCGTTCAATGCATGTTTAGGGTAAAGTCCCAAAATAGGCTGACAGGATGGAAGGGTAGGGACGTGTTTATAGAAGCCAGCTTCATCTTCACTCCTGAAGGAGATTAGGGTACTAAGTATTAGCACTTGTGGGAAATAACCACGAAAGATGCAATCTTTTGACTTAAGAGGTTTTTTTAAGAGTTTAAAATTGCAAATAAAAGTATAACTCACTAAACCATTAACAGTCTCGCATGAAATCCTTAAAAAGAATTCCCTGATTGTCCTACGTCATTCTGGTGAATCGTGTATGTGTACTTGTGGGGGTCAGATGATGTGAGAGGTTGGAGGTACGAGTGAGAAGGAGAGATTAATTTTGAAAAAAGAAAAACAAACAAACAAACAAACAAACCCACAAAGAATAAGTCCAAATAAGGCACCAACATTGGAGCTGATGGTGTCTGAGAAGGGTAGGTGTCATAATCAGCTACGTGGTGGAGGAGTGTAATCAACTGGTGGGTTCATCATACCCACTGCCCAGAAAAGCTGATTTACTGAGACAGTGTTATTGAAATAGGCAAAGAGTTTCATAAGCACAGAACCAGCTAAATAGAAGACTGGAGTTTTACTATTACTCAACTTAGCCTCCCTGAAAATTTGGAAGCTGGTGTTTTTTAAAGGGTAATTTGGCAGTCAGGGGGCCAGGGAATAGGAAATGCTGACTGGTTGGGTCAAGGATGAAATCATAGAGAGTCAGAGCTTGTGTTCTTGTGCTGAGTGAATTCCTGGTTGGGGGCCGCAAGACCAGATGAGCCAGTTTGCCCATGTGAGTGGTGCCAGCTGGTCCATCAGAATGAAGGGTCTGAAAAATACCTAGAACCCCAATATTAGGTTTTACAATAGTAATGTTGAAAGCAGTTAGTTAGCTTGGACACAAAGCAAGGGAAGGGTCCCCGGAGAGATCCCGGCTCACAGGGTCAGTGCCTTACCCCCACATAACATAAAAAGCAGCCTGGGAAAAAATTCAAGCTACCAGCACCCATAAGAGAACTAGCATAGGGTGTTGTGCCTGGAGACATGCCCACGGCTGCACAGATGGAAAAACCTCTGGCCCATTTGGATAAAAGCTTGCACAAAACTTCAGCTCACTCAGACAAAAGAACAAGGCCTGGCATAGAAATGCCTTTGTCCTTTGTATAGTCAGTGGGCTCCCAGGATGAAGTTGCTTCTACTTTTGTGGGCATGGGCATAGTGGGCTCCGGTGAGTTCCAGTGGGCACTCTACTTTCCTTTTTGGACCTGTAAGTCCAGCCTCTATGAATCATCACTTCAGCCCCTGATAGGTCTTGGGCCAAGCTAAGCAGCATCTAAGAATCATTTCAGCTCCTGATTGGTCCTGGGCCAAGGCTCCTTGCCAAGCTGAGTTCTCCAAGACAGCTGTCGGACTAAGCACATTGCTTCCCCTTCCCAGTCCATAAAGACCCCAGCCTCACAGGGGACACCCGTTCTGGCCCCCACGCTCTGCTGGCAGAGAGCTTTCTTCTTTCGCTTATTAAACTTTTGCTGTAACCCCACCTTTGTGTCCACGCTCCTTAATCATCTTGGAGGTAGGACAAAGAACTCCGGGGGTTATATCAGACAACTACAGAGTGTTATATCTTGGTGCATTGCTGAGACTACAACAGTGTTTTGTATAGGAGCAACTGGAGAGGTTAGGAATCTTGTGGCCTCTGTCTACATAATTTCTGAGCCATAATTTCTAATCTTGTGGCTAATTTGTTAGTTTTACAGAGGAGATCTGATTCCCAAGCAGGGAGGTGGTTTGTTTCAGGAAGGGACTATTATCTTTGTTTCAAAGTTAAGCAGCAAAAATTCCTCTCATAGTTAGCTTGGCCTGTGCCCAGGAATGAGCAAGGGCAGCTTGGAGGTTAGAAGCAAAATGGAATCAGTTAGGTCAGATTTGTCATAATTTTTATAAAGGCAGTTTCAGTAACACAAGAAGTAAAGTGAGTCCTACTACTGTTTATTTTAATCCTAGAATGTCAGAGCCAGAAGAGACCCTACAGGACAAGTCTCTTGTGATTTCTGAATAATGATCCTCAGACTCATGCTGTGATAAAGTTTTCACCCCTACTCTACAAAATGAGGACCATATGGAAAATATAATCAGGTTTTTTATAATTTCATAAAATAAAGTAGATTCCACTCCATTCTTCTACAAGTATGACCTCCCTATAATGTTGATACTAAAAATTTTTCTATGAAAAGATGCTAATAGAGGATAGTTGCTTTAATGCTCTTACTTGGACATTAAAATTAAAAATTAGAAACCTCGGCCGGGCCTGGTGCCTGACATCCATAATCCCAGCACTTGGGAGGCCGAGGCAGATGGATTACTTGAGGTCAGGAGTTTGAGACCAGGCTGGCCAACGTGGTAAAACCCTGTCTCTACTAAAAATACAAAATAGCTGGGCACGGTGGCTCATGCCTGTAATTCCAGCACTTTGGGAGGCTGAGGTGGGTGGATCACCTGAGGTCAAGAGTTCGAGACCAGCCTAGCCAACACCGTGAAACCCCGTCTCTACTAAAAATACAAAAATTAGCCGGGTGTGGTCGGGGGGCGCCTGTAATCCCAGCTACTGGGGAGGCTGAGGCAGGATAATTGCTTGAACCCAGGAGGCGGAGGTTGCAGTGAGTGGAGATCATGCCACTGCACTCCAGCCTGGGTGACAGAGTGAGACTCCATTTCAAAAAAAAAAAAAAAAAAGATTAGCTGGGTGTAGTAGCACACACTTGTAGTCCCACCTACTTGAGAAGCTGAGGTAGGAGAATTGCTTGAGCTTGGGAGTTGGAGGTTGCAGTGAGCCAAGATCCTGCCATTGCATTCCAGCCTGGGCTACGCAGTGAGACTCTGTCTCAAAAAAAAAAAAAAAAGAAAGAAATCTCAGGTTTAATTATTTTTTACATTTTATCACCTGTGAAATACAAAAGTCTGGCAACTACTGAATAGTCAAATCCCTCCTTCTATAGTAGAAACAGCTAAGGCTCAGTGGTAGAGAAATAAGTGGTCCAAGATAAAACCCCAGATTGGTCAGACACTACTGACGGTGGCTATGTGTAGGACATTCCTTCAACTGTCACTTTTCTGATTTTGCCTTTTCTTTAAGCATGTTCTACTCCACCTCAGCACCCTCCAGGCAAACCAGATCCTGTCCAGAGCACCTTTTTTTAATCATCTAGATCCTAGCTTATTCTCCCAAAGCACCCCCAAATTATTGGTATCTGCCACTATTTCTCCATCCCATCACTACTTTCTCCACATCAATACCAGACCCCACCCATTGCCTACTTCTGAGTTTTCTCTTTTACTTCAAAAATTGTTCTTTGGAGGAATTACTTGGATGCTGATACTGTTTCAAAGCAATAATTATGGATTTTACTATACATTTAATTACCTATTGTAATGTTTGTGGATGTCTCTGCTTCTCCACCTAGATTATGAACACCTAAACAACAATAGCTGTGTTTTGTCTTCCTTCTACTACCTAGTACACTCCCACTGTCTTAGGTACTCAAATATATGTAGACTAATGAATAAATGGACACAGTCTTTGCAGAGCGAGTGCTTTAATATTTCGATAAATATAAAGATTTCTTTATTGTGGTCCTCAGTTTACAAATAACAGACAGGAACCAGGGGACTGGGTCCAGATGGGAGTAAGGAGGAAGCCAAGAAAACCATTTATTCCTGGGGCTCTGGTCAGTTTTAGTTGTAAATGGGAAGGGAAGAAAATAACATGAAGTGGAGGCAGTAGGAAGAAGAAATGAAGAATCCCTGAGTGAGGACAGGAGTCTTGGAATGACTCCACGGTGCACCCGCACCCTGTTTCATCTCAGGCGGCATCCTGTCAGCCAGTAGAAGAGTGGCCGGCCTGAACAGTGCAACCTCCATTCTACCCTGCGGAGAAAAAAGACATGGTTCTTGCCTCACACTCAGTAACTCTTCCACACACATGACCCAGTTCTTGGTGAGTCTCGCATATGGAGCAACGCCCAGAATCCCCGTCATTGCTAGCTAGCCCTCTGGTCTGTCCTCCACTGTCCCCTCTGACGAATCCTGTAAAACTCTCTCATCTCTGGTGTTTGCCTGCTTCCCTGGATCAACGTTTCCACATTTTAAAATCCTCATATCTCCCTGAAGGGGTGAGCACTGTTTTACAGGGCTGAGAGTTACTTATTAAAAAAAAAAAAAAAGTCCCAGGTACAACCATTGATTCTCCCTCCAGAAAGGATCAGCATAATCATCGCTGTCAATTCTTTTCTGTGGTGTTTTGAGTATGCAAGGGATTTGACTCCTTCCACAGTTGCCTGTAGAGGCAGCCATTTGTGTTACTTATATATCTAGTTTGAAGCTCAGAAAAGGTGACTATCTGAATGTCCACCGTTGGTGAGCTCACAGCTATGTGGGTGTCTGCCCAGCTGATGAATGCCACATTTTTTTGTTGTCGTTTTTTGTTTCTTTTTTTGAGACGGATTCTTTCTCTGTCACCCAGGCTGGAGTGCAGTGGCGCGATCTCAGCTCACTGCAACCTCTGGCTCCCGGGTTCAAGCGATTCTCCTGCCTCAGCCTCCCATGCAGCTTGCCTTAAGGAGCATGGACAGAAAGCAAGGGAAAGGTCCCCAGAGAGATCCCGGCCCACAGGGTCAGTGCCTCATCCCCACATAACACAAAAAGCAGCCTGGGACAGGCACCCACCACAACGCCTGGCTAATTTTTGTATTTTTTAGTAGAGACAAAGTTTCACCATATTGGCCAGGCTGGTCTCGAACTCCTGACTTTGTGACCCACCCACCTCAGCCTCCCAAAGGGCTGGGATTACAGGAGTGAGCCACTGCGCCCAGCCGCCACATTTTTTTTTTTTTTTAAACAGAGTCTCATTCTGCCGCCCAGGCTGGAGTGCAGTGGCGCGATCTCGGCTCACTGCAGCCTCCACCTCCCAGGTTCAAGCGATTCTTCTGCCTCAGCCTCCTGAGTAGCTGGGACTACAGGCAGGCGCCACCATGACCAGCTAATTTTTTGTATTTTTAACAGAGACGGGGCTTCACCATGTTGACCAGGCTGGTCTCGAACTCCTGACCTCAAGTGATCCACCTGCCTCAGCCTCCCAAGGTGCTGGGATTACAGGCGTGAGCCACCATGCCCGGTCCACATTTTTAAATAAAAAAATATTGTCAATTATGGCCACAGGGCCCGAGCGGCAGCCATAATTGTATTGCTTAACTCCTCCCATCCCTACAGTTGATTGGACCAAGGGGGCACACATGGTCCAAGTGGAACCAATCAGATTCTCTATCCCAGGAACTTGGACTGGGACTGAGCCTAGCCAGTCCCTATGGTTGCTTAGGACTTTAGCTTATTAACTTTGCAGCACCCTTTGTCCTTTAGACTGTGGAGCAGAGAAAGTCTGCGGAGAGAGAAGTGAAGCAAATGCACCAAGAGAAGCTGAAACCTGCCATGGACAGTGTGCTGACAATTTCCAGCCCTGGTTCCATGCTCTTCCTGAGGCCCAGCTGCAGCCCTTGAGTGGGCTCAGTGAGACATCTGGGCCTCTCAGAATAAATTTCCCCCAGCTAGCTCAAGTTGTTTTCTGTTACTGCAACCAGAAGAGTTTTGTTTAATACAATATCATAGAAGAACCAGATCTCAGAGTTCCAAGCCCGTCCGCTATCCCACATCTTTCTAGACACTGCAAGGGCGTGCCCGTGAGTCCTTGCCTACTGCCCTTTTCTCTGTCACGTCCTCCTTCGTGGGGCTCTGCCCGCTGAGTCCCACCGTGTCCTCCTCACCAGTTGTTCATCCCCCGTGCTCCGGACACAATCCTTTTTGCGCAGTGGATGCCTGCAAGAAGGTTGGGATTCAGCAGATCTGAAAGGGAGGAAGAGAAAACCTGTGAGGGCACAGAAGACAGCCCCAAAGATGGAGGCAGACACCAGCCCTCCCTGGACAGCCCTATGCCACCTAGAGGCTTCCAGTTGAGGCAAAGGCTGTCTCCCAGGGGGCCCATTTAGACATCCCTACAATGGCTGCTAGAGGTTCGAGGTGAAAGGGGGTGTGGGCAGAAGGGGCAAGAGGCCTGAGATTTGGGCCTGTTCACTACTATTCTTCCTAACCAGGGTAGATAGTGGTTCACTCAAAGTTTGTGGGAGGTTTCCAGGGAGAGGAAATGCCAAAACACCACAGAGGTATGTCCCGCCTAGTGAGCGGGGGTCTTCAGGCGAGGAGCCGAGGGACATCGGTCAGTGTGCGAAGGCAGAGGTGAGGGGCAGAGTCATGGGCCCTGTCGAGCCTCCTGGATCAGCTCTGAGGTAGGGAGTTTGCACTTGGTCTTTGGTCAGATCATTAGCTAAAGAGGGTACTCCGGAATGGTTAAGAGCCTGTGAGGCCATTAGTCTGGCATTCAATGCTGGTTCTCTTTTTGAGCCTCAGTTTGCTGTTTTGTAAAGTAGGGATCATAAATGGTTTCTACTGCATGAAAGTTGGATGAAATAAGCCAAGTATGTAAAGCACTTAGTGTATAATATTCTCTCAATAAACATTGGCTGCTGCAACTGTTCTACTACTACCAGCTGTATATGGAGCCTTCCTGGATCCTACTCAGGGACTCTATAGAATCTCCTAACTGGATGGGCATTAGGGACACTACTCCAGCCCTCTGCTCAGTAAAGGGATTCCCTGATTTTTTGAACCATATTTCTGGGGCCATTCCCAGGCTGTGGGTGGGAAGAGAAGTTCTGTGAGCAGAGCCTGGTTGCTGCTCTCATCTCTCCCACCCTGGGGCCCTGGCCAGACCTTGACAGTCTACGTGGCAAAGGTTTTCCGAGTAACTCTTATAATCGTTGCACCAGTAGTGGCTGTTGATCTGGAAGAGGCCATAGTCAAAGCTTCCATCTGCATTTTCATTTATCTTTGATATGTTGAACTTGCTTTCCACAAAAGCCAGGCACAGCCCTTAGAGTAGGGAGAAGAAGGTCAGGATTTAGAGGGGACCAAGCTGAGTGAGAAGGGAGATGGAGGAGAAAGGGAGGCAAGGTTTCAGACAAAAGGAACAAGGCCTGGGAGGCAAGATAGGACTAGAGGGCTTGAAATCTCCATTGACTTGCCCTCTTATCCTGTGGTCCATCCACCCACTCATAAGTACAATTACTCATCTGTCCATCTATTCATGTGTTTTGCACTTACTGAGCACCTACTGTGTGCCAGGAACTGTGCAAAGCCTAGTGAGGGACATTTCAGTTGGGTCAAACACAGATGCTGCCTTCAAGGGGCCTGTATTACAAGCTTAAAAATATGTACCTAAGCTTGTAATACAGGCCTTGTAATAAGCTTGTATGTACAAGCTTAAAAATATGTACAAGCTTAAAAATATGTATGCCGGGCGCGGTGGCTCATGCCTGTAATCCCAGCACTTTGGGAGGCTGAGGCGGGCGGATCACGAGGTCAGGAGATCGAGACCATCCTGGCTAACACGGTGAAACCCTGTCTCTACTAAAAATACAAAAATTAGCTGGGCATGGTGGTGGGTGCCTGTAGTTCCAGCTACTGGGGAGGCTGAGGCAGGAGAATGGTGTGAACCCAGGAGGCAGAGCTTGCAGTGAGCCAAGATCGCGCCACTACACTCCAGCCTGGGTGACAGAGCGAGACTCTGTCTAAAAAAAAAAAAAAAAGGTACCTAAAAAACCCACAAAGCAAGATTAAAGGACAAAAGTGTTGCAAGACAGGTGCACACAACTCCTGGGCAAAAGGGAGATATCCCTTCCATGCAGGAGGAGAAAGCCTTTGTACTAGCTGTCCCCTCTGCCTAGAGTGTTCTTCCCCCAGACATTTGGGTGACCAGGTCCTTCATTTAATTCAGTGCTGCTTAATGTCATCTCCTCAGAGAGGCCTTCCCTGACTTCCCCATCTAAAGAATTCACCATTGCTCCCCCTGCTTTATTCTTCTTCATAGCATTGGTCACCACCAGGCAGTACGTTATGAGTGTGTTTGTTGCTGCTCTCTTCCCCTAGGATGTGAACATTATAAGGGAAGGGAATTTGTTTATCTCTACAGCCCCAGTGTCTAAAACAGTTGTTGGTACATAATAAGTGCTCAGACAATAACTTGAGTGAATACAGCGTGTTGGGAAAGGCTTTTTTGAAGGGGGCTGCTTTTTGAACTTGGCTTTGAAAGATGAACAGGAGAGAAAGAAGCTGGCCATATAGGACATGACTAGCAGAGGAGAAATGGCTGGGGAGGGGCGGATGGTACTCACAGTCACTCAGGGAGTAACCCTCAAACCCATCCAAGTCCTCCAGCTGCAGCACCTGGGCCAAGTCACAGCGACTGATGAGGCTGGCCTGATTTAGGGCAAGAAAGCTGCTGACCAAATAGATGAGTAGCGCCTTTGTCATCCTTGGAGGGGAGGAGGTGCAGCTGAGGGCTGATGGTTCTTAGGGTCTTGCAGACTTTCTGCTGATCTTCTCTGAGAGCCTGGGGAATCTGGAGAGGGCAGCCAGGTTTCCTTACTCACTCACTGCTCCAACCTGGCTGTTTCCAATCTCTTTTCTCTTGTTTATTATTTTATAGATTTTTATTTATCATGGAAAATTAAACCTTTAAAAAAGGAAAGAGAATAGTATCATGAACCTCCATATACCCACTTCTGAGCTTCAACATTTAAAAACCAAGGCCAATCTTTCTTTGTTGTTGTTTGTTTTTTATTTTTTTATTTTTTAGAGATGGGGGTCTCACTCTGTTGACCAGGCTGGTCTTGAACTCCTGGCCTCAAGTGATCCTCCCATCTCAGCCTCCCAAAGTGCTGGGATTACAGGTGTGAGCCACCACACCTGGCCAATCTCATTTCATCCATAGGTCCTCTTATATGGGCACCCAGCTATGGGTAGTATTTGGGTATTGGGATGGGGAGTGAGGTTGGCAAAGGAGATTACTGAAGACTATCTTCACCAGCATATGTGTGTGTGTATCTGAGCATGTGCTTTTAGAAAGAGGGCCAGGACACTGGGTGCTAATCTCCCCACAACCCCACTCCCCCAGACACATGACACATGATTTTTCCCAAGGGCATACCCTGCCTGGTACAATTCTTGGTGGGCTGGCTGTAGACGTAACCTTCACTTTCACATTGTGTATGTGTGTGTGCGCGTGTGTGTGTGTTGAATAGCAAGGGCCCTAGATTCACACTGCCTGCTTTCAAATCCTGGGGTGCTATGTGACTTTGGGCAACATACTCAACCTTTCTGGGCCTCATTTGTAAAATGAAGATATGCTAATACCTACCTAAAAGGGTTGTTTTGATGATTAAATGAAATAATGCCCAGATCTTGGTTCACATTCCACACAAAAGGGAACCAGGACTCTAGGAAATATGGCTGATTCCCAGGCTGGAGCAGGAAAGGGTTATGAGATGTCTGGATTATCTTGCTGTACAAGAAATTTAAAAAGTGCTCGAAATATGTATTGGGGCATGTCAAATGGACACAAGAGCTAGCTCAAAGGGGCACCGACTGGCCAGATCTGAAACGATGTTTTTTGGTAACAGCATTATTGAGATATAATTCATGTATCATACAATTAATTCAGTTAAAGTGTACAATTCAGTGGTTTTCAGTATGTTTGCAGAGTTGTACGACTACTACCTCACTTGATTTTAGAATATTTTCATCAATCCAAAACAAAACCCTGCACCCATTTAGCAGTCACTGCCCATCCCCCACCTCCCAACCCCTGGCAACCACTAATCTACTTTCTGTCTCTATGGATTTGCCTCTTCTGGACATTTCATACACACGGAGTTACAGAAAATATGGCATTTTGTATCTGGCTTCTTTCACTTAGCATAATGTTTTCAAGTTTCATTCAGGTTGGAGCATGTAATGATACTTCATTCCTTTCTATGATTGAATAATATTTCATTGTATGAATAGACCATACTTCGTCTATCCATTCATTAGTTGATGGACATTTGGGTTGTTTCTATTTTTGGCTATCATGAATAATCCTACTATGAACATTAACATACTAGTTTTTGTGTGGATATATGTTTTTATTTCTTTGGAGTAGAGTTGCTGGGTCATGGGGTAACCCTAGGCTTAAGCTTATGAGGCCTACCAGATTTCCAAAGTGGCTGCACCATTTTGCATTCCCATCAGCAGTGTATGAAGGTTCCAATTTCTCTACATCCTCACCAACACTTGTTATTATCTGTCTTCTTGACAAAAGGTATCCTAGTGGGTATGAACTGGTATCACCCTGTTGTTTTAATTTGCGTTTCCCAGATGGCTACGGATGTTGATCATCTTTTTATGTGCTTATTGGCCACTGTATATCTTTGGGAAAATGTCTATTCAGAACCTTTGGCCAGTTTCAAATTGAGTTGTCTTTTTATTACTGAGTGGGAAGAGTTCTTTATATATTCTGTATACTAGACCAGCATCAGATATATGGCAGATATTTTTTTCCCATTCTGTGGGTTGCCTTTCACTTTCTTGGTGGTGTTCTTTGAAGCCCCAAAGTTTTTAATTTTGATGATGTGCAAGTTATCTATTTGTCCTTTTGTTGGGTGTGCTTTTGGTGTCATATCTAAGGAACCATTGCATAATGGTTTCCAACCCAATCTGGGACAATTAGACCATCAGAATAAATGACAGTAACAGATTATACATTAAATGCAATAGGAATCCATGAGCCCATAATAATAATAAATTGACAAAAAGATACATTGTGTGGAGCTGAAGCAGAGACCTCTTCCTGACAATAAAAGGCCAACCGATAAGTGTGGAGGAAGTCATGGAGTTGAAAAATAATCACCATTTTGCAACTATCATAGATTGGTTTGAGAACAAATCATCATTGCATGCTAAATCTGAGGTGGTGGGAAGAATGCTGAAGAACTGGATATATCATGATCTTATAGGGTCTCCCCACAGATTGCTTATTAGTTGCACAGAAAGAAAAAACAAAACAGTATACAGTGGATAACCAGACAGTATTTTGACCTTGCAATCAAAATTAACATCTCCAAAGACGGACAGAGGGACATTGTGTGCCTCCAGATGTGATTCCCAAGGAGGACACATCGCTTATGCAATATTCCGTCCAGGGATGCATAGGCTATGTCTAATCCTGAGGAAACATCAAAGCCAAACTCACTGAAAATCTGTAAGATAACTGGCCTGTATTCTTCAAAATGGCCAATGCCATGAAAACTGAAAGACTGGCCAGGCATGGTGGCTCATGCCTGTAATCCGAGCACTTTGGGAGGCTGAGGTGAGAGAATTGCTTAGGCCAGGAGTTTGAGACCAACCTGGGAAACAGCAAGACCTCATCTCTACACTAAAAAGAAATAATACTTCCAATAAATCTGAAAACCTGGGACTATTTCTGTCACTGAGGGAAGGTGTGTTTTTCCCCTTAACTTAGGTATATGCTGCTGAGGGGGCAGAAGCCTGAGTTCTTCCACCCGCCGCCTTCAAGTGTCAGGCGGCTTCTGCTTGGACAAGATGGCTACCCTGGTGGGCTTGTTTCTTCTCTGGTCTTGTTATAGGAGGCAGAAAGAAACTACTTAGGTAGACAGTTAGGGTAAAGTGAATCCCCAGCAGAAAACTTTCCTTTTAACGCAAAGCAGCTCAAAGATAGCTCCCTTTCTAACCTCACGCAGTTCAAGGAAATCACTTTTCTTCTAACAACAACCAGCCTGAAAGAGCAAAGGGTAAAAACAGATAAGAGCTCAGGCACAGAAGGGTGGGGGAAGTCTCCTGGGTAATCACCAAACTTCACACTTATACAATGGGCCCCAGTAAAACAGTGGGCCTTAATAACTACATTCCTTTCTCTTTAGGCGCGCTAAGATAGGGAAGCTAAAAGCAGAATCGATGGGTATGCCTACAGCTGCAAGATGTGTGGGAATAGACACAGAAACTCTCGCTCCCAGATAAGCAAGACAAAGAGACACAGACTAAAAGTTGATGTGGTCGGGAATGGGGTGAGAGCCTATTAAAAACTCTGCTCTATACAGATAGCACACCTGGTCCCAACTGAACCATCGGGCTCTAGGAGGATAAGACATCCCCTCCTCATGAATGCCCCTCTCTAGCCCATTTATAAAACCCTGACGTTTTTACTACCACCTGGCAACCTGCCTGGGACCTCTGTCTGTGACAGAGAGCTGTTCTTTCCTTTTGCCTATTAAACTCCTGCTCCAAACTCACTCTGTGTGCGTGTGTGTCTGCGACCTCGATCTCCTTAAACGTGAGACCACGAACCTTGGTATTTACTTCAGACAATGAGGCTGCTTCTGTCTCTTGTTCTATCTGAGACTCGTTCCACACCAGCCTGAGCTTCGGGCCATTCTTTTGCTTCTCCCATCATTCTACCCCCAGAGCTGACAGATTTGGCAAATAAAATTTACAAGATGCCCTGTTAAATTAGAATTTCAGCCAAACAACCTACTCCACACTGACTCAGGAGGGTCCCTCAGAGATAGATGTCACTGAGCCTCGGGAAGCAGGAAGCTCCATCCCTGCCCATTAAGCCCCCTCTCAGGGTCCCCTCAAGGAAGACAGTGGCTCCAGAAGGTATGTTCCCACCCCTTCCACAGCTTACCTCTCTCCCATCCCTCTCTGACCCTGGGTTCCACCTGGCCCAGAGATTTCTGGGAGGATCTGTAGAACAAGGCTGTCTACAGTAGGAGCCTCTTCTTCCTCACCACATACACTTCAGCCCTGCCCAACTAACAGCTCTCCATGTTCTAAAGAAGGCTTCTGGAACCCCAGTTCTGTGACGTCATCCATCTCCTGGAAATACACTGGTTTTAACCAGGCAAATTGGCCAAGCATCAGGCAGAAGTAGCAGCTGGGCCTGGGAGGACAGGTGACATCTGTGAGGAAAATGGCCGGGTGGGATAGGGTGGAGAGCACTGGCTGTTTCCTTCATTTTTGGGAACAGCACCACCTTTGGGGTGACTCCTTCCCTCATGGGGTTTTAGTGGGGGCTGCCAGTCCTGGGGTCCTGCCCCCCACCACCCCCCATAAGCATAGGAATGCTTGTGTGCCAGTCACTATATTTGTAAACGGAAGCTGGTGGAGCTGCTCAGCTTCCAACAGGAAGCCCATGTGTGCAGGGCCAGAGGACATAGCCCATCTAAGGTGCTAAGCCTCCGTGAAGAGGGAGCGGAGTCTGGACGGGATTCCAGCCCCAGGGTCCACCCTTTCTGGGACCCAAACACACCCTTCCCCTCCCTTCAATTCTGAGATTCAATAAATGTCCCCACTCACAGAACAAGTTTGAGTTGGGTTTCTGTCACTTACAGCCAAAAGAGCCAGTTGTAGTCGGCATGGGGTCAACCATCTGTGATATGGTGACCTGACACCCTGTCCCCTCCCTGTGAAGGCCACAACATCCCAACATCATTAGTCACCGAGGAAGTCTGGGAGAAATTTCTACCAACTGTAGCAAAAAAGAGGCAAGGGAGAAAACATCTTGTTACTGACGGCCCACTCTTCCCTCTGAAACAGGGAGGCAGGATCTGACAGAAAAATAGGACAAGGGGCTTCTAAGTGGGCAGTGCTGCCCCGTGCCCCTCCAGACTTCTCTTCCCAGCAGGGCAGCAGTGCATGGCACCCTGGGATAGAAGGCCTGCAGGGGCAGAGGGGAGGCTGAACATGCTGGGGGCACCACTTTATGAGAAACCATTTGTGGCCAAAAATCTACATGGGCTTCAGATGACCTGAATGAACTCGTCTCTGTAGAGTGAGAGTCCTGGGCAGGAGGAAAGGTTTCCATAGCCAAGGACCACATGCTTGGAAATTTGATCTCTGAAACTTAAGATCTGAGAGAGGATGGTCTCCCAAGGAAGTCACATGAGCCTCAGTTTAATCCTGTTGGTTTGCAGAAGTTTCCACTCCCTCTGGAGGCTGGGTTGGGACCTCCTGCTGGGCTGCAGAATATTTAGTCTCTTTGATAGGCTCTGAAGTTATGGTCATTCAAAGGGGGTCCAGAGGGACCCTCCACCTCCAGCCCCCTAGCTGTGGCAAACATGGGTAGATTCCTACCCATTCAAACAACTGGAAAACCCAAGCTGGGACCCATGAGTCAAGTCAGCTCAGGGCAAGAGGACAGATGGATACCATAGGCCATCTGTCTCAATATTTGCAAGTTATAAATTAAACTAACAGACTGTTAAAGTATGTCCTACCCTCATACTCTGACAAATATTCCTTTAAAAGGATAAAATTTTAAAATGTGTATGAAGCTATGATTTGTATTTTTTTTTTTTTAGAGATGGAGTCTCACTCTGGAGTGATCTCGGCTCACTGCAACCTCTGCCTCCTGGGTTCAAGCAATTCTGCCTCAGCCTCCCGAGTAGCTGGGACTACAGGTGCATGCCACCATGCCTGGCTAATTTTTTTTTGTATTTTAGTAGCGACAGGGTTTCACCTTGTTGCCCAGGCTGGTCTTGAGCTCCTGAGCTCAGGCAATCTGCCTGCCTCGGCCTCCCAAAGTGCTAGGATTACAGGCGTGAGCCACCACGCCCGGCCGATTATGTTATGTTATGTATGTTAAAGTATGTCCTATCCTCATCCTCTGACAAATATGCCTTTAAAAGGATAAAATTTTAAAATATATATGAAGCTATGATTTGTATATGACAGAAAGTTAGCAAAATGTCAAAGATCATGAAATTTCATGTTTATTGCGCATGTCTGGGTGCTCTGTTGATGGGCTGACAATATTGGGATGAGTAATAAAGATGTGGAATTTATAAATTACTGAAACTATTCCATGAAATGTATTTTTCTTATCTTTCAGCAAAATCGGTAATTATGTTATTATTATCAAGATTTGAAAATACATGTAAGGATTAAAACAATCATATTCAAAGTACAAATATCTTAATATTTTCATCAAAATTATGTTTATGTAAAAAATTTAATTTTATCAGGAATATTTTCCCAAAAGTTAGTTTTCTTTTCAACTATTGAAAAGTATCCATTAAACCAAAAGGCAACATACAAATTAGAATTAGTCAAATTTTTACGTCAAAATGATTGAAATAAATCCATTTTATTTTGATTTTTGAAAACTTGATTAATTTTTATTAATTTTAAATTCATAATTCTAGCATTCAGTGACCACCAATGTAAAGAACAGGCATCATGGTTTGTCTGAGGGCTAGACATAGATACAAATTTTAGAGTAATGTGTAATGTGATTTGTTTAACCCTTTTTCTGTTTGCCCAGAGAATACTCACTGGTGGCACCTGCAGCTGCAGTGTTTACCCCAAGATAACTTTGCCATGAAATATTTAACACAAAGGGTAAATGCTTGAGGGGATGGATACCCCATTCTCCATGATGTCTTTATTATGTATTGTATGCCTGTATCAAAACATCTCAGGTGCCCCATAAATATATACACTTACTATGTACCCACAAAAACTACAACTAAAATTTTAAAAAGTAATGAACTATTGCCACACAAAACAACATGGATAAAACTCAAAATAATTATACTGAGTGAAAGAAGCTTGACAAAAAAGAGTACACACTGTATGATTCCATTTCTAGAAAGCACTAGAAAATATAAACTAACCTATGATGATAGAAAGCAGATCAGGGCAGGGTACAGTGGCTCACACCTGTAATCCCAGCACTTTAGGAGGCTGAGGTGGGCGAATCACTTGAGGTGAGGAGTTCGAGACCAGCCTGGTCAACAAAGTGAAACCCTGTCTCTACTAAAAATATAAAAATTAGCCAGGCCTGTTGGCACGCACCTGTAATCCCAGCTACTCGGGAGGCTGAGGCACAAAAATCACTCGAACCCAGGAGGTGGAGGTTGCAGTGAGCCAAGATCATGCCACTGCACTCCAGCCTGGGAGACAGAGCAAGACTCCATCTTAAAAAAATAAATAAATAAAATAAAAACGAAAGAAAAGAAAAAAAGAGAGCAGATCAGTAGTTGCTTGGGGGTGGGGAGGTAGAAAGAGCAGGAAGCAGGATCACCAAGGGCAACAAGGAAACTTTTTGTGGGAACGGATATCTTCACTATCTTGATTGTGATAATGATTTCAGGTGTATACCAAGGGTCAGATGTTACCAAATTGTAATCTCTATATATGCACAGTTTATTATATGTCAATACCTCAATACATCTGCCTAAAATGTTTAAAAATTACTGTAATTATACAAAATATATTTTATGAAAAGGAAGTTATGGGTGGGCATGGTTGAGAACCACAGCATCAGATAGATTCAGAAGTGGGGGAAAAGCATCTCCCACTTCCCCTTCTTCAGGCCAGCGTGCTGTGCAATTTATCCAGTGGACACTAGAGGACAGCAGCGACTCAGGTAGAGGAAGTGGGCGTTTCAGGGCTTGAATGCTTAGAATTCTCTGCTCTGTGCTCCCTATCCTGGGCGGTGGGCGGTGGGCGTTAATACCCCCATAATACTCAGTTACCGCTGGGACTTGGGCCCTGGTCTGTGGCTCTTGATTCCACCTTGTTGGTCCCCCAACACCAGGAGAGCTCTCTGTGCTCCCAGATTTTTTTTTTTTTTTTTTTTTGAGATGGAGTTTCGCTCTTGTTCCCTAGGCTGGAGTGCATTGGCGCGATCTCGGCTCACCGCAACTTTCGCCCCCGGGTTCAAGCGATTCTCCTGCCTCAGCCTCCTGAGTAGCTGGGATTACAGGCATGCACCACCACGCCTGGTTAATTTTGTGTTTTTAGTAGAGACGGGGTTTCTCCATGTAGGTCAGGCTGGTCTCGAACTCCCGACCTCAGGTGATCCACCCACCTCGGCCTCCCGAAGTGCTGGGATTACAGGCGTGAGCCATGGCGCCTGGCACTCCCATTTCTTTTTAAAAGGATATCCTGACTCCAGTGAGACAGCAGCCATAGTTCCCTGTCTGTTATCTGCAGGGCTGATATGGAGGATTGCAGATGTCACCAAAGAGTTGTGGTTCTCAGGCTGGGCACAGTGGCTCACGCCTGTAATCCCAACACTTGGGGAGACCCAGGCCGGTGGATCACATGAGGTCAGGAGTTCGAGATCAGCCTGGCCAACATGGCAAAACCCATCTCTCCTAAGAATACAAAAAATTAGCTGGGCCTGGTGGCACACGCCTGTAGTCCCAGCTACTCAGGAGGCTGAGGCAGGAGATTTGCTTGAGCCCAGGAGGTGAAGGTTGCAGTGAGCTGAGATTGCACCGCTGCACTCCAGCCTGGGCAACAAGAGTGAGACTTGGTTTCAAAAAAAAAAAAAAAAAAAGTTGTGGTTCTCAAGGGCCTTTGGAAGGCCTCCCAGCTTGCCTGAAATCCACGATTATAAAGCCCGTCAAAGTTGCATCATCAGACGCTGCAACATCACAGGTTAGCATGTCCCTGAGAAAACGACACACTGAAAGGTAATTTTTATAAGAAATAGGGAAAAGAGAGAAGGTTCAATTGAGGGGTAGGAAAATATGATGGTGGAGCCCCCTTACGGTGCTGCAATAGAAGCTTCCCCCCAAAAAGCAATAGTGGTCTGGGCGCTGTGGCTCAGTCCTGTAATCCAGCACTTTGGGAGGCTGAGGCGGGTGGATCACTTGAGCTCAGGAGTTCGAGACCAGCCTGACCAACATGGCAAAACCCCGTCCCTACTGAAAATACAAAAATTAGCTGGGTGTGGTGGTGTGTGCCTGTAATCCCAGCTACTCGGGAGGCTGAGGCAGGAGAATCACTTAAACCTGGGAGGCAGAGGTTGCAGTGGGCCCAGATCATGTCACTGCACTCCAGCCTGGGTGACAGATAGAAACTCCATCTCAAAGAAAAAAAAAAAAAGAAAGAAAGAAAAAGAAAAAAAAGCAAATTGTGAGCATACATTGAGCCATCCCAGTGTGTGAGGCATGATGCGGAACACTCTATGCAGGCAGTCATCTCATCTTCACAGCACTCTTACTAAATAAACTGCAGAGAGGTGGCGGGGTGCAGTGGCTCACGCCTGTAGTCCCAGCACTTTGGGAGGCCGAGGCGAGTGGATCATGAGGTCAGGAGATCGAGACCATCCTGGCTAACACGGTGAAACCCCGTCTCTACTAAAAATACAAAAAATTAGCCGGGCGTGGTAGCGGGCGCCTGTAGTCCCAGCTACTCCTGAGGCTGAGGCAGGAGAATGGCGTGAACCCAGGAGACGGAGCTTGCAGTGAGCCAAGATCACGCCACTGCACTCCAGCCTGGGAGACAGAGCGAGACTCGTCTCAAAAACAAAACAAAACAAAATAAACCACAGAGAGGTTAAAAAATGCCTAAAGGTCCAGGCGCAGCTCACATCTGTAATCCCAACACTTTGGGAGGCCAAGGTGGGTGGATCACTTGAGCCCAGGAATTCAAGACCAGCCTGCGCAACATGGCGAGGCCCCATCTCTACAAAAAATTACAAAAATTAGCCAGGTGTGGTGGCCTGTAGTCGCAGCTACTCCTGAGGTTGAGGGAAGAGGATCCCTTGAGCCTGGGAGTTTGAGGCTGCAGTGAGCTATGATTGCACTACAGCCTGGGTGTGAGAGTAACACAGTCTCAAAAAAAAAAAAAAAAGAAAAGAAAAAGAAAAGCAGTTGTGGACACACATTGAGCCCTCCCAGTGGGTGAGGCACAATGCCAAACACTGTATGAAGGAAATAATCTCATCTTCACAGCATTCTTACTGAATAAGCTGCAGAGAAGTTAAGAAACGCCCAAAGTCACAGAGCTGATAGGAGGCAGTGCAGGATTTGAATCCAGATTTGACACTAACGTATGGATCTAGCTACTGCTCTGCAGTACCCACTTAAAGGGAAGTGTTTTTCTTTCTTGGTTATTTAGTTCATGTGTTAAACTGGTTGGTGTTGGTAGCAGATGGTGAGTATTATAGTTCAGCCTTCTGGAGAAAGCTTGTCAGGCTTCAAGAGAATGTTAAGCATCTATGATGGTCCTAGAGGGAGGTTCCCCTCTCCACCCCTTCACTGCTTTACATGGAGCACTTATAGTGTGTGAGGTTCTGTGTTAAGGATGATACTTTCATAATGACGGTATCTGAAAGGCAGGTGGGCAGAGGCCAGCAACAAGGAATTGAAGGGTCAGTGATGTAGCAATCCAGTGACATTGTTCATTTGCACACACATGGGTCTGTCACATGCAGCCCAACTCACCTGGAGTCCTGAGAAGGTAACCAGACCAGGATGGAGGCCCAGGGAACTCACCAGAAGTTCTCAAGCATCAGAACACGGTGAAAGCATCCTGGTAGGCAGATAACACATGCCCACGGTTTGTGAGAGAAAGTCCTCCAGCAGTTTCTCTCCTTCCCCTTGGCTTTGACCTGGCATACCTGGGATCAGGCAGTTGATTCTCCAGGCCAGGTGCCTCAGGGAGGTGACCCTTCCTGTTCTGGGTTCTGCAGAAGCCAACAGCTCTGGGCTTGTGCCCATCAAGCACTCTTCTGCCCATTTTACTCTCTCGTGGATGCATGGTGGTGTTGATACAGGCCCTGAGTTAAAGGCTCCATGGCCGCCCATGACAGGAGGACAAAGCAAAAGAAAGCCAGAGTTAAACAGGCCCCTTGGGTCCCCTCCTTCACTTCATAGATGGGAAAACCAAGGTCTGGGCAGGGAAAGGGATTCAGCCAAGGCCACAGCGCACTGATGGCCACGCCAGGGTTAGGATTCCCAGCACAGTCTGTTTCTCTCATACTCCGCAGCCTTCTCTAATAATAGATTTTGGGTTGGGTTCTTCTTTATCAAGCGCTGGTCACACATTATCTCTATCTTTCTTAAAACAATTGTTCTTTAATATCATTATATATTCAGTCAGTGTTCAAATTTTCAACTGTTTTATGTCAAAAAGCCTTTTCTAAAGTTGATTAAATCAGGATTGAAATAAGATGCACACATTATGATTAGTCGATGTCTTTTAAATCTTTTAATCCATGGATTCCTCTTTCCTCTTTCTCTTTTTCCTTTTATTCTTGAATAAGCCACATCATGCCTAAACACCTGAAATCCTTCTCATTAAAGAGAAAAAAAAACACCACAGGAAACGTTACTACATATATAAAGATGAAGATAGGAATTGCTTGTGAGTGAAGCAATGAAGTCTGAGCACAATGTGGAAACTGGAAATCAGAGGTTGCATTTTAAAAATCTCCACTCTCTTCTTTAGATAGATTGGTGATTATTTTACCTATTTCATTTTAACTATCTTAAACACAACGTAAGGAACCTAAAGAGAAAACTTGTCAGCAATTGATCTGTCCTTTCAATGAACAGTGAATGCCACGGCGTATGTCTACCTGGGTACAAATCTCCTTTGCTAATAAGCAAACAGTGAACCTCTAAATCAATGTAAACTTTCATCATGTTTCACTTCAGTTGATTCCACACGTTGAGGCTAAGCACAGCTGAGCAAATCAGCTGTAAAATCCTAAAGTAAGAAGATATCATTTTAAAGATAAAAATTGTGATATTTAGGCCAGGCACGGTGGCTCATGCCTGTAATCCCAGCACTTGGGAGGCAGAGACGGGCGGATCACGAGGTCAGGAGATCAAGACCATCCTGGCTAACATGGTGAAACCCCATCGTCTCTACTAGAAATACAAAAAAAAAAAAAAAAAATTAGCCGGGCGTAGTGGCGGGCACCTGTAGTCCCAGCTACTAGGGAGGCTGAGCCAGGAGAATGGCGTGAACCCGGGAGGCGGAGTTTGCAGTGAGCCGAGATCATGCCACTGCACTCCAGCCTGGGTGACAGAGCAAGACTCCATCTCAAAAAAAAAAAAAATTGTGATATTTAGACAAAGCATTCTTTTACTGATTTCATTTAAAAAACCATCTGTGCTCTTGGCTGAACGTTGTGTGAATTTGATCCTGTCATCACAATGCTAGCTGATTATTTTACACACTAGTTGATGCAGTTTCTTCATAGTGTCACTAGTCTTTATATTTTGGTGTATTTTTGCAGTGGCTGGTACTGGTTTTTCCTTTCCGTATTTGGTGCTTCATTCAGGAGCTCCTGCAAGGCAGGCCTGGTGGTGATGAAATCCCTTAGCATTTGCTTGTCTGGAAAGGATTTTATTTCTCCTCTGCTTCTGAAGCTTAGTTGGGATGGATATGAAAATCTGGGTGGAAAATTCTTTTCTTTAAGAATTTCTTTCTTTTTTTTTTTTTTTTTGAGGTGGAGTCTCACTCTGTCACCCAGGCTGGAGTGCAGTGGCGCCATGTTGGCTCACTGCAACGTCTGTCTCCTGGGTTCAAGCAATTCTCATGTTTCAGCCTCCAAGTAGCTGGGACTACAGGCACAAGTCACCATGCCTGGCTAGTTTTTGTATTTTTAGTAGAGACGGGGTTTCACCATGTTGACCAGGCTGGTCTTGAACTCCTGACCTCAGGTGACCCCAAAGTGCTGGGATTACAGGTGTGAGCCACCATACCTGGCCTCTTTAAGAATGTTGAATATTGGCCCCCACTCTCTTCTGGCTTGTAGAGTTTCTGCTGAGAGATCTGCTGTCAGTGTGATGGACTTCCCTTTGTAGGTGACCTGACCTTTCTCTCTGGCTGCCCTTAACATTTTTCCTTCATTTCAACGTTGGAGAATCTGACGATTATGTGTCTTGGGGTTGCTCTTCTCAGGGAGTATCTTTGTAGTGTTCTCTGTATTTCCTGAATTTGAACGTTGGCCTGTCTTTCTAGGTTGGGGAAGTTCTCCTGGATAATATCCTGAAGTGTGTTTTCCAACTTGGTTGCATTCTCCTTGTCACTTTCAGGTACACCAATCAATTGTACATTTGGTCTTTTCACATAGTCCCATACTTCTTGGAAGTTTTGTTCATTCCTTTTCACTCTTTTTTTCTCTAATCTTTTCTGCATGCCTTATTTCAGCAAGATGGTCTTCAATCTCTGATATCCTTTCTTCCACTTGATCACTTTGGCTATTGATACTTGTGTATGCTTCACGAAGTTCTCGTGCTATGTTTTATGTTCCTTTCTAAACTGGCTATTCTAGTTGGCAGTTCCTGTAACCGTTTATCAAGGTTCTTAGCTTCCTTGCATTGGGTTAGAACATGCTCTTTTAGCTCAGAGGAGTTTGTTATTACCCACCTTCTGAAGCCTACTTCTGTCAATTTGTCAATCTCATTCTCCATCCAGTTTTGTGCCCTTGCTGGAGCGGTGTTGCGATCATTTGGAGGAGAAGAGGCATTCTGGTTTTTGGAATTTTCAGCGTTTTTGCATTGGTTTTTCCTCATCTTTGTGGATTTATGATCTTTGAGGCTGATGACCTTTGGATGGGGTTTTGTTGGGGGGTTGTTTTTGTTGATGTTGTTGTTGTTGCCGCTTTCTCTTTGTTAGTTTTTCTTCTAACAGTTAGATCCCTCTTCTGCAGGTCTGCTGCAGTTTGCTGGATGTCCACTCCAGACCCTGTTCACCCGGGTATCACCAGTGGAGGCTGCAGAACAGCAAAGATTGCTGCCTGTTCCTTCCTCTGGAAGCTTCATCCCAGAGGGGCACCGGCCTGATACCAGCCGGAGCGCTCCTGTATGAGGTGTCTGTCAACCCCTGTTGGGAGGTCTCTCCCAGTCTGGAGGCACGGGGGTCAGGGACTCGCTCGAAGAGGCAGTCTGTCCCTTAGCAGAGTTGGTGTGCTGTGCTGGGAGAATCCTCCTTGTGAGGATCAGCCACTCTCTTTAGAGCCGTCAGGCAGGAAAGATTCAGTCCACTGAAGCTGTGACTGCAGCCGCCCCTTCCCCCAGGTACTCTGTCCCAGGGAGATGAGAGTTTTATCTGTAAGCCCCTGACTGGAGCTGCCACGTTTCCTGCAGAGATGCCCTGCCTAGTGAGGAGGAATCTAGAGAAGCAGTCTGGCCACAGCCGCTTTGCTGCACTGTGGTGAATTCCACCCAGTCCAAACCTCCCAGTCTCAGCACTGTCAGGTGAAAACTGCCTACTGAAGCCTTGGTTATGGCGACCGCCCCTCCCCCAACCAAGTTCCATTGTCCCAGGTCGACTTCTGACTGCTGTGCTGGCAGTGAGAATTTCAAGCCAGTGGTTCTCATCTAGTTGGGCTCCGTGGGAGTGGGACCCGCTGAGCAACACCACTTGGCTCCCTGGCTTCAGCCCCCTTTCCAGGGGATATGTAATATTCTAAAGCCTTTATTGTTATTTTTACAATGCTCACAGCATCTTCACTAAGTATAGACTCCATCTTAAGAAGCCACTTCCTTTGCTCTTCCATAGGAAGCAACTCCACATCTATTCAAGTTTTATCATGAGATTATAACAATTCAGTCACATCTTCAGGCTCCACTTGTAATTCTAGTTCTCTTACTATTTCTGCCACATCTCCAGTTACTTCTTCCACTGAAGTCTTGAACCTCTCAAGGTCATCCATGATGGTTGAAATCAATTTCTTCCAAATTCCTAGTAATGTTGATATTGACCTCCTATGAATCACATCTTCTTAATGGCATTTAGAATGGTAAATCCTTTCCAGATGAAAATCTTGGAAATCCTTTTCAGGCCGGGCACGGTGGCTCACGCCTGTAATCTCAGCGCTTTGGGAGGCTGAGGCAGGCGGATCACGACGTCAGGAGATCGAGACCATCCTGGCTGACATGGTGAACCCCCGTCTCTACTAAAAATACAAAAAAAAAAAAAAATTAGCCAGAGGTGGTGGCGGGTGTCTGTGGTCCCAGCTACTTGGGAGGCTGAGGCAAGAGAATGGCATGAACCCGGGAGGTGGAGGTTGCAGTGAGCTGAGATTGTGCCACTGCACTCCAGCCTGGGAGACAGAGCAAGACTGAGTCTCAAAAAAAAAAAAAAAAAAAAAAGAAACTCCTTTTCAATTTACTTTGCCTAGATCCATCAAAACAATCACTATCTATGGCAGCTCTAGCCTTATGAAATGTGTTTCTTAAATTACAAGACTTGAAAGTAAAGTTACTCCTTGATCCATGGGCTAAAGAACGGATGTTGTGTTAGCAGGCATGACAACAACAATAATCTCCTTGCACGTCACCATCAGAGCTCTTAGGTGACTAGATGTACAGTCCATGAGGAGTAGTATTCTGAAAGTTATGTTTTTTCTGAATAGATCTCAACAGTGGGCTTAAAATACTCAGTAATCCATGCTGTAAATGGATGTGCTGTTACTCTGGCTTTGTCGTTTCATTTATAGAGCACAGGTAGAGTAGATTTAGCATCATTCTTAAGGGCCCTAGAATTTTTGGAGTGGTAAATGAACACTGGCTTTAACTGAAAGTCACCAGCTACATTAGCCCCTAACAAGAGAGTCAGCCTGTCTTTTGAAGCTTTGAAGGCAGACATTGACTTCTCTATAGCTATAAAAGTCCTAGACAGCACCATCTTCCCATAGAAGGCTGTTTTGTCTACACTGAAAATCTATTGTTGCTCTCGAATGGCCCTGGCCAGGAAGATGAGTTGCGTGTGTCACTTCAACTGGCCATAGTGGTGGGAATGGAGGCAGTGGGGCCTGTGTGGCCGCCTGGGTTTGTGAAATGGCTGCTGGCATTTCTGAATTCAGTGGGGCTGATTGCAAAGGAGACCCAAGAAACAGTGCCAAGTTAGATGCTGATTACTCACTTTGAGTCCTTTATTGTGGAGTCTGTTCATTACTAACACACACACAGACACACACGCACACACATAACATATCCATACACATATCACATTTTAAAATTCTGTTTATTTTTTCTTCCAACTTTTATTTTAGGTTCAGGGAGTGCATGGGCAGGTTTGTCACATGGATACATTGTGTGGGGTTTGGTGTACCAATGACTGTCATCCATGTAGTGAGCATAGTACCTGATAGGTAGTTTCTTTTTACCTTCTTTCTTTTTTTTTTTTTTTGAGATGGAGTCTCGCCCCATCCCTCAGGCTGGAGTGCAATGGCGCCATCTTGGCTCACTGCAACCTCTGCCTCCCAGGTTCAAGAGATTCTCCTGCCTCAACCTCCTGACTAGCTGGGATTACAGGCCCCTGCCGCCATGGCCAGCTAATTTTTGTATTTTTAGTAGAGATGGAGTTTCATCATGCTGGCTAGGCTGGTCTCAAACTCCTGACTTCAGATGATCCACCCACCTGGGCCTCCCAAAGTGCTGGGATTACAGGCATGAGCCACGGTGCCCGGCCCCTGATAGGTAGTTTCTTGATCCTCACCCTCTTCCTACTCTCCACCCTTAAGTGAGCCCCAGTGTCTGTTGTTCTCTTCTTTGTGTCCATGGGTACTCTATGTTTAGCCCCCATTTCTTAGTGAGAACATGCAATATTTAGTTTTCTGTTCCTGTTTTAATTTGCTAAGGATGATGGCCTCTAGCTGCATCCATGTTGCTGCAAAGGACATGAATGATTTCATTCCTTTTTTATGGCTGCACAATATTCCATAGTGTATATGTACCACATTTTCTTTATCCAGGCCACCACTGTTGGGCATCTAGGTTGATTCCATGGCTTTGCTATTGTGAAAAGTGCTGTGATGAACACGTGCACACATGTATTTATGGTAGAACAAATTATATTCCTTTGGGTATACACCCAGTAATGGGATTGCTGGGTTGAATGGTAGCTCTGTTTTAAGTTCTTTGAGAAATTTCCAAACTGCTTTTTAAAAAATAATACATTTAAAAAATCCATTCAGCTTGGTTGGTTCAAGTTGGTTCCACAGCTTGGCTACTGTGAATAATGCTGTCATGAACATGGGAGTGCAGGTATCCCTTTGACATTGATTTCCGTTTCTTTGGATATATACTTAGAAGCAGGATTACTGGATTATGTGATAGTTCTTTTTTCAGTTTTTTGAGGAATGTCCATGCTGTTTTCGATAATGGCTGCACTAATTTACATTCCCACCAACAAAGTAAAGAGTTCCCTTTTCTCCACATTCTTGCCAACACTTATCTTTCATCTTTTTGGTAAAAGTCATTCTAATTGGTGTGCGATTATATCTCGTTGTGGTTTAATTTGCATTTCCCTAATGATTAGTTATGCTAAGCATTTTTTTCACGTACCTATTGGCCATTCGTATGCCTTCTTTGGAGAAATGTCTGTTTAGGTCATTTGCCCATTTTTTAATCAAGTTGTTTTCTTGCTGTTGAATTGTTTGAGTTCCTTTTACATTCTGGATATTAACTCCTTACTAGACGTATGGTTTGCAAACATTTTCTCCCATTCGGTGGATTGTCTCCTCACTTTGTTAATTGTTTCCTTTGCTGTGCAGAAGATTTTTAGTTTAGATGTCATCCCATTTGTCTGTATTTCCTTTTGTTGCCTGTACTTTTGAGGTATTTTGTCAATATTTTATCTCAGTTTATCAGTTGTCTTTGTCTTTTGACTTTGTGGTATTTTTTTGGTCATGCAACATTAAAAGTTTTATTTTTTATTTTTTGAGACAGAGTCTCACTCTATCACCCAGGCTGGAGTGCAGTGGCATGATCTTGGCTCATTGCAGCCCCGACCTCTTGGGCTCAAACAATCCTTCCACCTCAGCCTCCCTAGTAGCTGGGACTATAGGCATGCACCATTACGCTTGGCTAGTTGTTTTCTTTTTTTTTTTTTTTTGTAGAAACAGGGTCTTACTATGTTGTCCAGGCTGGTAAATTTTTTTCATGTGGCCAAATTTGTCAATCTTTTCTTCTGTTCCTCTAGATTTAGATCTTAGAAAGCCTTTCTCTTCACCAAGGTTAAATAAAAAGTTACTAAGTTTTCTTCCATTAGTTGCATGGTTTTATCTTTAGATATTCAGACCCTTTAGATCCTTAATCCATTTGTGTATTCTTGAGCATGGTGTGAGATACGAGTTATCTATATGGTTACTTAGTTGTCTCAGCTCATTTAATTAAAAAGCCCACCTTTATCCCAATGATCTGAATGCCACCTTTGTCATACACTAAGTGTTGCATGCCCTTGGGTCTAATTCTGAACTTTTTGTTCTATTCCACTTGTTTATTGTCTATTTGTGTACTAGTAACACACTGTTTTGATTTAGGCTTTATAGTAAGCTTCAATGGGTGGTAGTAAGAGCCCTGTTGTTTAATTAACTATAGCAGAGTTGAGGGTAATGCTTAGCTTTGTTATAATTCTAGATCTAAATAGCTGTATCTTGTAGATTGTTACTATTCAATTATAGATTACTGATTACTTGAGCCAAAGGAGGTTAGGGCCAATACCAAATACAAATTTTAAAGAAAAGTGGCTAATTTATTTAGTTCATCTGGCATTCCTAGAGAAACAGATCTGGCACAATATAAACAGTCTATGTACATTCAATCCCCAGTTTATGAAACTCTCTCAGAGGATTGGTGGAATTCCATATTCTCTAACAAGATTCATTCCTGGGGCACATGAATCTGATTCTGATTTGACTTATACATTCGTCGAGAACCACTATTATGTATAAGCACCCAGCTGAATGCTGCAAGATTTCCTAATGGAAAATACTGGCATTTTCACTCATTTGCAAATATTAATTGAACATTGTATGCCAGGCATTGTGCTAGGTTCTGGAGCTATAATAATGAATAATATAGTTATGACCCTTGTCTACCCTCCACAGTTTAGCAGGAAACAGAGGCAATTAAACAAGTAATAATAATAGTGTGATAAGTACTAGAAGAGAGGAAATATAGTGTGCTGGGGCAACACACAGCTGGGGCACCTTAAGGTAATTTAGGAGAGTCAGAAAAAGCTTCTTAGAAGAAGCAATATTTAAGCTGAGACATGAAGGAGGACAAGGAGTGAACCAAGGTGTGGTAGTTTTCCAGGCAGAGGAAAACAGTGTGTGCAAAGGCCCTAAGGCAAGACATAGCTTTTTACTTTCAAGGAACTAAAATCAATTTCTGTGTGGTTAGAGTATAAGTGAGTGGGGAATGATGGAAGATAGGGCATGGTAGGGGTTTTCCACCTGCACTGGTTTTGCTCCCCAGGAAACATTTGGCAATTTCTGGAGACATTTCTTGTTGTCTTAACTAGGGGTTGAGACAGTGCTATTGGTAGTAGACAGAGATCAAGGATAGTTCTTCTAAATATCCTACAGTAGACAGGACAACATCCGCCTTGCCCTTGCCCCCCTCACCCCCGCCCCCACACACAAAGAATTATGTGGTCTAAAATATCTGGTCCTGGCGAAAGCAAAGGTCCTTTCATTACAATTCATATAATATTTTAAGAAGAGAGTTTGGATTTCATTCAAGGGCAAGGAGGAGCTATTTGCTGGCTTTAAGTAGCAAAAGCAAATGTTTTAGAAAGATTACTCAGTACAGAGAATTGACTAGAGTTTCTTCATTCAAATATTTATGTGCCATGCATTGTGTAGGAGCTGGGGATACAGTGGTGAACATTTAATCACTGACCCATTCCAGTGGAAGAGGTAGAAAATAAAAATAATATGGAAATTAACGATAAACAACAAGGCTGTTTTCCCATATTCAGTATCCCAAATGTAGATGAAATCTGGGTCTGAAAATAAAACTTCAGTATTAATTTTTAGAGAAAAGCCCTAGACAAATTTTATAAAACATCATCTATGGGGTATTTGTTGTTTAGTTTGGATCTCATTTCTCCTAAATGTAAATATTTAAAAAAAAATCGCCACAACACAAATAAAATCTTGTTCTTCATTATTGTTCTTCATTTTCTGTGTATGTATGTGTGTGTGTTTCTGGCTTACTTTTCCACATTATGTTTAAAATGCTTAATATTATAGGATTACTGAAATGATTACTTCTTTGGCTGACAGCTTTAATAGTGACAGCAACAATTTTGGGAACTATGATCATTTGACACCCCCCAGTATAGTACAGAACTTGTCTCTTGGCAAGGATGACATTTAATTTTTTCTTACATAGGTTTCCTTGGGGGAAAATAAAAACCTTTGCTTTTTGTATCTCTGTGACTCTTCTTAAAATTAGCTATTTTCTAGAATGAGCTCATTTCGATATATTAGCTTCTTAATCTAAGCAGTAAATCAGTGACAACTTGTTTAATGTGTTGGGAACTTCTAGTTGCATAAAAACCTTTTTTAAAGAACTTTAGGTCAGCAAAATGACTGAAAGGTACACCTTCATTATAACTTTCTTGCTTCGAAGCCACAATCAATGATGGATAGATTTTCCAGAATAGCACTAAACAAAAATCCTTCCTGCCACACTAGAGAGGCAGCATCGCGTAGTGGTTAAAAGTATAGACTTGGAGGCTGCCTGCCTCAGTTTAAATCTTGACTCAGTCATGTACTAGTTTATGGTCTCAAGCAAGTTATTTAATCTCAGAGCCTCTGTTTCCTCATTTGTAAAATGGGGATAACAATAGTATTCACCTTATAGGGGAGAATACTGACTCTGAATCCTAGCTTTGACATTTATTAACAGTATGACTTTGAAAAAATTAATCACTGAAGCCACTGTTTCTTCCCCTGTAAAATGAGATAATAATGTACCTCATAGGGTTAAGGTAAAAATGAAGAAATGATATAACAAATATAATGTAAGTAGCACTAAGCCACAATACACATTAATTCTTCTGTAGACAGAAGCCAAGTTCTCCTTGTCTTGTGAATTCTGTGTGTATTCCCACAGGGTAGCAACAGATTCAAAACCTAGAGAAACCACTCGGATCACTGCAGCCTCCGCCTCCCAGGTTCAAACGATTCTCCTGCCTCAGCTTCCTGAGTAGCTGGGACTACAGGCGCCTGCCACTGCGCCTGGCTAATTTTTGTATTTTTTTGGAGATGGGGTTTTGCCATGTTGGTCAGACTGCTCTCAAACTCCTGACCTCAGATGATCCACCAACCTTGGCCTCTCAAACTGCTGGGATTACAAGCATGAGCCACCGTGCCCAGCCAGAAATCTAATTTTTGACTAATACGAGTTGTAGAAGGAGAGAATAGAGGAAAGGGTGGTGAGGAAATTATCATAAATAATACAAAAGCATTACTCAGAATTAAAGAATATCCTCAGGGCTTGCTACGTACCAACAGAATAAATGAAAAAAGACCCAAGAACAATGGTGATAAAAATAAGATTCTAGGCCGGGAGCGGTGGCTCACGCCTGTAATCACAGCACTTTGGGAGGCTGGGGGTGGGGGCGGATCACGAGGTCAGGAGATCGAGACCATCCTGGCCAACACGGTGAAACCCCCGTCTCTACTAAAAATACAAAAAAAATTAGCCGGGCGTGGTGGCGGGCGCCTGTAGTCCCAGCTACTTAGGAGGCTGAGGCAGGAGAATGGTGTGAACCTGGGAGGCGGAGCTTGCAGTGAGCCAAGATCGCGCCACTGCACTCCAGCCTGGGTGACGGAGCAAGACTCCGTCTCAAAAAAAAAAAAAAAAAAAAAAAAAAAAAAAAAAAAAATTCTAAAAGCTTCTGGAGAGAAAACAAGGTATATATAAAAGATTGGGAATAAGAATAGTACCAGAGTATTTAATAGCAATATTGGAAGCTCAAGACAATGGAACAATGCCTTCAAAATTGAGAAAAAATAATTTTTACCCTAGAATGATATACTGTGTCAAACAAATAAGCAAGTATGAACATAGAAAAAAGATGCTTTTAGAAACAGTAAGTCTCAAAAAACTTACGTCCTATGCATTTTTTTATTAGGAAGCTACTGGAGGATATGTTCCACCAAAATGAAGAATCAAATCGAGAAACAATATGACATAGATGAAACACAGAAGAGAACTGACAGGAACTTCCAGGAGAACAAGGTGGAAAGCCCTCAGAGTGTCCTAGGCCCAGACTAAGCTCGACGGAGGGCTCTAAGACGGATGACTCATGAAACCCCATCTCTACTAAAAAGACAAAAAAAAAAAAAATTAGCTGGGCGTGATAGTCCCAGCTACTTGGGAGGCTGAGGCAGGAGCATCGCTTGAACCCAGGAGGTGGAGTTTGCAGTGAGCCGAGATCGCACTACTGCATTCCAGCCTGGCGACAAAGCCGGACTCCTTGTCAAAAAAAGAAAAAAAAAAAAAGAAAAAAGAAAAAAAAGATGGATGCCTGCCAGGTTAAAAAGAAAAAACGTAACTGGTAATGTGGAAAATTGTATTGAGAGACATTTTACAAAACTACATTAGGGTTATGAAATGACTTAGCCAATGATGTGAAGAAAAATAAGCAAATTTTAAAACGAGGCATTTCATAAACCCCTAGGAAAAACAAAGTCGTTCAAGAAGGAAATGTTACCCTTGGCTCCAGGGAGAACTATATTTGCATAGTATTAATACTGAAAATACTATAATATGGTTCAGCCAAAAATCATGAAATAATTGTGTTGGGATGGTGGTAGGAAGAAGGAAGGTAAAAGAGCTGTAATTTCCATCATCTATAATAAGAAGCAATAGTTAATATGTAAATTAATAAAAGTTTTAGCAGTATACAAGTAGAATTTAGAAATATCGAGGTGAAAATCAGAGAAACTTCCTTAAGAGTTGAAAGTGGCTGCCTTTGGGGAGAAGATGGGTGGGGTAGAGGAAGAGAATTGCTGGTTTTGAGCATTATTTGGTTTTCTATGTGCTTATGTTATTTTGAGAAAAATATGAATTTCAAACCCAAATGTATAAAAGATATTATGGACAGTGTAGTATAGCAGGAAGAGTTTTAAGTTAGGAATGAAAATTAAAAACTGTTGATTACTTATACCCTGATGTTGGGTAAAACATATCCCTTTTGGCCAGGCGCGGTGGCTCATGCCTGTAATCCCAGCACTCTGGGAGGCCGAGGCGGGCAGATCACCTGTGGTAAGGGGTTTGAGACCACCCTGGCCGACATGGCAAAACCCCGTCTCTACTAAAAATACAAAAATTAGTCTGGGATGGGGCCAGGCGCTGTGGCTCACGCCTGTAATCCCAGCATGTTGGGAGGCCGAGGCGGATGGATCACGAGGTCAGGAGATCGAGACCATCCTGGCTAACACGGTGGAACCCCGTCTCTACTAAAAAATACAAACAAAATTAGCCGGCTGTGGTGGCAGGCTCCTGTAGTCCCAGCTACTCGGGAGGCTAAGGCAGGAGAATGGCAGGAACCCGGGAGGCAAAGCTTGCAGTGAGCCGAGATCGTGCCACTGCACTCCAGCCTGGGCAACAAAGCGAGACTCCGTCTCAAAAAAAAAAAAAAAAATTAGTCTGGCATGGTAGCACGCACCTGTAGTTCCATCTACAGCTACTAGGGAAGCTGAGGAACGAGAATCATTTGAACCTGGGAAACAGAGGTTGCAGTGAACCGAGATTGCACCACTGCACTCCAGCCTGGGCAATAGAGCAAGACTCCGTCTCAAAACCAACCAACCCACTTCTTTGGGTCTCAACTTCTTTATTTATTCACCAGAAGATTTTATTTCTAAGGGTCTTTCCAACTCTAAGGTTCTGATCCCAACATAATATTTTTCTAGGAATAGTAAAGAAAGAGAAACTTTCCTCCACGCTTTCATGGTGTACCTTTATGTATTTTTGTTCACTTTGGCAAAGGTCTCCCTATCTTTGCTTCCTTAATGTTAAAATGGAACTACCATGTCCCCAACATGGGAATCCCATCATACTTGTGAGGCTAGTCTTCGCATAGCCTCCTGCGCATTTCCAGAGTTCCTGGGCAGCTTCCGCTGGTGATAGATGAGTGGGCTGAAGGTGGCTGTGTGAGTGGCAGCTCTCTGTTGGCATCCACATCTGGATCAAAAAGATTTAGATGGTTGCATCAGATAATCATAAAACTTTAAAGGAAAAATGACTAAATTCCATTTGTTCTATGATCCAGCAATACTGCTCCTAAGACTATACCTACGAGAAATAAAAACACGTGTCCACCCAAAAACGTGTACACAAATGTTCTTAGAAGAATGATTCATAATAGCCAAAAGTGGAAACAACCTAAATGCCCACCAACTGATGACTAGATAAAACACAGTATACCCACTCAATAACTATTACTCAGCAATAAAAAGAAATAAGATACCGATACATGCTAGAACGGGGATAACCCTTGAAAATGTTATGCTAAGTCAAAGAAGCTAGTAACAAAACAAAACAAAACATATCTTGTATGATTCTATTTATATGAAATGTCCAGAATAGGAAAATCCGTAGAGACAGAAAGTAAATTAGTGGTTACCTAGGGCTAGAAATAGAGGGTTAAGAGGAGAATGGGCATTGGCTGCTAACAGGCATGAGTTTCTTTTAGGGGGATGAAAATGGTCTAAAGCTGGATTACGGTGATTGCTGTACAACCCTGTGAGTTATACTAAAAATGCTGAATTGAATACTTTAAATGGGTGAATTACATGGTATGTGAATTATAGCTCAATAAAACTGTTGAAGATTTTTTTGAAAAAAATTCAATTTGTTCTTGTTATTTAGAAAATGTATTCTTACTAGTAGAAATTATAGACTATATTTATGAATAAGATCATACTTTAAAAATGGATACCAAAGTAAATATTAGAAGTTGTTATTTGATGGCCAATAGCTATTGAAAAGAAGGAGGAATAGGAAAAAGTAGTCCTCATTTAACTCCCTACCAGTAGGAGTGAATTTAGACTTCTTTCATTCAACTGGTACATTAAATTCCTTGGTCACTGAATAGAGTTCTGGATAACTGCAGGGGGGTGGATATGGGAGATGGCAGGAAAAAAAGCCTAAAGTAATGTGTGACATTTTGAGTTGAGGTGAAGTTCAGTGATCGTATGTCATGTATTATTTCTGCTCTTCCCTTCCTCCTCCTACTGTATTCCCCTTTATCTGGTATTTGATTTTGTGGGTAATTACTGTCTTCACCTCTGAATTAATAGTCCTCACATGGGCTGGGTGCGGTGTCTCACGCCTGTAATCCCAGCACTTTGGGAGGTCGAGGCCAGCAGATCGTGAGGTCAGGAGATTGAGACCATCCTGGCTAACACAGTGAAACCCCATCTCTACTAAAAATACAAAAAAAAAAAAATTAGCCAGGCATGGTGGCGGGCGCCTGTAGTCCCAGCTACTCGGGAGGCTGAGGCAGGAGAATGGCATGAACCTAGGAGGTGGAGCTTGCAGTGAGCCGAGATCGCGCCACTGCACTCCAGCCTGGGCGAAAGAGCGAGACTCCGTTTCAAAAAAAAAAAAAAAACAAAAAACACAAAAGGTCCTCACGTGGAAGTCAGGTTTTACAGATCAGGAAATAAAAGGATGTATGACTTAATATAAATATGTCAGAAAAACTTCAGTGCCAATGAAGCAGGGAGTTATTTAAAAAGGAAATATACATTTGGGGGAGGCACGTGGGCTGTCTGAGGTGATCTGTCTCATCTTTGTACCATGGCAGCTGAGGGCCACCAGTCTGGAGATGGTGGCAGTTTTGCAGAATCCAGCGTTTCCCACAATCACTACTCCGTGGTTCACGCTGGCATTTGAACGTTGAAGTTGAGCATCTATTTCGTGGAAAACCCAATCTTGGCCGACAGACACTGACTCTGTAGTGATGCTGGTACTTCAAAGAGAAGAGGCTTCAAGGAGATATCTGGAGGCCTATGAGGTGCAAAGCGAACTGAGAGGAACAAGAGAATACAGAACTTAGGTCACACTGTCAACATTGAGAGAAATAGAGAAAAAAATGCAGTGTGGTTTAGGAGACTGAGTTACAGTATGATGGCATCCTGGGCTTATTCAGAAATAATGCAACTCTGAATGTTGATTCTATACAGATAAGTAACACAGGTGAGCTAGAGCTATTTGATACTCTAGATTGCAGAACACAAACATTGATAAGATAGTAACGATTTACTCTATTAGTCAGAAAGTCAGGGTGATATTCAAAATTGTTACATGGAAGGGATGACCCAAGCACCAGCAATCAGTATGGATGCAAGCCTAGTGAAGAAGAAGGGTCCTAAAGGCCTCCTGCTATGCCTCGGGATAACCTTTTAATTATTGGATTGTGGGGAGGTACAGCAATGAAGTGCCTGTTGGAAAGGCGAGGCTGTGGCGGGCATGCAGAGAGCTTACAACGGCGGCTCTTTACCAACCAGTAAGAACATATTTCGGTATTTAGCAACCAATATGGCTACACCCGTATATATCAGTTGAAAATCAGTTCTGAAGAAAGCAGTATAGAGAGGCTTGTTTGTTTCTTTAAAAACACCAATGAGAATAGTAATTCCTTTAAGTTCATGGATGGTATTTTTAAAAATCTAGTAGGTGTATTGTTAAGAGAAGCAGACTTTAAAAGCTCGGATGGTTTAAAAGATCTTAAACATGTTAAGCAGTCGGGCAGAAAGCAGGCCTTCACTCACTGTCTTTGCACCTGTACTGCTTATACTGTTTGCAAAAGAGCATCACTAAGAAGCTTAATAAGGATTAATGACATACATGACCCTGGATCATGGACAGAGGATAAAAATCAAGCTCTGATAGCAATAAACATAGTCTCTTTTTATCTCTAAACAGACAGAAATACTATGCAGGTATCCCTTCTTTGGTAACAGGGCTGGTTACCAAGTTAGTTATTTTGTAATTAGTGAAGAGTTGGGGCATTTCTGATATGTGCTTACTTAGTGTAAACATTTCTAGCTCTACCACTTAACCATCATTTTAAACATCTGTTTTAATATAACAATTCCTGAAATGAAATCCTCAATACCAGTCTATTCTCTTGGTAGCGTTAATATTATTTATGTATTTCAGCTGCTTAATCTTCAATATTTATTTATTTATTTTATTATTATTATATTTTGCGACACAGTCTCACTCTGTTGTCCAGGCTGGAGTGCAGTGGCACGATCTTAGCTCACTACAACCTCCGCCTCCCAAATTCAAGCAATTCTCCTGCCTCAACTTCCTGAGTAGCTGGGATTATAGGCGCGCACCACCATACCTGGTTAATTTTTGTATTTTTAGTAGAGATGGGGTTTCACCATGTTGGCCAGGCTGGTCTCAAACTCTTGACCTCTGATCCACCTGCCTTGGCTCCAAAAGTGCTGGGATTATAGGCATGAGCCACTGGGACTGGCCTATTTAATATTTAAATGTTAATTTAATTCAGATTAAATTACCAAAAAATTCTGGATTAATGATGTTGAAATTAATGTGGGTGGTCTGTATTTTCTTCTCCTTTAGGCAACAATCCGGAGTTAACTTTAATTCCTTTCATTTTACTAAACCAACTTTTTCAAATCTTTTTTTGGGAAGGTCAGATAGTAAATATTTTAGGCTTTGTGGGCCACATGTGGTCTCTGTTGCTTATTTCTTTTTGTTTCTTTGCTTTTTCTATCACAGTTCTTCAAAAATGTAAAAACCATTCTTAATGGGCTATTTAAAAATAGACCATAAATTAGATTTGCTCTATTGGTTGTAGAGTGAATATAAGAAGATGGTACGTGAACACTTTTTATAAAACAAGGTTCATATGGGTGTCAGTCACTGCTCAGATCTTATTACCATGTGAAATATTTCTCCGTATTTTGTCTATATAGTTTAAAAATTGAAAATGCATAGGAGGTAGTTAATGCTAGAGATGGGTGGAGACCCTGTAGAAACTTACAGAATTGCAGAATTTTATTGCTGGAAGAAATCTTAGAGATTATTTAATATAAATCCCTTATTAATTTTACAGATAATATGACTAAAGGCCGGGCGCCGTGGCTCACGCCTGTAATCTCAGCACTTTGGGAGGCCGAGGCAGGCGGATCACGAGGTCAGAAGATCGAGACCATGCTGACTAACATGGTGAAACCCCGTCTCTACTAAAAATACAAAAAATTAGCCGGGCGTGGTGGCGGGCGCCTATAGTCCCAGCTACTCGGGAGGTTGAGGCAGGAGAATGGCGTGAACCTGGAAGACGGAGCTTGTAGTGAGCTGAGATCGCGTCACTGCACTCCAGACTGGGCGACAGAGCGAGACTCCGTCTCAAAAAAAAAATAATAATAATAATAATATGACTAAAAGCTTGTAAACTCGTAAATATGATTAACTAACTAACTTACAAATCCTGGAGGGATAGCAGGCCTTCAAATGAATTCTTACGTAATTCAAAGAATTTTCACTGAGAATTCTGAAAAATGAAACAGTTATGGCTAGATCAAAATGCAAACTACAACTATTTGCTACACAGGACTAACTCCTGTATGTGGAGGAAAGCCGGGTAATGGTAATTTCTTTTTTTCTTTCTTTCCTTCCTTCCGTCTTTCTTTCTTTCTCTCTCTCTCTCTCTTTCTTTCTTTTCTTTCTCTCTTTCTTTCTTTTTTTTTTCTGAGACAGAGTTTCCCTCCATTGCACTCCATCACCCAGGCTGGAGTGCAATGGTGCAATCTCGGCTCACTGCAGCCTCTGCCTCCCAGGTTCAAATGATTCTCATCTCTCAGCTTCCTGGGTAGCTGGGATTGCAGGCATGCGCCACCAGGCCCAATTAATTTCTGTATTTTTAGTAGAGACATCACACCTGGCTAATTTTTTCTTTTTTCTTTTTTTTTGAGATGGAGTCTCGCTCTGTCGCCAGGCTGGAGTACAGTGGCATGATCTCCGCTCACTGCAACCTCCGCCTCCTAGGTTCAAGTGATTCTCCTGCCTCAGCCTCCTGAGTAGCTGGGATTACAGGCATATGCCACCACGCCTAGCTAATTTTTGTGGTTTTTTTTTAGTAGAGACGGGGTTTCAACATGTTGGCCAGGATGGTTTCTATCTCCTGACCTCATGATCTGCCCGCCTCAGCCTTCCAAAGTGCTGGGATTACAGGCGTGAGCCACTGCGCCCGGCCTAATGTTTGTATTTTTAGTAGACACGGGGTTTTACCATATTGGCCAGACTGGTCACAAACTCCTGACCTCAGGTGATCCTCCCACCTCGGTCTTTCAAAGTGTTGGGATTTCAGGTATGAGCCACTGTGCCCAGCCCACAAACTTTCTGTTAGGTTTAGCCAACCCTTAGGCCAAGGCCACAAAAAATAGGAACTCCCTAAATGCCTGTTGCTGGTTCCAGTTTTCAGTGTGCCTCTGACATCTGTCCATTTTTGTGTAGTCACCCAAGTTCTCAGTTATATTTTAAATTTTTGTCTAGAGTTGATGGCTTTGACTTGCAGAATGGTCCATTTGTTAAGTGTGTGAGGGGCTCAGTTTCCCATGCTGGAAGCGACAGGTTTAATATGAACTTTAATCATCAGATTCTTATTAATTTTTTTTTTCCAGAGGGAGTCTTGTTCTATTGCCCAGGATGGAGTGCAATGGCACGATCTCGGCTCACTGCAACCTCCGCCTCCCAGGCTCAAGCGATTCTCCTGCCTCAGCCTCCCAAGTAGCTAGGATTACAGGCACCCACCACCATGCCCAGCTAATTTTTGTATTTTTAGTGGAGACAGGGTTTCACCATGTTGTATACATGTTGGTCAGGCTGGTCTCAAACTCCTGACCTCAGATGAACCACCCACCTCTGCCTCCCAAAGAAAATTGTTCTTCTTGGTGGGTCCTATCAAACAGTACAAAGGTGTTTTGTGTACTCCTCGCCATCACTTTTACTCTGCTCTATTCTTCGATATAGAACCTGATTGTGCGTGGTCTCTCTTCCCACTTTTAGTGGGAAGGAAAGCTCCTTGAAAGCACTGTGCCCTCACTGTGTACTGAATACCTCAGCTCTCTTCAAAAGGGGAGAATACAAGGAGAGGTGGGAAGGTGGAAGGTGTGCACACCAGGAAGGGGCTATCTCAGCAACTAGGCTTATGTACGAGCCAGCCCAATGAGCTCACAGAGAGATAAGTCATTGTGGCTTTTAACCACTGGGTGGCGCTGCTCACTAATTTTCCTAAAATCATGTCAAGACAGCAATTGCTTTTCAGCAACTCAATCCAGAACTCCAAGACCTAAATCCACACTCCAGGACCTGGCTTAAACTGCCATCTCGGTGGAGACACATCCCTGCACTGATCCCCTCACTCACAGCCAAGGGGCCCTATCACATTGACTTCCAACCCCTGCCCCCATGCCTAAGTGTGAAATTCATGATTAGATATTTAGTGAGGCCCCCCAGGTACAAAGGGCCCTGGATGGGAACAGGGTAAATTCGAAGACGTGGCCCCTGCCCTGAGACAGGCTTTTTGAACTGGCTTAAGATAAGCAGTAGATGTAATGGGTTAACCTCCCTCCTGTGCATCCAGAGTGGTGTTGGTTATGCATCATCCTAGGAGAACTGAGAAAGCAGTCACAAGTTGTCTGTGTTCTGTGGCTCGGATGAGAAACCTCACGCATATGATCTGGAGGGGACAGGGAGGATTCCTTGTTTTTTTTTTTTTTCTTTGGAGACAGAGTTTCAAGTGCAGTGGTGCAATCTTGGCTCACGGCAAGCTCCACCTCCTGGCTAAATAGAGATGGAGAACTTAAGAGACTTCATAGGAAGATTACATTTGCTGTAGCAAGTTGACTGAAACTGATGTTAAGAGTCCTGACCAGTTAGACATTAACCATATTTATGACTACCTTCTCATGGTAATTAGTTATCTGCAGTCTCCTGGAATTCCCTGCAAAAGACAATTCTGCCAACATTGAAGAGGTGCCACATTATGAAAAAAAAAAATGTATCTTTGAAAACTGCAGTAAAGCAAAAAATTACTATGGTTTTTTACTATCTCTTTGAACTTTTTTTTTTTTTTTTTTTGAGACAGAGTTTCACTCTTGTTGCCCAGGCTACTGGAGTGCAATGATGCGACCGTGGCTCACCGCAACCTCCACCTCCCGGGTTCAAGCAATTCTTCTGCCTCAGCCTCCTGAGTAGCTGGGATTAGAGGCATGTGCCACCACGCCTGGCTAATTTTGTATTTTTAGTAGAGAGAGGTTTTCTCCATGTTGGTCAGGCTGGTCTTGAACTCCTGACCTCAGGTGATCTGCCCACTTCGGCTTCCCAAAGCTCTGGAATTACAGGTGTGAACCACTGCGCCCGGCTAAGACTCATTTTTTGATCAGAATGCAAGGGAGGAGCGAGGGGGAAGTTCTGAGTGTGTGCTAGGGGTGGAAATAACTGTTTCTTGATTCAAGTGACTTCTTGATTCTTTTGCTCATTACATGATTCCTTTTCCATCAGCATTTGTGTTGTAGTTGTGGGAACCGATAAGTGTCACCTGACTCTGTCTTGCCTCTTCCAGCAAGAACTTGCAAGACAGAAGCAGCGTTTCTCTGGCAAGGGAACCCATAAGCACCCAATCTCTGCTGTGAGCCAGGTCCAATACTAGGCACTTTACTTATGTTAACCAGTGTAATTCTCCCAATAACCTGTAATTGTTGGTGTTTCCATCTCCATTTTTTTTTTTTTTCGAGACGGAGTCTCGGTCTGTCACCCAGGCTGGAGTGCAGTGACATGATCTCGGCTTGCTGCAAGCTCCACCACCTGGGTTCAAGGGATTCTCCTGCCTCAGCCTCCTGAGTAGCTGGAATTACAGGCATGCACCACCACGCCCAGCTAATTTTTGTATTTTTAGTAGAGATGGGGTTTCACCATGTTGGCCAGGATGGTCTCAAGCTCCTGACCTCAGGTGATCCTCCCACCTCGGCCTCTCAAAGTGCTGGGGTTACAAACAAGAGCCACTGCGCCGGCCAGGAAGCAAAATAATTGATGGCACTTTTGAGGACTCCAGGAAGGAGGGCAGTCCTGCCGCTCATTGCACAGCCTCTATCCCCTTCTCCAGCCCTCTGTCTCCCTCCCCTCTGGCTCTCAGGGGCAAAGCTGTTTCTCCTGGTTTGCTTGGAACAACTTCAGCCCTTCCTGTGAAGTCTCAGCTCCATGTCCTGGGGGAGTGTCCTTCCTTAACCAGGGTTGCCAATTCATTTTCTTAACAAAGGTTATTTCCTCCATGATAGGAATTCCTGCTTTAGCTGCTAAGAGATTAATACTGTTTTCCATTTTATTATGATGTTTGTTCCAGATCCTGTACCAGAAGCTGGCAGTTGTCACAGCAGCCCTGTAAGGTATCAGCGCCATTTTGCAGAAGAGGAAACTGGGCTCAGAAAGGTTAAGGCTATTGCTCATAAATACCAGGCTCTGGAGAGATTTGAGGTCCCTTTCTGCATTTGCCCATTCCTTCTTCAAAGTCTCCTTGGCGAGAATCAAAGATACATGAATGGAGGCCAGGCTCTCCAGGGAGACCAGGTCATGCAAAAGGAGGTCTCAGGCTTTGAACTATTGCTTCTTTAGTCAGATGACCCCAATCTTTCATATATTCATACCAGCCTCAGGCTTGTGTAGATCAGAGGTTTCTTCTTTTTAAAGTATAGCCTCCAGTTCTAGTGCCAGATCTTCTGTAATTTGTAGCATGACCTTTGCTAAATCGCTTTCCATCTCTGGCCTTTAATTCCCTTATCTTCATAATGACAGAAAGCTCCTTTCTGTCTTATGTTCTGTGGTCCTAGAAAAAAGTCAGATTCTGGAACAATAAGGCCTATTGAGCACTTATCTGCTAAGCACTCTCTCACATTGCCTTTTCATCCTTTCAACACTGGGGGGTAGGTATCATAATTGATCTATTTTACAGATGAGGAAACCAAGGCTTAGGAGGATTAGTAGTTACCCAAGACCTCACAGTGAGTGACAGAGTTGGGACTCAAACATAGATGGTCTGTCAGAGTCTGAGTGTGGAGATAATACTCTTTTTGTTTTTAAATAAAAGATATGGGGTCTTCTTGCTATGTCGCCCAGGCTGGAGTGCAGTGGCTATTCACAGGCATAATCATGGCACATGACAGCCTCGAACTCCTGGGCTCAAGTGATCCTCCTGCCTCAGCCTCCTGAGTTACTGGGACTATAGGCATGCACCACTGCACCTGGCTTGGAGACAGTGCTTTTAAACCATTGCATCAGCTGTGTCCCCAAGTGCCAGCTCAGGCTGCTGATGACTCTCAATAGTTGCTCTCACACGTGCAAGCACATGTATGCTCTCATGGGAAGAAAATATGTGTTCATGCAGCCCATCTGAGAAAGACTAATAATATTTCAAACAGGCCTGCTGAAACCAGCCGCAGGACATCTGGTCATCTGCTTCAAGGATTCATGGTGTCTAAGACGGCTGTGTAGAAAGAGGACATGCGAGCCGTCCTCTGTGACTCCCAGTAAAATGCTCTTTGTACTATCCAGAGTTGTTCTCTCATTTTCTTCCCTTCCTGTTCCAGTTGGTTCCCCCATGTACCCAGCCACCTGTATTCTACAAGGCAAAAGGTCAGTCATACAAGTTGTTCAAGAAAAGGTTTATTTGCTTTAGGATGACCACAGCTGGAAAACTCTGTATATCAGAATGACCGAAGTCCTTTCTGTATTTGTGTGTGTTTAAGGTCAGCCATCTATCTGCCTGCCTTGAAAAGACTGGGAATATCCTTCTTGAAAAGCAACTGAATGCACGTGAGAAAAGCTCTTCCAGTTCTGAACCATCAGAAGTTTCTGGCAGGCTTTTTATTATGTGCTAGGGTGGGGATTTGACTTTGTGTATATAGACTCTCGATTACTCAGGTTTTCAGACTGACACCTCAGTGCTCCTGAATTTAAAAACAAAACAAAACAAAACACAAGACAACGACATTCTGTTCCAGCTTGCCAGAACCCCGGCCCTGAGCTTCCTGTTTTTAGCCTTGTCCTGTTTTTTAGGCCTTTGAACTCTGACTCCCTGGCTTTGACCCTGGTGCTGGCTAAGGACTTTGAAACTTCTTGCCGCATCTGATGTTGTCCTGACTTTTCTGTCAACCTAGGCCCTGCCGGCCTCACTCCCACCCCCATGTTTGCTTTGGCCTCTGCAAGCAAAGGTCTGGGCCTGACTACATTGTATGTTATTGATTCTGTCATCCCCAGGCTGGGAGCTCCTGGAGGAAGGAGTTTGATCATATTTAGCTGTAACCCCTGATAGCAAGGAGGGTGGAGAGAAATTCCTGGATCAAGGAGCAGGGACTCACAGTCCAGGGAGGGACCAAAGCAGGTAGCACTGCCTCTGTGGAGGAGCAAGAGCAGCAAGCACATGGGGCTCCTCTGAGTCAATGCCCGGGTGATTGATGGGTTGTTGCCCAAGTTCAGGTGCTTTTGGTGCAAGTAACAGAAACCAAGATCTGCAAACTCTGGCTAGCAAGAAAAGAGAGATACCCACACGTCCATCAGCAGATTAGCTGGATAAACGAAATGTGGCAGATACATACAATGGAATGTTAGCCTAGTGACTAACAGGAATAACGTTCTGAAGCATGCTACAACTTGGATGAACCTTGACGACACTATGCTGGTGAAATAAGCTAGTCACAAAAGGACAAATGCTATGTGATTCCCCTTACATGAAATACCTAGAGCTGTCAAATTCATAGTGACAGAAAGAAGAATAGTGGTTACCAGAGGCTGGGGGAGGAGAGAATGGTGAGTTAGCATTTAATGGGTACAGAGTCTCAGGTTGGGACAATGAGAAAAGTCTGGAGATGGATAGTGGTGATGTTTGCCTAACAAAGTGAATGTAGGATTGTACACATAAAAATGTTTAGAATGGTAAATTTTGTCTCTCTATATATATATATATATACACACACACATACACACATACACACACACACACACACCTATATATATATATATATATATGTATTTTTAGGCAGAGTCTTGCTCTGTCATCCAGCCTGGAGTGCAGTGGTGATATTATGGCTCACTGCAGTGCAGTCTCAACCTCCTGGGCTCAAGCAATCCTCCTACCTCAGCCTTCTGAGTACCTGTGACCACAGGCACACACCACCGTGCCCAGTTAATTGTTTTTTTTTTTTTGTAGAGATTAAAAAATATGTAAGATCTCACCATACCGCCCAGGCTGATCTCAAATTCCTGGACTCAAATGATCCTCCTGCTTCAGCCTCCCAAAGTGCTGGGTTTACAGGCATAAGCCACTGTGCATGGCCTTGTTATGTGTGTACACACACACACACACACACACACACACACGTTTTTTTGAGACAGGGTCTCATTCTGTCACCCAGGCTGGAGTGCAGTGGCACGATTTCAGCTGACTCCCCAGCTCAAGGGATCCTCCTGCCTCAGCCTCCTGAGCAGCTGGGACCATAGGCCCAGGCCACCATGCTCGGCTAATTTTTTTTTTTTTTTTTGTATTTTTGGTAGAAGTGGGGTTTCGCCATGCTGCCCAGGCTGGTCTCGAACTCCTGGCCTCAAGTGATCCGCCCACCTCAGACTCTGGAAGTGCTGGGATTACAGGCGTTAGCCACCTTGCCCAGCCCCTGTTATGTCTATTTTAACACACATACGTCCATCATCCCCCACCAAGAACTGACCTAAACCAGTAAGTTATTCCTGAGGTGCTAAATTGCCACCATGGCCCTTTAGGAATTTTTTTTTTAAATTGAGATGGAGTCTCTCTCTGTTGCCCAGGCTGGAGTGTAGTGGCATGATCTCAGCTCACTGCAACCTCTGCCTCCTGGGTTCAAGCGATTCTCATGCCTCAGCCATCTGAGTGGTTGGGATTACAGGCGACCACCACCATGCTCAGCTAATTTTTGTATTTTTAGTAGAGATGGGCCATGTTGTCCAGGCTGGTCTCAAGACTCCTGGCCTCAAGTGATCTGCCCGCCTTGGCCTCCCAAAGAACTGGGATTACAAGTGTGAGCCATCGCGCCTGGCCTAGAAATTTTTTTAAAGGAAAGATGCTGGGACATCTCATGGAACTGAAAGACCAGCTGAACCTCCCAGCCTGGAGCTGGGGCAGGAAGTGAGGCAGTTCCAGGGACCTCAGGACAGAAGTTCATAGACCTCTTTCCTTGGGACACTGCCAGAAACTCACTTCTGCTCTAGCAGCAACCAGACTGAGTTTCTCAGGTCCAAATTTCAAATCTCTCTGAGAGTCTGATTGGCCAGCTAGATGAGATGGCCATCCTGGGAAGATGAGCTTGGGCTGGGGAGGCAGCTCGTTTTTTTTTTTTTTTTTTTTTTTGAGACAAGAGTCTCTCTCTGTCGCCCAGGCTGGAGTGCAGTGGCACGAACTCGGCTCACTGCAAGCTCCGCCTCCTGGGTTCATGCCATTCTCCTGCCTCAGCCTCCCGAGTAGCTGGGACTACAGGCGCCCGCCACCACGCCCGGCTAATTTTTTTGTATTTTTAGTAGAGACAGGGTTTCACCGTGTTAGCCAGGATGGGCTCGATCTCCTGAGCTCGTGATCTGCCCCCCTCGGCCTCCCAAAGTGCTGGGATTACAGGCGTGAGCCACCGCGCCGGCCAAGGGAGGAGGCTCGGGTTTTAACAACATGGCCACTGGGGGGCAGTTATGAGTCAGTTTACCAGAATCCAATTCATTGGCCCGTTTTCAGCTTGACACTTCACTGCATTTATTTGTTTCTCTTAACCATCCGGTCTTAATTACCTGTCTTAACCATCCGGTCTTAATTACCTGGCTTTTGTTTTGTCTTCACAACAGCGTTTTGGGAGAATGTTGAATCCAAGCGAGCTGAGTCAGCTGTCTGCTGTTAAGCTGGAGACAGAGGGGAAGATTGAATATAAATGGCCCCCAACCTTGACAAAAGTCTCAAGAAATGTGGAGAAGCCCCTGAAAAAAACTGAGATTAAGCTTCTTTCACCCTAGCAGAAAAAAAAGCAGGAGGTTAGGAATCAAGCTGTCAAATAAGGGAGTTTTATTTATTGCATGCTTGGGTTTTGGACTAAGAGTTTACCCCTAGCCGTGTCTCATACCCTTTCTTTCCCTGTCCTGCAAAGCTTAACATGGGAGGTAGAGATTTGTGTCTCTTCTTCTTCTTCTTCTCTCTCTCTCTCTTTTTTTTTTTTTTCCAATCAGGCACTCTCTGTACCCCTGCCACCCTGAGGAAGACAAAATATGAGAGGATCTAGCAAAGTCTCTGCAAAAATGATTAATGTGAATATTCCCATCCGGACTTCCTATGAAAAAGTTGCATTATAAAATGAAAGAATAATTGAAGAAAATATAGATCCAGAAAAATCCATAAAGATGGACAGGAAAAATCAAGAGTTCTATGGGGCTCTTAATGGGTCAAGACCCAGAGGGCAAAGATCATCTGGAAGGCTGGAAACTGGCTAAGTATTTAGAATGGCTTGTGTACTGGTGTGAAGTGAGGAATTGAAAGAGAGCAGGAGAAGGATGTGAAATATATTTTTCTGTGTATTAAGAGTGCACTGGCCGGATGTGGTGGCTCACGCCTGTAATCCCAGCACTTTTGGAAGGCTGAGGCAGGTGGATTGCTTGGGCACACGAGTTTGAGACCAGCCTGGGCAACATGGTAGAATCCCGTCTCTACCAAAAATACAAAAATTAGCCAGGTGTGGTGGCGCAAGCCTGTAGTCCCAGCTACTCAGGAGGCTGGGGTGGGAGGATCACTTGAGCCTGGGAGGTGGAGGTTACAGTGAGCCAAGATCAAGTGAGCCAAGATCACACCACTGCACTCCAGCCTGGGTGACAGAGTAAGACCCTATCTCAAAAAAATAAAAATATAAATATAAAAATAAAAGAGCGTACCTCTGCCCACGTCCCTTAACTTTGGTATTTCCTCCTAAGATTGAGAAAATATTCGAAATACTTCTCCTTTATTTTGATCATTGTTCTGCTTCTCTCAATGTGACTGGCTAGTTTCAGCCTAATAAGGCTTCCCCTGTTTTCATAGGTTTACCCCTCTCTTCTGTAAACAAGGGCTTCCACTAAAGCCTGGTCATCACTGGGAGTTGAGGAGCTGGGGTTGACCATTCTTTGCTGTAATAATTTTAACCGTGGACAAGTTCCTGGTAGGCAGCAAAGGTAGGTTGGGATCCTTGATGTACTCTTGGACCCAGTCGTCATTGGGGTTGGTGCAGACTTCTCGGTTCCTCTTGGTGACGAAGCTGCAGAGGCAGAATTAGACCGTCATGGGCTGCAGACTCGGGCAGGAGTCCGGTGCCCACCCCCACCTCTGGTTCACATGGAGCTCACCTTATGTTCTTTAAAGCTTCCCTGGGCCTGTCCTGGCTGGGTTCCCTCAGACAGCCTCTCTCTCTGGCCTCAGAACCTTACCATCCCTTCTCTCAGTCCCTTCTCCACTCAGCCTAGACCCTCAAGCTTGGGTTTCATAATGAACCACATAGCTAAAAGTGGCAAAATTAGGAATTAATCCCAGGCCCCTGAGAGCCAAAGGCCAAACCCTTAGCCACTGCTCCACTGCTTCTAGCATGGAGACCTCTTGATCCCATGTATCTCATTCCTGCCCCTGGGCTCCCTGTCCCTCTCCACAGAAATATCTAAAAGGACGTGCTTACATGATTGCTGGCAGGTGACAGTTGAGGGCCTTTCTGTATCCCACCACTAGTCTCCTTGGCAACACTTTCTCATAATACTTCAGGCAGCAGGTGGATGGGGTGTTCACCCACTCAGGAACTTCTGAAGGAATCACATTGCAAGCTGAGCCAGGGAAGCAGAGGGGAGACCACAGCTGCCCACCTCTGTCTCCCACCATTTGTGTTTCACTCCTCTGATAGCAAAGCCGTCTGTTAGAGGAGACCAATGATAGCTTGACTGGTAATGAAGTGCATAAGATGAATCCCTTTGGGGGACATACATTTAGAACCCTCAGCCTCTGAGCTGAGTGTCAACTACAAATGACTTGGTTATTCACACTTGCCAAGGAACCGGGAGGAAGCTGGCTCATTCTTTTGTTTATTGGTGACTTGATCGGGCAAACATGTGTTGAGCTAGTATTATATGCTGGGCTCTATGGGGGTAAAAACATGAGGAAGATACAGTCACTACCCTTAAGTAACTTACAGACTAGTCAGGGTTGAAAGAGAAATTGAAAAGTTAAACAAACACTACCACAGAATGTGGTCCAGGATAGAACAGACTTTGGCATAAGGTGCTATGGGAACAGAATGAAGGGCCCCTAACCCATCCTTGGTGGTTGAGGAAGAAGTCTCAAAGCAAGTGAGGCCTGCATTGATTCGTAAAGGATGAGTAGGATTTAGACACACGGCTGGGTGTGGTGGCTCATGCCTGTAATCCCAGCACTTTGGGAGGCCGAGGCGGGCGGATCACCTGAGGTCAGAAGTTTGAGACCAGCCTGGCCAACATGGTGAAACCCCGTCTCTACTAACAAAAATTAGCCAGGCATGGTGGCACATGCCTGTAATCCCAGCTATTCGGGAGGCTGAGGCAGGAGAATCACTTAAACCCGGGAGTCAGAGGTTGCAATGAGCCAAGATTGCGCCACTGCACCCCAGCCTGGGCGAAAGAGTGACTCCATCTCAAAAGAAAAAAAAAAAAGGATTTAGACACACAAAGGACTTGTAGAATCTGGAAGAAAGAAATGCAGGAAAGCCTGAAGGTAGGGGAAGCTCAGTGTGTCTTGGGAGTGCTGGGCAGTTTGGGTGGCTGGCATGCAAGGTAGGAAGAAATGAATGGGCAGAGATGAAACTGGAGAGAGGAGGAGGGTCTGGTCACATACCTGCTGAGCTACTGAGGAATTTGGACTCTATCTTAGAGGTATTGGAGAGGCGGAGGTTAGGGGGAAGGGTGAGAGAGTAGAGCCTTTAGAGACAGAAGTTAGAGCAGGAGGAAAAAGTATATGATTTAGGCTTTGGGGTCAGACAGCTTGGGTTGGAATTTTGACTTGATTTGAATTTTGACTTGAATCATGGGCAAATTTCTTAATCTCCCTAGGTTTCAGTTTCCTCATCTATTAAGTGGGGGTAAATGATACTTACTTGTATCCTAGGATCATGGTTAGAATTCGGTGAGAAAATGATTGGAAAGCCCTTAACTCAGAGCCTGGCACACAGAAAGGCTCAATCAGTGCTTATTATAATTAAGAGCCAATGGTAGTAATGACTGCTCTTCTTGCCTTGGAAATGGCGCTTCCCCCCATCTCTTTGATGTATGCAGGATACTGGACTTGATTGGTTATTGTCACTGTGTTTCCTTTGAGCTGTCCTGACTACCCATCAATTGGGGATACTACACAAGAGGTCAGTCCAGAGATCTCTCCCAGCCCCCAAACCTTCAGAGTGCAAATCTTTTTGTAGCTTGACCCCTTTGCCTCCAGTGAGTGGCAAAGCTTGGGACATCTTGAGAGCACCATCTTGCTGATCCATGCTTTGGGTGGGCCATTTTCTCTTTCTTGAAGCCTGAACCCACTGCACTGGCCTGATTGACTCTCCCAAAGAGCACTGTTCCCCCCTCCCACACAGTCCCTCTGTAAGTGATGCTCATATCACTGGTTCTCAAAGCAAAGTTTACAAAGACCAGGGTCATCCTGAGAGTATGTGGGCAGATTACATGGTGCACTTGACCCTTGCTCCTTTGTGTTTACACAGGCAGAGTCAGGCCAGACTACATGCCAGGGTGACCTTAAGAGAGAAAAGAGGCCAGGCATGGTGGCTCATACCTGTAATCCTAGCACTTTGGGAGGCCGAGGTGGGCAGATCACGAGGTCAGGAGTTTGAGACCAGCCTGACCAACATGGTGAAACCCCGTCTCTACTAAAAATACAAAAATTAGCTGGGCGTGGTGGTGTGTGCCTGTGATCCCAGCTACTCAGGAGGCTGAGGCAGGAGAATCACTTGAACTCGGGAGGCGGAGGTTGTGGTGAGCCGAGATCGCGACACTGCGCTCCAACCTGGGCAACAAGAGCGAAACTCCATCACAAACAAAACAAAACAAAACAAAACACAACAAGCAAACAAACAAAAAAACAAAAGCGAAAAGAATGGCTGGGGCAGCCTAGGGCAGGTACACGTCTTTGTCCTCCCCACCCCCGTCACCAGGTCCTCGTAAACAATGATAGAGGGAGGAGATACGGAGGGGCAAAACAAACCCCCTCCTCCATAGGCCCCAATTCTCCCTTTCCCCACAGCTCCAAAACCTTTCAACCCCTTTCCTCTTTTCTGCAGATTTTATTTAGTCATAGGCTGGGGGATGGAGAAGGGGACCATAGATTCCCAAGCAGCCATTCCACTGGGACTCATTTTGGTTGTCTGATAGTCCCAGCAACCTGTGCCAGCCATGTTGAGGAAGGGCTCTCTCGGTTCAGACTCCCAATTCCTGGACTTAGACCCACATGATTGTTTGAACCTTCCTTCCTCTCGCCACTCATTCTTCCAGGGCACCTGCCACTTTTCTTTCTCATCCGCGTGCCTCCCCCTCCCTTTCATTGCATGCACTTCTTGTTGCATTTTCTGCTGCTTTCTTGGCCTCTCCTCCTGAATGATCATTCCTGCTCACCACGCTTGGGACTCCTGAGGAAATGGTGACCCAGTTTCCTGGAACTACTTACCCCAGAAAGATCCGGACCAACCCCAGCTCTACTTACAAAGGGGAGAATTGGAGGTCAGAAGCTATGCATGAAGGTGGGGAGAGCCCACAGGGTCTTATGAGGCCAGAGACCCGACAGCGCCCTTGGCACTACCTCCCTGCCAGCTGCTCCATCCCCCTTTCTCGTTCCTGCCCTACAGAGACAAGTGGACTCACTTGGCTGGCTGCGAGAAGCCGAAGTAATGATAAGGATGAGGACAAGGAGAGACAGGGCAGCCTCGGAGACCTTCATCCTCTCAGCGAGGCAGTACAGCTTCAGGGAGAGCCGAATGAAGATGTTGTCTGTTGCTGGTGGTCCGCTTGCCAACTACTCAGCTCTCTGGACCTTGACCGCATCAGAGCCGGTAGAGGAGGAGAAACAACAGGCCTCAGTGTTTGCTGAAACAGAGGGCAGCAGAGGATGGGACTTGGTGCAGAGCTGAATTCAGTAGAATCTGAATTCACGTGAAGAAATGGGCGAATGTGTGTCAGCTACCTTACATGCCCTATCTTATATAATCCTTAAAATAGTGAAGTAGCGATTATTACTTCCCTGGGACTACTGAGGCCTAGAGGCTAAATAAATTGTCCAAGGTCACCTGGGTGGATAGGCGGATGAAAAACCAGATCTGTTTGATTTCACCATGTTACCTGCCACCATCTGTATGTTGGGGAAGGGCAGGCAGGGTTGAACCACCCCAGCTTCCCCCAGGTGATCAGTCTTGGGGAGATGAGCACAAAGCAGGATTACAGAGCCCAGACTGAGGCAAAGGTAGGGCTTAGTTGCCTCTGAGAAGGAAATGCCCTCTCCCAGTCCAAGGCCACATGATTGAGCTCACACTCTTTCATGTCACAGTGTATGCTAATACTCCAAAAAAAAAAAAAACAATGTGCCTGATCCTTGGGTCCCCATTTGTTGCTGGACCGTTTGACTTATTTGTCAATGTTTTTATTTATCTCTTTGGACCTCGGACTTTGGACTGATTTTTAGGTGTAGCCAGCTCGCTGATCCCTCCTGGGTGCCCCCATGGCCAACCATGACCAGCAGGGGACCCTCCAACTCTGTGCACCTGACAACCTGCGTCTGTGCTCCAGGACTCCAGCTTCTGCCCCTCTGGCCTGGGCTCTGGCTGGACCTGTCCCACAGCTTCCTCTCTCTTCAGGTGCCTCAGGACCCTTTTCCATGTTGAAAGCTGCATTTAGAGAAGAGATCAAAGATATAAGGGATTTTGCTGTTGATGGACAGCAAGCTTTAGAGGCATAGGTGATGTGTTTCAGGTGTTGAGGGCAGTGGGAGGCAGGGGCAGAAACAGGGACTGTGCAGATCCTTATGGGGCTTTCTGCTTGGCATGACTGCTCATAGATAGGTAAACCGTATAATGCAGTTACTCCTGGTGGGTTCAAGGCTTCACCTGGTGGTGAAGCTGTGGCTTTTTGTGAGGGCAGGGAGGGTACGTATGTGGGGCATCCTCTTGACCTCTGTTTATGGAGGTGACAAGGCCTGAGAAGCCTGGTTGTGACTTTGGCATGCAGGCCCCCATATGGCCCTTAATGTGGCCCACAAGCCCTTCCTTATCTGTGGAAGGCTGGAGGCCAGGAAAGGGTGGTCATAATCCCTACTCTGGGCAAGCTCTTATTCCAAGTACACAGAGCTCCTCCTTGGGCCCTGAAGATAGGTTTGAGAGCTTATTCTTGGAGCATAGTCCTCCTCTTGATTTCTGTCTTATTCCATCTGTCCCTCTATCCCTCCCTCCCTCTTTCTCTCCATCCATCCATCCATCCCTCCCTCCCTTCCTCCCTCCCTTCCTCCCTTCCTCCCTCCCTTCATCCCTCCCTGCTTCCCTCCCTCCATCCATTCCTCCTTCCCTTCATCCTTCCATCCACACATTCTTCCCTTCCTTCATCCATCCATCCATCCATCCATTTCCTGAACACCTGGTATGGGCTAGGCTTTCTGCTAAGCCTTCTAGGGGATAAAAAAGTTAGTAAAACAATATAGTATAATCTGATGTGTGTAAGCGAAGGGGAGGGGTTGGATAAAATGTCTTCATGCATCATTCCTATTCCAGACAGCAGTGAAGAAAGGCCTTGAAAACAGCACAGAAAAAAGGACTATGGAGTTTGACTGCTATAGAGAGCCCTTTATGAAGTGTTACCTAAAAAATCAAATGATGATTTGTAGCTTTTACACTTGTCATGAAGCTTAAATAAGATAATGCATACAGACTGCCTAGCAGAGTGCTTGGAGTATAGAAAGCATTAAGAAAACGGGGTCTGCTACTGTTGTTGCTGAGGAGGAGACGGTCTTTACACTGCTTTTCTTTCTCACTTTCTGCTTCTCACTACCTGCATTGCAGGCCTGACCTATTTTTTGTACCAGGCTCCAGCAAAACTTCTGCAGAGCGAGGCTTGATGCCGAGGGTGCCACACCCTGGTGTCCTCAGTGCATGGCCAATGAGTAAATCCCGTAGAAAGGAATGAGGCCAGGGAAGAGCATGAGTGGTCTTTAATTCAAAGCAGGGAAGCTCCAAGAGGGTGACTGGGGCTGAGAGTTAGCGGTGGGTGGAGGAGGGGGCCTTGGCATCTTCTCTTTATGTCTCTGAGCTGTGCCTTCGCCACCCCTTCTGGGTCACTCAGTTCTCCTTCATGTCCTTGATATAGTCCTGGACCCACTTGTCACTGGGGTTGGTACAGACGGAATGGCCCCTTTTGGTGATGAAGCTGTGGAGCAAGAGGGAGAAGGATCACAAACCGAGGGGCCCAGTGGCCGGAAGAGACAGCCCATCTTCCCTCCCTCCTAAATTCCCCACCTGACCTATACTGCTTTTCCTTTCTTCCACAGAGGCAGCTTAGAGCCAGTCTCCTCTCTGAGACATACTCTTCGGTTCCTAGGACCCCTAGACCCATCTAGTCTCTGTGTCCCCCTGAGGAAGTGCCCTCTTGCCTTCTTCTCCCTTCTCTGTCATCTCCCCATCCATGGGGTCAGTTTCCCCATGGCTCCTGCAGGCTCCAGCCAGAAAGCGCTCAGATTGCCCCTCAGCTGCCTCTCCCCATGTAGTCACACCTGGGAGGTACGCTGGGGGTCCCCATTCCACCACCACTCCCTGCTTCCCTCCAGGAGGCCCTGCTGGCTCCCTCTCCCCCCAGTGTGATGTGTGTGTACCACCTACACAATTCCGGGCTTGGAGCACTGGCTGTTGGTCTCATAGTAATCCATAATCCGCTGACGCGGGATCTTGTAGGTAGTGTAGGTGAAGCAGCACTCTGAGGGGTGGTAAGGTCCCCCTGAGGAGAGAGCATCAGATGCTGAGGAGGGGCCCCTTGTTAAAGGCCATACCATTGGCTGCTCCTGCAAGCTGAGGGCATGGAGGAGGGAAGGAAGGAGGAGACAGCCCCTCAGAACTTGGAGGGGAGAGTAGGCTTTCCTCATCTTCTCTTCTCCTTCTCCATGGTACTCCTGGGCTCTTCTTTTTCTCCTCCCTCATCATCAATCACCCTTCCTCCTTTTCTTCAACCCCTCTTGGAAAGACTGGTGGATGACTTTCAACTCCAGGATTGAAGAGCAGCACACTCAGATCTTCTTACACCATCTCTGGGGGCCGACTGGCAGAGAAGGCTAGGGACTTGGCCAATATCATGCAGCCTTCATGCCTTATTCGGGAAAGGTGCTCCAAATAGGAGGAATATTTGGAAGAAATCCCAATAGGGATTTGGAGACATGCCATTTGGGAATGCAAACCCAGCCCCTCCTAGTGCTCCACCCTGCCCATGTCCCCATTGAACCGACAACCTGCAGAGAGAGCAGGATGCCCACAGCAAGCCCCAAGGACAAAGGCCACAGAGTCAGGGCACCCAAATCCTAACCTAACCTTGCCTGTGCTTCCTGTGTACTGTGGCCATTTTACTTTCCCCCTGTTCCCTCCTCTGTAAATGAGGCCCTTGGACTGCATCAGTGGTTTTTACACTGAGCTCCCTGGAGCTCTGGGGGCCTCAGGGACTATTGTGGAGGCCTTGCTGCATTTGAGAGTGGTGTCTTGTACCCTACTCAACCCATTTTTTCTGTTTTACATATTGGGCCTCTGTGGAAGATATTGCTTGAAGAAAAGGTTTTGTGGTCTAAAAAGTTTTAAAAATCACTGGATTGGGTGATTTTTTCATCTATTTTCTGATTGAGAAGTTTCATGGCTTTTATAGGAGAAGCAAGGTGACAGCAGCCACCCCAAGCTTGAATTATAGAGGTAGCAGGAAGGACATTGTAGGCCAAGAGCCCTGTACAAACAGGCACATGTTGTGGTTATGGAGTGGAGAAATCAGGTGTGTGCATGTTATGTGACCCTGCTTCATAGAATCATGGATGTGCATCACAATGGCCTCAGAGGTCACTGAGGGTGGCCAGATGTCTGGGTGGAAGGGTCTCATCCTGTTTTCCAGCTCCATTCCAGGCAGCATCCTCACGATCCAAAGAACGGCATAAGGGGCCCCTGTTTCCTGAGACCCAGTCAGAGCTCCTATACTCTCCCACCTTGTTCCTCTGAGCTGACAAATGACATCGGAGAGGGCAAGTCAAACTGTGCACATACCCACCAACTTTAGCTGTATTTTAACAACCTTCGGTTTCCCCCCAGTTTCTGAAAAGGAGAGTAGGTAAAATGGAAGAGTGATAAATAGTTTTGGTTATCTCTAAAGGCAGCTTATTCTAAGAAATCAGCTGAGAAAAGGGGGCCTAGGATGGACCCCACACTGTCGTGTTTCCCCCCAGCCCATACCCAAGCAATGCTGCACTCACTGGGCACAGGTGACGCTGGAAGCAGGCTGGGCCCAAACCTCAGGAGGCCAATAGAAAAATGCCCTTGAGGGGCTCAAGACACTGCTCCTAATCTCCCTGAGGAAATATACCCCAAATGGGGTGGGCCACTCTTTTGCTTAGCGGCAAAGAGAGAGAAATTGAGGGAGTAGAGAGGCAGGCTGGTCTCACTCCATGTCCTTGAGGGCAAGGGGGGACTGGTCCTGGGGGGCAATGATAAGAGATCAAGGCCATGTGAGGCCTGGAGATTCAGGATCTGTTTATTTGGAGACTAGAGGGCATTTGGGGTAGTGGAATGAAGCCTGGAGTCTCCCAAGTCAAGTCTCATTGGTCAAGGCTGGAAGATCCCAACTTAAACTCTTAAGCAGAACCTACAGTCCTAAGTCTCATCTCCATCCTGCTCACCACACCATGGGGTGAAGTGCTGTGGTGCTCAGTAGATAATTCATTTATATAATGTTGCTATACACACAATTTCAAGAAGATACCAGCCCTCCTTTCTGAGTCCCTGCTCCTGGTCTTCCCCTGAGCCCCAACCTCACTCCTGCTTATTTCCCTGCAGGCTCTAGGTTGGAAGGAAGACAAGGCATTGCACTCACGTGAGGAGGATTCAGTCTTGGTCCCTAGGGCGATGGTGATGAGGAGGAAGAAGGGAATGGCAGCCACGGAGATCTTCATGCTGTGGGAAGCTGTTGTGGGAGGAGAGCTGGCCTGGTGGGAGCTTCAGAGGCTCCTGCGGTGAGGAATTGTTGAGAAATGATCATTGAGGCCAAATATTTTTTAAAATAAGGGAGCTGAGACTTGGAAGGGAAGTAGGAAAGCAGTGATGCCTCAGCAATTTCATATCCTGCACATGTGTTGTTGGTGGCCTGAAGGAAGCAGGGAGAGCCAAGGTTTAAGGGAGGAAATGGTCTTCCATCCCCAGTGGGAAGAAGTTCAACTCTTTTGATAGAAGCCTTTCCCTAGGCATGAACATGAGCACAGGGCTGGGGGCACTGTGTCACACTTAGCAAAAGATCTCAAGGCTGGATGTGTCCTGTATCCAATTCCATCTCAGGCCTTAGAACAGGCCACGTGGGGCCTGGACATTCAGGATCTGTTCATCTAGAGACTAGAGGGTGTTTGGGGTAATGGAATGAGGCCAGGACTCCTCCAAGTCAGGTCTCATTGGTCAAGGGAAATCCTAACTTAAACTCGAAGCAGAACCTGCAGTTCTCTGTCTCATCTCCATTCTGGTCACCACACCATGGAGTGAAGAAGTGCTGTGGTGCTCAGTAGATAATTCACTTATATAATGGTTGCTATACACACAAGCCACTGTCCCAGTTGCCTTATGAATATTAGCCTATTTAATCTTTAGAACAGCAGTTGAGGAAACAGGCTCAGAATCAAAGCCTAAGCTTTTGACAGTTGGTAAATGGAACTGGGGTTCAAATTCAGGTGGTTTGGCTTCCAAGTCTGTGTTCTCACCCATTATGCCATAAAGAAACATGGGACTCCCAACGGAGCTCTGTAAAAGCTTATGGGTTTTCTATAAAGCCTTTAGTCTTAGTCCTTTCTGAAATCAGATAGTGGATCTCTTTGGGACCTTCTCCTGGTTTCTCTGACTTTTGCTGCAAAGAAGCTTGGTGGGAACCCTAGAAAATGTCTAATTCAGGGATAGCTAGTAGGTTTCATTGATTAGTGGTGGACTGGAGCTCTGTGTTGGAAATGATTCTGAGGCCATATCCAGGCACATTGGGAAGATACGCTGTGACCAACGTGCAGTTTCTGTTGCAGTGCAGCTTGCATGCTATGTATCTGCCATTTGATTTGTCTAAACTGGCCATTTACTGAATGGAAGCTGGGAATCAGAAAGGACCAGTGACTTTCTCATGTGCACACAGTGATTTGGATGCAGGACAGATCTCATCTCCGCAGGCTCTCAGCTTAGTGCCCTCACCATGCTGTTCTTGGAGGTACATCCCCCATTCTGCTTGCTGATGTGGTTAGATGGTTATTTAATCTCCTCTCCTCATCTGAATCATCAGGATGGAGAACATCTATTATTTATCTTTGCCCATTCACGCAGAACCTAGTGTATACCAGGTGCTTTATGAATATACATTTTAAAAGAAGGATGAATAAACAAATTGAGCCAGGTCTACATATGTGTATCTTATAGGAAATGGCTGAAATCTCATGGTTAGTTGTGGAGACAGTCATCAATTAAAAATTTTCTATATTTCTTATCATCAATAACAACATTATGTAAACCCTTCAAGTTAAATGATAATAATTGTTATCAGGAACAATCTCAGGAAACAAGTTGTTTATAGGAAAAGTGAGTTGGAAAGAAATAATGCTTACTTCTTGTTTTTGTGGAAACTAGCCAACCTGCCAAGTTGTTTCTAGGAGACTTACAGGAAGTTCCTGTACTTTTCCAGCAAGTATTGAGTTCCTACCTACATTAGTCTGTGTGTGCCAACTGCTATCATAAACAATCCAGCAGACTAATTAAATAAAAGTTTATTTCTTGCTCATGTTACAGTCCAGTGTGGGTCAGTAGTGGGATGATGGTGTGTGTGTTGGGATCCTCCATGTACTCATTCAGGAACCAGGCCTTTTTCTACCTTGGATGCCACCATTTTCAGCACAAGGCCTCCAAGCTTGATACAAAAAGGGAGAAGCAGAGGAGGATTGGGAGATTTTTGTGGATCAGTTCTGAAAATGGTACAAATTACTTTCACCCACATTCCATGGCCAGCATCAAGTAACCTGGCTCCAACATAATGACAAAGGGATGGAAAATATACATCATCTGTATGCTTAGGAAGAAAAAGGAATAGGTTTTGTGACCACATCACTTCTTTGACACAGTATCATATGCCAAGTCCTGGGCTAGGCTTGGAGGGAGGGATTGAAGATGACCCTGATCCCAGAGGTCTCAGAACTCAAAGAGGGACTAAAAAAAGTAAAGGAGAATTGCAATACAACCAGATGAATGAAATTTGATGGCAACATAATTAGAGACCTTAAATGTCCTCCTGTTGCCCCCTGTTGAGTATGAAGAGCCTATTTTAAAAATATTTAAAATGTTTTTCAAAGCAACACATACATATATTGGTTTAAAAAACTGAATAGTACAGGAAGGATCTGTAGGACATAAACCTTCTGAGTTCATGCTTGCCTGAAGAAGTCATTATTTAGCCTTCATACTTGATTGATATTTTTGTTGGGTATAGAATTCTACAATGGAATATAAGAATATGTTTCTTCTGAAACTCATTTGTGGTGATCTGGTGTTTCCCCTCTCTAGAAAATTTTAGGGTTTATTCTTTAATCTTGTTTTCTTACTTTTTGGCACAAATAGATGTTCCAGACTCATCTTGTACTTTCCTTGGCCCAGCTCTGGAATTAGCCATTTCTTCCATGAGTCTCAGTTTCTTTTACTGAAAAATGATTTTGAGAAACCAAAATCTGAGTGCTTGGTGTGTTCATTGCTATGGGAATGGCATCACTTTTAGATCTGAGCTTTTAGTGGCTAGAACCTGGAAATATATGTAAGCATATGTGTATAAGTATGTATTTAAATTTATGTCTATTTCAAGTATATCTATTTCATATATTATTAGCAATTTGTTTTTGTTTTTGTTTTTGTTTTTGAGATGGAGTCTCACTCTGTCACCCAGGAGTGAGGTGGTGCATTCTCAGCTCACTGAAACCTCTACCTCCGGGGTTCAAGTGATCTTCCTGCCTCACCCTCTGGAGTAGCTGGGACTGCAGGTACAGGTCACCTTGCCCAGGTAATTTTTGTATTTTTAGAGATGGGGTTTCACCATGTTGGCCAGGCTGGTCTTGAACTTCTGACCTCAGGTGATCCACCCGCCTTGGCCTCCCAAAGTGCTGGGATTACAGGCGTGAGCCACTGCGCTCGTCCTATTATTAGCAATTTCTATGTCCTCTTTCTAGCTATATGAAAAAACAAAAGTTTATACCACTATGTCCAATTCCAAGTAAACACCACAGAGTTATTTCAGTCTTTCCTGTTTCTATGTTTCCCTCCCTCCTCTAACAATGGGGACTCCTGCTCCCATTAACCTCAATGTATGTACTTATTTGCTGAGTTCCCTGTATGTAACAAATCTCCTGGCCACACTGGCTGTATTCTGGCCTCTGGTCCCACTGGCCTCAACCATGTGCATCATCTTCTCTGCCCTGGCCCTGGTTGAGCCCTCAGTTGAGGGGATGAGTTATATTACTTTTAAATCTTGTCTCTGGTTCTAAAAAGAATAAAAATATGAATGTTTCTATTTCCTATTTTATGTCTTGATGATTTCTGTGAAGCTCTGTTTAGATTTTTTTTTTTTCTTTGAGACGGAGTTTTGCTTTGTTGCCCAGACTGGAGTACAGTGGTATGATCTCAGCTCACCGCAACCTCCACCTTCCACGTTCAAGTGATTCTTCTGCCTCAGCCTCCCGAGTAGCTGGGATTACAGGCGCCTGCCACCACACCTGGCTAATTTTTGTATTTTAGTAGAGACGGGGTTTCACCCTGTTGGCCAGGCTGGTCTTGAACTCCTGGCTTCCCAAACTGCTGGGATTACAGGCATGAGCCACTGTGCCCAGCCCTCTATTTAGATTTTTAAGATGACTTTTATGCACTTTTTTTTCTAGCTATTTTGTACAATTTCCAATTTTTTTTTTTTTTTTTTTGAGACAGGGTCTCACTCTGTCACTGTCACTCCAGGCTGGAGTACAGTGGTGCGATCTTGCCTCACTGCAGCCTTGACCTCTCGGGCTCAAGTGATCCTTCCACCTCAGCCTTCCAAGTAACTGGGACTACAAGTGCGCACCATCACACCTGGCTTATTTTTGTATTTTTAGTAGAGAGGAAGTTTTTGCCATGTTGGCCAGGCTGGTCTCAAACTCCTGGCCTCAAGGGATCTGCCCACTTTGGCCTCCCAAAGTGCTGGGATTATAGGCATGAGCCACTGCACCCAGCTCAAGATTTTTACTTTTAAAAATTCCAAATTGATCGTCAGACTATTTAACCATGTGTAAAACTTTTTCCAACTCCATATTTCTTTTATAATTAAACAGCTTTGATGAGCTTCATCATAAAAAAATCAGATATCAACACAAGTGAAGAGCTGGCCCATTTTGTTACACATCCTTGAAAAGACAATTAAGACGCATTTTTCAACTCTTTTATTTTTTGATTACTAAAGAAATATGTGCCTTTCAGAATACTGCAAACAATGGTGAAGTTACAAAGTCCTCTTCAAATTTCCACTGCATTCTGCAGCATCAGCGTTACCTGGAAACTTGTTAAACATGCTGACACTTTGGCCCTACCCCTGTCCTACTGAACCAGATTTCTAGGGGTGGGAGCCCACAATCTGTGTTTTCACAAGCCTTCCTGGTGGCTTTTATGCATGCTAAAGTTTCAGAAGCCCTATCTATCACACAGCTTTCTAAATGCTGTGGTTCAATCTTATGTTGGTCCCTTCAGTCACTGGCCAGTCCAACTAGGGCCTGGGGATACTTGAGTCCCAGGTTGGTTGCCTCTAGTATAAATGTCCTCCTCTTTTTGCTCCGATGTTGCATAAAAATGTGGAGACTTAGCAATGAATTAGATATGACTTTTTGCACCCAAGCATCATTCTTATTCCTATTTTCAGTCTTCTCTATAAACTGACATATTCTTTTTTATTTTTTATTTTTTTTGAGACAGAGTCTCACTCTGTCACCCAGGCTGGAGTGCAGTGGCATGATCTCGGCTCACTGCAACCTCTGCCTTCCAGTTTCAAGCAAGTTTCCTGCCTCAGCCTCCCGAGTAGCTGGGATTACAGGTGCACACCACCACGTCTGGCTAATTTTTGTGTTTTTAGTACAGACGGCGTTTCACCATGTTGGCCAGGCTGGTCTTGAACTCCTGACCTCAGGAGATCTGCCCACCTTGGCCTCCCAAAGTGCTGGGATTACAGGCGTGAGCTACCGTGCCCGGCCCTGGACTGACATATTCTTGAAGGGCAATAGTCTACTTTGTTTGGTTTTCATGGTTTTCCTAATGCCTAGCACAATGCATAACCTAAAGCAGCCACTCAATAAAAATCTTTTTGAGTGGCAATAAATACATGTTTCAAGATTCCAGAGAAATGGAGGTGGGTCCTTCTGGCTGGGATGAAGGGGGAAGGTTTTATGGTAGCATTTAATCTAAGCCATTGAGGTTGGGTTGAGTTTTGCTGGGCAGAGTTGAGAGGAGGGCATGCCTGGCAGAGGGCACCACACAAAGCAAGGAAGCAAAAAAGAACATGCTGTTTCTGAGGAACTGCGAGAACAGAGTATGTATTATGCAATTAACCTGCACATAGCATGTTTTTTTCCCCTTCAAGACCTCAAAGACCTTCTGTGAGTGGCTAGATGCTTGGTTAGAATGGAAAATCTTGGGCTGGGTCTGGTGGGTGGCTCACGCCTATAATCCCAGAACTTTGGGAGGCTGAGGCAGGCAGATCATTTGAGGCCAGGAGTTTGAGACGAGCCCAGCCAACATGGAAAAACCCCGTCTCTGCTAAAAATACAAAAATCTGCTGGGCGTGGTGGTGGGTCCCTGTAATCCCAGCTACTCAGGAGGCTGAGGCAGGAGAATCACTTGAACCCAGGAGGTGGAGGTTGTAGTGAGCCAAGATGGCACCCCTGCACTCCAGCCTGGGTGACAGAGTGAGACTCCATCTAAAAAAAAAAAAAAAAAAAGAATGGAAAGTCTTGGTTTTCATCCCTCATTTCTGTTGAGTTGCCATGACCCAACACCTTCATAAGTGGCCCTTTGGCATCCACACTGCCCAGACGCTCTCCCTCCTCATTTCATCCTTCTAAGCTAAAAACCTGACCTGTCAGAGAGAACCCAGTGAAACCACATGAATCCTACTTAGGTCTAGGACAATTTTAATTGAATAACCATTTAAATTTTTTTCTAAGGCTCTGAGACAAAATCTCCATGGAGAATCCAGAAGCTTCCGGATTGCCATCCCCTAGTCATATATTTAGGTACCAGTGAGCTGCTTTCAACTCAAAGCTTCTGAATTCAACAGCATTCAGTGGAGCAGTGAGAGAGACATAAAAGGTCATAACTGGATCAAAATGTATGCCAGACGCCAGGTGTGGTGGCTCACACCTGTAATCTCAACATTTTGGGAAGCCGAGGCAGGAGGATTACTTGAGCCCAGGAGTTCAAGACCAGCCTGGGCAACAAGTGAGACCATGTCTCTAAAAAAATAAACAAAATTAGCTGGGTGTGGAGTGGTGCACGCCTGTAGTCCCAGCTACTCAAGGGCCTGAGGTGGGAGAATCACTTGAGCCCAGGAGGTTGAGCCAAGGTGAATGAGCCAAGATTGTGCCACTGCACTCCAGACTGGGTGACAGAGTGACAGCCTGTCTCAATAAACAAAACAAAGTAAGCCAGAACTCTGAGCATCTGTGTTTGTCTTTTTCATCTCTGTAAATCTTGTTGAAATGACAGAAGAAATATAAAAATAAATAGAACTCATAGTAGCAGTAAGGAGTCAGAAAATATGACATTGGTCTACCATAAGGTGAGACATTTCTGTTTTATATAAAGAACATGGGGCCAGGTGCAGTGACTCACACCTGTAATCCCAGAACTTTGGGAGGCCGAGGCAGGTAGATCACTTGAGGTCGGGAGTTTGAGACCAGACTGGCCAACATGGTGAAACCCCATCTCTATAAAAACTACAGAAATTAACCGGGAATGGTGGCAGGCACCTGTAATCCCAGCTACTCAGGAGGCTGAGGCAGGAGAATTGCTTGAACCCGGGAGGTGGAGGTTACAGTGAACCAAGATCACGCCACTACACTTCAGCCTGGGCAACAGAGCAAGACTCCATCTCAAAAAAAAGAAAGAACAAAAAAAGAACATGGGTCAGCTTGATGGCAGATCACAAGAAGGCTGAAAAAACATGTATCCTCATATAGGTCAAGGAGAAGATCATAGAAAAAGAGGATTTTCCCAGCAGAACCCTGGATAATGTGAAGATCAGAGTCAGTGGGTACTGGGAGAAGACATTTGCATTGAGTGAATAAGCTATGACCTTGCTAGTTCCCATTCAGGATAGTCAGGTAGGGCATTTGCCCCAGGATAAAGCTACAAGCACAGTTTTCAAAATAAAAAAGGATATTTGCTGTGGGAACCTCTTGGAGGGGACAGTGGACCAGAGAGAGAATTGGGCAGTGCCCTGGATAACTTCTGGTCAAGGACAAGAAAACTACTCCCATCCCTATCCCCTTACTCTGTCTGCCAGACATTAAGCTGACAACCTCACCAATGATATGAAAGTCCTAAAGCCTCTGCCAAAAGTCTCCTGGAACTGATAAACAACTTCAGTAAAGTTTCAGGACACAAAATCAATGTGCAAAAACCAGTAGCATTTTTATACACCAATAGCATTCAAGCTGAGTGCCAAATCAAGAATGCAATCTCATTTACAATAGCCACACACACACACACACACACACACAAACGTAGTAATACATGTAACCAAGGAGGTGAAAGATCTCTACAATGAAAATTACAAAACACTGCTGAAAGAAATCATAGATGACATGAACAAATGGAAAAACATTCCATGCTCATGGACTGGAAGAATCAATATCATTATAATGGCTGTATTGTCCAGGCAATCTACAGATTCAATGCTGTTTCTATCAAACTACCAATGTCATTTTTCATAGAACTAGAAAAACTATTCTAAAATTCATATGGAACCAATAAAAAGAGTCCAAATGGTCAAATCAATCCTAAACAAAAAGCAAAGCTAGAGGAATCATATTACCAGACTTCAAAGTATACTATAAGGCTACAGTAAACAAAACAGCATGGTATTGGTACAAAAACAGATACATAGACCAGTAGAACAGAATAGAAAATCCAGAAATAAAGCTGCACACCTACAGTCATCTGATCTTTGACAGAGTCAACAAAAATAAGCAAAGGGGTAAGGATTCCCTGTTCAATAAATGGTGCTGGGATAGCTGGCTAGCCATGTGCATAAGAATGAAACTGGACCCCTATTTTTCACCATATACATAAAATAACTCAAGATGGATTCAAAATTCAAATATAAGACCTTAAACTATAAGAACCTTAGAAGAAAACCTAGGAAACACCATTCTGGACATTGGCCTTGGCAAATAATTTATGACTAAATCCCCACAAGCAATTGCAATAAAAACAAAAATTGACAAGTGCTCAAGTAAACTCAAGAGCTTCTGTACAGCAAAAGAAACTCATCAACAGAGTAAACAGAAAACCTACAGAATGGGAAAAAATATTTGCAAACTATGCATCCAGCAAAGGTCTAATATCCAGAATCTGTAAGTGCCTTAAACAGTTGAACAGCCAAAAACAACCCCATTAAAAAATAGGCAAAAGACATGAACATACGTTCCTCAAAAGAAGACATATAAGCAGCCAACAAACACATGAAAAAATGCTCAATATCACTAATCATCAGAGAAATGCAAATCAAACCCAAAATGAGTTACTGTCTCACACCAGTCAGAATGGCTATTAGTAAAAAGTCAAAAAAATAACATGCTGGTGACGCTGTAGAGAAAAAGGGAACAGATATACACTGTTGGTGGGAATGTAAATTAGTTCAGCCACTGTGAAAAGCAGTTTGGTGATTTCTCAAATAACTTAAAACAGAACTACCATTCAACCCAGCAATCCCATTACTGGATATATATTAATAAAAATCATTGTACAGAAAAAGACACAAGCCCTCGTATGTTCATCAGAGCACTATTCACAATAGCAAAGACATGGAATCAACCTAGGCGCCCATCAGTGTCGACTGGATAAGAAAATGTGGTACAGATACACCATGAGCTACTTCTTATGTAGCCATAAAAAGAATGAAATCATGTCCTTTGGAGCAACATGGATAAAGTTGGAGGCCATTATCTTAACTGAATTAATGCAGGAACAGAAAACCAAATACCACATGTTTTCACTTGTAAGTGGGAGCTAAACATTGGTTACACATGGACATAAAGATGGCAACAATAGGCGCTGGGGACTACTACAGGAGGGAGGGAGGGAAGGGGGCAACGGTTGAAAAACTATTGGGTGCTATGCTCAGTACCTGGGTGATGGGATCAGTTGTACCCCAAACTTCATGCAATATGCCCAGGCAACAAACCTGCACGCGTAACCCCTGAATCCAAAATAAAAGTTGAAATTATAAAAATAAAGACAATAGAAAAAGAAAAAAATTCTAAAAATTCCCAGAGGGTCTAAAAATTTTTTTTCTTACTAAGGAATAAGAAATCAATTGGCTTTGGAATTTTGGCCCTGTCTGAGATGCTAGAAGACAATTGAAGAATGTCTACATTATTCTGAGAGAAAATTATTTTCAACATGAACTTTCATATTCAGTTGAACCATTTTCACACTTAAAGACCAAAGTTTTTAGACCTTCAAAGTCCCAGAAAGTTTATTGTTCATATCAGTTGGAGTTTTTTGTTGGAAAGCTATACAAACTGACTCTGGTTGATTAAGCAAAAAGGACTTTACTGCAAAGATTTTAGGTAGTATCAGGAAGGCTTGAAAAGTAGGTAGAGGCTGAGTGCAGTGGCTCATGCCGTTAATTCCAGTACTTTGGGAGGCCGAGGTGGGTGGATCATCTGAGGTTAGGAGTTTGAGACCAGCCTGACCAACAAGGCGAAACCCTGTCTCTACTAAAAATACAGAAATTAGTCAGGTCTGGTGGCAGGCACGTAATCCCAGCTAGTAGGGAGGCTGAGGCAGGAGAATTGCTTGAACCTGGGAGGCCGAGGTAGAATCCTAGAGAGACCAGCTCCAATGCCACATCCAAAATCATGCCACAAGAGTCAACTGGTGTGAGTCCTCTCTTTTTCTGCTTCTCTGCAACACCTGTTCCAGGCTCAGATCTCTGAAAGGGAGCATAGGTTGGCCAAGCCTGAGTTGGGGATGCCTGCCCTGGCACCCATGGAGCAAAGGAGAGTGTTTGCTTTTGTCATCTTTTAAAGCAGAAGGCAGTTCAAAGATATTCTAGCAAAATGAAAAATAAACCCTTTTAGGAAGGAAGGAAGAGGAAGAGGAAGTTTTGGGCTACGTGTCATGGTGGAATGAACTCAGGTGTGTGATGAGAAGAAATCCCAGTATGACTTATTATTATTATTATTATTATTATTATTTTGGCAGGTCCAGAAAGCATTTCTGCAAGTTGGAATAGGAAGTTAGAAGGTCCTTGAAGACTGTCTCGAAGAATGAAGTAGTTACCATGAAACCGATGGTGTAAATATGCAAGTGCAAATGTGGAATGATAAGGAAACAAAAAGTATTTCTCTTTGGGTTAATAGAAAAATATCAAAAGGAAATTATGAGAAAAATAAGAATTGTTATGGGATTATAATGGATCAAATGTTAAGTAAAGTAGAAAATGGTGTGAACTGGGTAAATGATGGAGTAAAAGAAACTTTCTTGAAATTGTAGCCAACCCTTTGAAGATTAGCTATTTCAGTAGAAGGGAGAAGATGAGATATAAGGTGAATTTGTATTTAATCATGTTGGGGCTCAGCAGTTGCTTCAGTTTTATATTAGTTTATTTCCTCTTAAAACTCAAGCAAAGTTAAAAAATTGAATACTCTTTATTAGATGCATTACTTTCATTACCAGACACAACAATATATATATTTTTTAAGTATTTCAGACCAAGAAACTCACAGGAGGTGTTGGAGGTGGGTGGCTGGCCTCTTTTGTCTCTTTATTATTATATTGAGTAGGGCTTCAGCTTTTTCATGCAATCCTGAACTCCCGGACCACTGGGTTTGGCACAGACTTGCCGCCCCTTCTTGGTGAGGAATCTGGGGAACAAGGGAGAGAAAGATTACAAACTGAGGTGTGGGCAGATGGAGACAGGGGGCCCCATCCTCCCTGCTCCTCAGATTTCCCAGTCAACACAGCCTGTTTTTTCCTTTCTCTGCTGATGGCAGCTCAGGGACAGTGTCCTTTTGAGACCCTCTCAGCCTGTGGGACTCCTTAATGACTCATGGAAGTGTCCTTGGGAAGCCTTGTGCTTGCTTTCTTCTTCCTTCCCTATCTCCTCTCCACTGGGAGTGTCTCATCCCTGATGCCCTGCAGAATCCTCGTAAGGACACAGCTGCCCTGTATCTGGCAGGATCCAGAGGGTGGAACCCGATGGACGCCCATCCGTCGTGTCCTCCCTGCAAGATGCTGTGGGCTGCTTCTTCCCCAACACATGGTTGGTGAGCTTGGCACTTACATGACACCTGGCTTGGAGCACTCGCTGCTCGTTTCAAAATAACTTTTCATGAGTGAACACGGGATGCTTTGTGAGATGTAGGAGGTGCAGCAGTCAGCAGCAAAGTGAAAGCCTGCAGCAAGAGAAAGCGTCATCTGAGGGCAAATCTTTCTCCTCGAAAGCACAGTGGAGGGTGAGAAGGCACAAGCCTCTGAAGACATGTTTCTCCTCCTCGGCTAGCACTTGCTGGCCTCTCCCTGCTTCAGACCCTCCCCAGGGTTTTGCCATGTGTCTGAGGGCACTCAGGGTGGGCCACAGCAGGACCAAGAAAATTTCCCCCAGAAGGGGAAGGCATCTGCAGACACCTGCAGGCATCAGAGAGCACCTTCTTCTCCAAAGGAGCAGGCTCTTGGGGCAGCCAGAGGGGAACAGAGAAGGCATCTATGGAGGGGGTCCCCCTACCCTGTCCTGATCTCCCTTGGAGATATTCACCACCCTCAGGACCCTCTCATTCTCCTCCCATTCTGTAAACAGGGACAATGGATCCCATAGTGCAGACCTGCACCTGCTGGCTGCTTTTAAATGTATGCCGTATCTGATCACTTACTGTTCAGAACTACTGGATTTTCCAGTGGAAGCTTTGACATCATTAACTCTGTCTCTGCATCTGAAAGAAACAGTACAGGGAAGGAAATCACTGGGTGGCAGCAGTATGTTTCAACATCTCCACCCACCCCATTGCTCATCCTCCTCCTGAGGCAGAGAGGCTCTGAAGCTGGACCACCACCACCTGTCTGGGTTCTAGGCCTGCCTCCTGGCCCATTTATTCCATTAGGGCCCTGAGACTTTTCAGAGACCTTTTGAAAATGTAGACATGAAAACTTTGTATTGACTCTGAAATACTAAAAGCAACTGAACCTAACACGGTTCAGTTAATGGAATGTCTACATGATGTGACACAGTCTACAAGTTTTTCTACACATTTCTGGAATAATTTTTTATTATAGGGCTCTGGAAACAGAGAGGTTTTATCAGCGTTTATGGTGGCACAGTATCCCCTTAAGTGAAGTGAGTCTATTATGGTATTTATTCATCCCAGTTAGCAGAAATATTCATGTGTTTGCTACAGAAAAATTGCTGTGTTTGATTGAAATAGTCTTCCTTGGCCCCACCAAGGATAAGTACCATCTAGGTATGTATTACTTTTTTTTTTTTTTTTAATTGAGACAGGGTCTTTTTCTGTCACCCAGGCTGGGGCGCAGTGGTATGATCATAACTCACTGCAGCCTTGAGGTCCTGGGCTCAAGTGATCCTCCTGCCTCAGCCTCCTGAGAAGCTGGAACTACAGGTGCGAGCCACAATGCCTAGCTAATAGTTTACCTTTTTGTAGTGATGAGGTCTTGCTATGATGCCCAGGCTGGTCTTGAACTCCTGTGGTCAAGCAATTCTCCTAGCTCAGCCTCCCAAAGTGCTGGGATTATAGGTGAGCCACCATGCCTAGCGTGTATTACCTTTTAAAAACCAGAGAAATTCTGTATTCCAAAATACATCTAGCCTGATAGGATTTTGATAAGGGATTGCATACCTGTATTATGCTAAATAGAAAAATGCAGCCAGGCGTGGTGGCTCAGGCCTGTAATCCCAGCACTTTGGGAGGCCGAGGTGGGCAGATAACGAGATCAGGAGATTGAGACCATCCTGGCTAACATGGTGAAACCCCATCTCTACTAAAAATACAAAAAATTAGCCGGGCGTGGTGGCAGGCGCCTGTAGTCCCAGCTACTCGGGAGGCTGAGGCAGGAGAATGGCGTGAACCGGGGAGGCGGAGCTTGCAGTGAGCTGAGATCGTGCCACTGCACTCCAGCCTGGGCGACAGAGTGAGACTCCATCTCAAAAAAAAAAAAAAAAAAAAAATCTTTACAGTGGCCAGGCGCGGTGGCTCACACCTGTAATCCCAACACTTTGGGAGGCCGAGGTGGGCGGATCACCTGAGGCCAGGAGTTGGAGACTAGTCTGGCCAACATGGTGAAACCCCGCCTCTACTAAAAAGACACAAAAATCAGCTGGGCTTGGTGGCGCATGCCTTAATCCCAACTACTCTGGAGGCTGAGGAAGGATAATTCATTGAACCTGGGAGGCAGAGCTTTCAGTGATCCGAGATCGCACCACTGCACTCCAGCCTGGGAGACAGAGTGAAACTCCATCTCAAAAAAAAAAAAAAAAAAAAAAATCTTGACAGCTCGGGAGAGACTGCCCATTGCAGGGCTAACCAATTCATAGAGATAGCTAAGGGTTTAGACCTTTCATATACAAATCAAAAAATCCTGAGCCCATATGCCCATCCACCTCCTTTGCTAACTCACACACACCAAGCCAGTATTTCCACTGCTCTAAATCATCCTAAGGATGAGTACTAGACAGCTAGAGACTATCCCTATACCCCAAAGCCTGAAAGGCTTATTCAGACTACCCAGCCCTAAAGTGTATGCTCTGTGCTGCCTTGCTTTCCCCCGAGAAACCCCAATAAAGGTTCTGGCATAGGTTGTCCCTTCCCTCCTGTTTGTGACTCCTGCCCGTGACTCCTGCCCGTGACTCCTGCCCTGGATGCTTCCCTTGGGGCCCCGTGTGGCACGGTGTACCTCCTTCTCTTGGGAAATGTAAATAATACATTCTTTTTTCAATGTCATTGACCTCTTTGCGTTGACATTCACCTCCACAAATTAAGATTCCACAGGAACAAGTGAGACAGTGATCTTGGGTGAGTCACTTACCTGGCTGGTTCCTTTTCCTCTCACAAATCATAATTTTACACCAGATGGTAGATAGCAGTTCTAGCACCATAAAATTGTATGATTCTTTTTACAAATTTACAATTTAATTACAGTTCTTTTGTTCCAGCTAAAATATCAGCTAAGGGAAAAAATCAGATAATTTTTGCTGTGAAAAGGGAAATAATTGGCCCCAAATGGGACCAGTCATCTGTGTACCTTTCCCCGCCAGGGTCCAAAGGCTGCAGACAGAGCCAGGTCTATACCCTGCTGGTGCTTTTTAAATAAGTTCCATAACCATGTCTGGGCTGGAGAGTAGTCACAACATGTCTCCGTCCCAGAGCTTGAGTTACCATGGACCTGGTCACCTGGGAGAAAGCTCACTGGACTCACCATTTATGAACTGGGCCTGGGATCCAAGGACAGCAACAAGCATGAGGCAGGAGAGGGCAGCCACGGAGACCTTCATCCTCCTGGTGGGCAGGCAGGGCTGGCCGAGGACTCCTGGGCTCACTGCTTCCTGGCTCCCCGGGATACCAGCTCTGCCCTTGTATTTATAAGAAGAGGAGGATCCAGGAAGTCCCAGGGCAGAGGGCAGAGGTCAGAATGCTCTTCTTTAGCTATATAATAGTTACCATGCAGTTTCTAAAAAGAGAACAAGGCTGAGAGTGCAACAGAAAGTAGAGGACAAAGATGACTTGAACTGTCCCTGTGGATTTCCCGAATTATCCCAATAGCTACAGGCAGATAAAAAAAAATGTTTCAAGGAAGAGTCTTCCCTCCAGGAGATTAATCTAATCCTCTAAGCCTGAGATAGGAGTGGGGGACTATCTTAGACTCTTGGATTCAGGATTGGGATGTGGTGAATGCTGCCTTTTTTCCCTTTCCAGTTCTATTCCTGTAGTTCCAACCAGGAGGTGTTAGCAGTGGTGAATCCATATCAGTCTGCAGCAGCCTCAGTTCTTGCCTCCTCAGAAGAAATAATTCAACTGAGGGGTATAAGGCAGAGTGAGAGACCGAGACAAGATTTAGAGCAGGAATGAAAGTAAAGAACACTTGGAAAAGTGCCAAGCAGGTGACTGGAGAGATTCAAGTGCCTGGTTTGACCTTTGGATTGGGGTTTTATATGCTGGCATTCCGCATGCGCAGTGGTCTGCCAGCACTAGGGAGGGGCTGCATGCACAGTGTGCTTACTGGAGTTGTACGCATGCTCACTTGAGGCATTCCTTCTTGACCAGTCAAGTGTTCCTAGGTCACATACCAGTTGAACTCTGCCATTTTGCCTCTTAGTGCACATACTTGAGCCTACTTGCCTGACTCCTGAGATCTTAATGGGAAACTGTTGATCACCAGTTTGAGATATTTCTATCTATTGGGAGACTGTCTTTGCTGGTGCTGGCTTTGACCAATTACTGTTTTAGAGAGACAGTGTAACAACTGCCTGACCATCATCTGATGGTTGTCTGACATTCCTGGTGGGGCAGGGGGCTCTCCTGCCCTGCTCATGTCTGAATAACTACCTACTATGAAACAGGGATTTTTTTTTTTTTTGAGACGGAGTTTTGCTCTTGTTGCCCAGGCTGGAGTGCAGTGGTGCATTCTCACTCACTGCAAACTCCACCTTCTGGGTTCAAGCGATTCTCCTGCCTCAGCCTCCTGAGTAGATGGGATTACAGGCATGTGCCACCACACTCAGCTAATTTTGTATGTTTAGTAGAGACGGGGGTGTTCACCATATTAGTCAGGTTGGTCTCGAACTCCTGACCTCAGGTGATCCACCTGCCTCGGCCTCCCAAACAAAGGGACTTCAAAGGTAAGAATGAGTCAAGCTGGCCACGAAAATGGAGAACTGGAAAATCTCAAGATTAGAGGCTAGAAGACCTTCCCAGGCACTGATGATGCCACGTCAAGTTCTAACCACCCCATCTTGGACCTTCAAGTGCCTCCAAAGCCTATGATAAAGGGTGGCCACCAGAGGGAATTCTCTAATCTGCGAACTTGGCTGTGATTTTTCAAACAGAATCTGCCAGTGGCTTCTCATGGACTTGAGTCAACTCCAAGGTTTGTGTATGAGTGTAGAAAGTCCTTCAGAATAGGGTTCTCCTTATATGCACAACTCCTCTAGTTTCTAATGTAATGGCATTTAAATGCATATTAAGTTTAAATAGTGATGCACCTATTAATTTAGATTTTATACTTTTTTCTTTTGGAGTTAATTTTTTTTTCAGGACCCCAATACTAAATGCCTAATGGGTAAATTGGCCCTGTGCAATACTAATTCCTAGCAACCCATTAACTCTACTCAGCAGTCAGCTCTGCCAGAAAGACTTCTTGGCTGTCGCTCCCACGAGGCTGGGCCAGGTGTCCCTTTTCAGTGTTTCTGGTACAGCATCTATCTGGTACTTAAATCTACGATAGCACCAGTCACATTCTATTTTAAGTGCTTATTTATTTAATGGCTCTCCTCATTCCCCCGCCCCCATACAACAGGCTGTGTGTGTGTGTGTGTGTGTGTGTGAGACATTAAAAAAAAACATGGCCAGGTACAGTGGCTCATGCCTGTAATCCCAGCACTTAAGCTTGAGCTCAGGAGTTCCAGACCATCCTAAGCAACAAAGCGAGACCTCATTTCTACAAAAAAAAAAAAACAGGCTTGGTGGCACGGGCCTGCAGTCCCAGTTACTTGAGAGGCTGAGGCAGGAGGATTTCTTGTGCTTGGGCGTGCTGCAGGCTGCAGTGACCTATGATCACACCACTGTACTCCAGCCTGGGTGACAGAGTGAGACCCTGTGTCAAAACAAAACAAATCAGCCACATAACATGAGATTTACCCCCTTAACAAACTTCCAAGTGTGCAGTTACAAGGTCCTTGAAGAATGTCTCCAACGGTGAGATAGATACCGTACCTGCTGCACAAAAACCATCGCATTGCAGTAAAGAGTTATTACTCAGATCAATCTCATCGAAGGCTCACAGGTTAAAAGTTTTTGAAAGGTAGTTTGGGGGAGGAGATGAATGTGGCTAGGCAAAGGGAGCTTGCTGCTGACTGCTTGGGGGGTGCAATCATAGAGGTGTGGGAAATTCACCTCCTGTAGGCTGAATGGCTTCTGGGTGGTGCCGCAGGAGCTGTTGGTGGGTCCAGGTGGAACCATCATCAGTATCTCAATGCAAAAAAAAACCTGAAAAGGTATCTCAGAAGGCCAAACTTAGGTTCTACAGTAGTGATGTTATCTGCAGGAGAAATTGGGAAGTTGCATATCTTGTGACCTCCACAATAATGGCTGGCAATCATTTATGTCTGCACTTTCACCTTAGCAAAATTCAGGCTCCTCTATCCTCCTAGCCTGGTAGTCTCTCATTAGCTTTACAAAAGTGGTTGAGTTTTGGGGAAGGGCTAATCATCTAAACTATAAACTAAATGTCTGGCAGCTTGAAAGCTAAAGGCAAGAAGAGAGTGGGCTAGATCAGATCTTCCCATTGTCATGGTTTTCTCACTGTTATAATTTTTGCAAAGTTGGTTTCATTACTATAAAACAAATGGTGTGAGTCTGCAAGTACAAATGCAGAATGATGATAATGAAAGGAAGACAAGTATTACTCTCTTGGTTAATAAGAAAAAAGGTTGCTAAAAACCTTAGCCAAATTAAATTTAACAGAGTTTAACTGAGCAAAGAACAATTTGCGAATAAGGAAGCCTCTTGAGCCAGAGTAGGTTCATAGAGACTCCAGCACAGCCACGTGGTAGAAGATTTATAGACAGAAAAAGAAAAGTGATCACAGGAAATGGAAGTGAGGTACAGCAACAGCTGAATTTATTACAGCTGGGTGTTTACCTTATTCAAACATGGTTTGAATAGGTGGTCCCCTTTGACTGGACAAAACTCAGTGATTGGCACGAGAGTAGGTTACAGCCTGTTTACACCTCGATTCAGGTTACAGTTCACTATGTACAGATTAGGCTGAACTTAAAATAAGTGAGAAGGCAGCTTTAGGCTAAAGTTGATTTAACAAGGTCAATTAAAAATTGCTGGAAAATAAGAATCTACATGAGGTTATCATGGGTTAAATATTAAGTAAATGACAATGTTGTGTCATCTGGGCAAATGATAAAAGACAGTTTTTATTTTTGTTTTTTAATTTTTTTCTTGAGCTAGGTCTTGCTCTGTCACCCAGACTGGGATGCAGTGGCTTGATCATAGCTCACTGTAACCTCCAACTCCTGGGCTCAAGTGATCCTCCCACCTCAGCCTCCCAAAGTACTGGGATTACAGATGTGAGCCACCACACCCAGCCAAAACACCGTTTCCTAAACTGTAGTTAAAACTTCAAGATTAGCTCTTTTAGTAGGGAGGATATAAGATGTAATATGAATTTGTGTTTACTTTCTTAAGGGTTATAATAATTTCAAGCTTTTATCACCTTCTCAGGGCATTTTTCTAACACAGTTGTGATTTAGTGTTATAAAAGTTATTTGGTTATTGATCAGTTTTCTCCTGTTGATTTCTTAGACAAATCACACTAAAAGTAAGCATAGAGCTTAAACTTTTTTTTAAATAAAAAATGTTTTGTTGTTTGGAATTGTTTAGAATTCAGTGCTGTCTTTTGAATTTTATGAGACAGTTTTCCAAGGTGTACTAATTATACATATAAATTTATATACTTTAATAGAGATGTATATAAAATTAATATTAACTATATCTTTAAATGTTTTTCTTAATGTTCTTTAAGTTTAGAGGCGAAATCTCTTAGAAATTGTTACTGTAGGTAGCTAGTCATACATAAACAGGGCAGGAGAGGCTCCTCCCAACCAGGAATGTCAGGTGACCATCAGGTGATGGTCAGGAGGTTGTTAACTGTCTCTCTAGAATAATAATTGGTTGCAGCCAGCACCAGGGAAAGGCAATGTGCCTATAGATAGAAAAAACCTGAAAATGGTCATCAGCATCTTCCTGGTAAGATCCCAGGAGTTGGGCGAGTGAGCTCATGCATGCGCGTCAAGAGGCAAAATGGTGGAGTTTAACTCATCTAGGACCTTCTGGGGGCATTCCATCAGTAAAGGGAAGAACACCTCAAGTGAGCATGCATACAGCTCCAGTAAACACACTGCATATGCTCCCCTCCCAAGTAGGGCATTGTGCTAGTGCTTCCTACCCCAAGGGAAGAATCAGGGGAGAAGGGACCCAAGACCCCAGAAGTATGCCAACATGTAAAACCCTGATTCAAAAGGTCAAACCCCACACCTGACCTCCAAAATGTCTGCTTGGCCTGCTTCCAAACGTACTTTACTTTCTTTTTATTCCTGCTCTAAATCTTCTCTCTCTCTCTTTTTTTTTTGAGATGGAGTCTCACTCTGTCACCCAGGCTGGAGTGTAGTGGCGTGGTCTCAGCTCACTGCAACCTCTGCCTCCTGGGCTCAAGCAATTCTCCTGTCTCAGCCTCCCGAGTAGCTTGGGTTACAGGCACCTGCCACTACACCCAGCTAATTTTTATTAGAGATGGTGTTTCACCATGTTGAACAGGCTGGTCTCAAACTCCTGACTTCAAGTGATTCTCCCACCTAGGCCTCACAAAGTGCTGGGATTACAGGTATGAGCCACCACGCCCGGCCTGTACAGCTTCTTAATAAACTTTCACTCCTGCTCTAACACTTGCCTCAGTCTCTTCTCACTTAGGCCCCTCATTTGAATTCTTTTTCCTGAGGAGGGAAGAATTGAGGTTGCTGCAGACCTGTACAGATTTGCCACCCGTAACTCGAATAACTTCCTCTGCTAACTAAATTTATATCTAATAAAAAACTTAGAAATAGATAAAAGGGTCCAGGCGCAGTGGCTCCCACCTGTAATCCTAGCACTTTGGGAGGCCGAGGCGGGCGGATCACAAGGTCAGGAGTTTGAGACCAGCCTGGCCAACATGGTGAAACCCTGTCTCTACTAAAAATACGAAAATTATCTGGGCATGGCGGCATGCGCCTGTAATCCCAGCTACTAGAGAGGCTGAGGCAGGAGAATTGCTTGAACCCGGGAGGCGGAGGTTGTAGTGAGCTGAGACTGCACCGCTGCACTCCAGCCTGGGTGACAGAGCAAGACTCTGTCTCAAAAAAAAAAAAAAAAAAAAACAGGTAAAAGGATGACTGCATGGTTTTCAAGGTCATATTACAATGTTGACTAACAGGCCCAACCCGGCATTCCTTAAATCTGTAGGGGAATGAACTTTTGATTGATTTCTGTTTACCATTGATCAGGCCCTAGATTCTGAGAAAGTACATGTTAAATTTTAAACTTGTGTGTAGCCAGATGCAAATGATTTCTGTCTATTAAAAAAGATAATCCCAGAGGTTACAGGTTTTTTTATTGCCCTATCCACAGGATATTAATGTGTGCTCTAATTTAACAAACTTATTTCAGAACATCATCCCCAGTAAACTATACAAATCTCTGTTACTCAAATGATCTTTGAATTATTTTAATAGTTCTCTCACTAATGAGTTAAATACATCTTTGATGCATATTCAATCTAAATTGGATGAGTAATATTTTTAGTTTTGTAAAAATTGTATTATGATGTCCCTTGTTTTGAAGATAATGCTTATCCAAAGTTCAGTAATTCCTTTAGTTTCTTTTTCCTCTTAAAATTCAAGTAAAGGCTGGGCATGGTGGCTCACACCTGTAATACCAGCACTTTGGGAGGCTGAGGCAGGAGGATCGCTTGAGCCTAAGAGATCAAGACCAGCCTGGGCAACATAATCAGATCCTGTCTCTTCAACAAATAAGAATTAGTGGAGTATGGTGGCATGTACCTGTAGTCCCAGTTGATATGGACGGGAGGCAGAGAAACACTGGGTAGAAGAGGGCAGTTCCCTGGCAAATGCCCCACCCTCAAGCCTGGGAACCCACGCCCCTAAATTGGAACAGGCATTCCTGTTTTTGCACCCAAATGTTGCCTTTTCCAAGACTACTCTGGCCTGCCACGCCCCTATCCTGTGTCCATATGACAGCTAGGCCTCCATGAAGGGAAAGAGAGCCCATATTACTTTTACCCAAAGGAAAGAGAGAGGCGGCAGGATCTTGGAAAAGAGACAGATCCAATAGTTCTGCCTCTTTACCTTTTAAACCCCAAACTCCATGAGCAGAGGAACAGAACGGCAGTGGCAGAGAAGGAGAGACGAGAAGGAGCGTCTGAATGTCAGGAGAAGTTCGGCTGGGGACAGTTGAAGAGGAGATCAGCCGCGGGATGGCTGAACTCCAAGGGAAGATCATCTTCCCACTCCATCCATTCTCCAGCTCCCATTCATCCCATAAGAGCCACATCCATAACTCATTAAAATCTCCACATTCACCATCGTTCAAGTCTTCTTGAACGATGACCTGATTCTTCCAGGATGTCAGACAAGGACCTGGGTACCAAGAGGGCAGGGTATAAAAGGCTGTCACCCTGACTCTCCACTGAGAGGAAGTAGCCGTCTGCAGATAGCAACTGCTAAAAGAGTATTAATTGTAACACACCTTTGGATGCTACCATGGGGCCAGAGCCCAAAAGTGCTTGCCCCAGCTCCTGCACCTTCCCATCTGTGTGTTCCCCCTCCTATAAGGGGTAAAGTGTGTGACAGTGGAGCAAATGAGCCACACCCCTGTCGCAAGTCCCGTGAGGGGGTCAGGGAACTCTCCCATTTCATCTGGGGGCTCGTCTGGGATACAGCACAAGGATGAGTACAGATTTAGAACTGTCGGATCTGCCTCTTTTCCAAGATTCTGCCACCTCTCTTTTTCCTTTGGGTAAAAGGAATATTGGCTCTGTTTCTCTTCATGGAGGTCTAGCTGTTGCACGGGATGGAATAAAGTCCTGGGGCAACAGAAGCCATCTTTTGTTGCTGGAAGGCTCCAAGACTGAACTCTGTAGGCCAAGAACCCCAGACTTTGCTGTGGTATCTTCTTTCATGGCTTGAAATGGCTCCTATCTCTTCTTTTATAGTATTAAGGGCTTTGCTGCAACTAGCGAGATGTTACTAAGTACAAGGTATGCTTGGTTCAGCCATCAGATGTGCAATTCACAACAATGTAGTTTCTGTTTCTTCTTAGAGGTGCCATCCCCAGCCGCAGGTGTGCGCAGTGCATGAGTGACTCCCCTCCTTCTCCCTTCCCCTCCTTTTCCCCTCCCCGCCTTCTCCCCTCTCCTCCCAGCTCTGCACATGAGCTGCACCCAGTGGCCACGAGGGGCGGGAGAAAACCTTGGCTGCCGCTGGGGCCCTAGTGCAGCTGGCTGGCCGGTGCCTCCCACTCACTGCACCAACAGAGCCTCTCCTCCCATGGTTGAGGGGTCCTTACTGGTCTGAACCAGGGGCGGAATACAATAAAGGAACCCATTTGCACAGAGCAAGAAGTTCCTTCCCTCTTTTTTAGTAGTATAAGCGGTTTCCTTTTTCTTTTCTAAGTGAGAGGGTTCCTTTCCCCAGCACGCTGCTTTTAATAGGGAAAATAACAGAGGAGCGACCCCTGCTGGCCGATAGCTGCAAATTCGGCAGGGCCCCTTTGAGACTTGATCTAAACAGATTCATGCAGCCCCTGAAATACCTTTTTTGTCTGAAACTCAATTCCAGCCTTCAGGTTGAGGCCCTAGAAAGGAAAACCAGATCTGAGGGATCCAAAGCCTGGCAACAGGCACAATGTAAATGGGAAGGGCCAATTCCTGCTGACTAAAACCTTGCTTCTTGAAAGGAGGCCATGCTCCATGACATAGATGAGGCCCAGGGAACTCAAAGGTTGTTGGCAGCAAGGGAGATAGGGCATAATGTGTAAGAGTGGATACTCTCACCCCCCTAGGCCCCCCTGTTAACATGAGTAAAAGCCGCTTCAGCACCCATGGGTGGCATCTGCCAAGGTCACTGGTACATGGGGACAAAAAGACAGAAAACGGGGATGCCTGCTTTCTCTCCATCAAACCCTGAGTTATCACTAAAAGAAGGGAAGGAAATGAGGGTCACCTCTATTTCTTGTCTTTCAGAATGGGCGATCAGCTGTCTTCACCACCCCCAGCTTATACTCCTCTAGAGTGTATCCTGAACCACTGGGACTGCTTTGACCCTCAGACTCTGGAGGAAAATGGCTCATAGCCCTCTGCACAAAGGTTTGGGCAAATTATGAAGGACTGGCTTGGCCTCAGGAAGAAACCATTCATTTCGATATCATCCAGCAGTTGGAGCTTTTCTGTAAACGTGAGGGCAAATGCTCTGAGGCCCATATGTGCAGGCTTTCTATACCGTGCAGGGCAATCCAGACCTTAGCTGACAATGTAGAATTAATCCAGACCGGTTTGCCATCTCGGGAGAGGCTGCAAGGGGCAATCCCAGGGAACTAAAAAAACAAATCCCAGAGGCATCCCCAGCAGAGGAGCCAGCTCCCTCCAGCCCTGCTCCTCCAGGTCCACCCCATCCTCCCTATCCAGCTTCAGTCTCTCACTTGCCCCCTCCTAGAAATTCTCACCCTAGACAAGCCCCAGTCTCATTCTTTCCCCTCCAACAGATGCCTGGTGAATTTACCCCATAAGGTCCAGGTACTCTTCTCTCTACAGAACTTGAAGCAAATTGAGGGGGATCTTGGCAAGTTTTCAGATGACCCTGAGAGATATATAGAGGCTTTTCAGAACTTAACCCAAGTATCTGAGCTCTCCTAGGAAGACGTCATGTTACTTTGAACCAAACCCTGACTAACACTGAGAAGCAGGCCACTCTGCAAGTGACAGAGAGATCTGGGGATGAGGTTTGTATCATACGTAGCACCCAGGAAAGGGGGTGAATATTATCCAACTGGAAGAGAAGGAGTATCAATGAATCTCCCTAAATGGGATCCCAATGACAAGATGGGAGAATGCAAGAGGAGAGTTTCAGGTGTGCATAATAGAGGGCTTATGTAGGATTAGAACTAAGCCTCTCTACTATATCGAGATATCCATGAGAGACCAGGGATTTAATGAAAATCCCACTGCCTTCTTGGGGAGGCTAAGAGGGACCTTTGTAAAGCATGGGTCTCTGTGTCCCGATTCCATCATGGGACAACTAATCCTAAATGATAAATGTATTACTCAGGCAGCCCCTGATATCAGAGGGAAGTTGCAGAAATGGGCCCTGGCGTCGGGGAGTACTTTAGGAGACCTCCTGAAAGAGGCCACCTTGGTCTTTTACAGTACAGATAGGGAGACACAAGAAAGAGGCAGAAGCTTTAAGGGTCACCATGCAAACCCACAAACCCCAGAATTCCTAAGGTGCATCTGTTAACTCCTACAGATGTGGCAAGAACAGTTATCTCTCTTCTAAAATTTAACCACACCCATGCAAGTCTTAATTTCTTTCACTAAGGTGAAACAGCTCAGGGTACAATGTTGTTAGTATATTACACTTCCTATTTCGGTAATCTTTGGTGGCAAGAACAGTTATCTCTCTTTTAAAATTTAACCACACCCATACAAGTCTTAATTTCTTTCACCAGGGTGAAACAGCTCAGGGTACAATGTTGTGAGTATGTTACATTTCCTATTTCTGTAATCTTTGGCACTAGATTATTTCTTTGTATAATACACGTTTAACCCATGCATACTTAACACCTTATAAAACTTGTTTTTTTCTCTCAAATTTGAGGTCATGAAAATCCAAATGGTCAGGCAACCGGAGCCTTGGATGATGACTCCCTTTCCCCAGGGATCCTTAGATAGACCTCTGGGAGGAATCTGACTTCTGTTTTCCCCAAAAACAATGTCCTCTGTCAGCAGGAAGTAGCTAAGATTGGTCATTGTCCATATTCTAATGGCAATTAGATGGGCCTCTTAGAGGGGGGAAATGATACAGATACAGGCAAGGAAATACTGGGTAGAAGAGGGCAGTTCCCCAACAAAGGCCCACCCTGAAGCCTGGAAATCCATGGCCCTAAATGGGAGCAAGCATTCCCATTTTCATGCCCAAATGTTGCCTTTTCCAAGACCACTCTGGCCTGCCACACCCCTATCCTGTGCCCATATAAACCCCAAGCTCTACAAGCAGAGGAACAGAAGAGCAGCAGAGTAGCAAAATGGCATGGCAGAGGAGAGAAGAGAAGGAGCATCTGAATGTCAGGAGGAGTTCGGCTGAGGACGGTTGGAAAGCAGATAAGCCGGGGATGGCTGAACTCCAGGGGAAGATCATCTTCCCACTCCATCCCCTTTCCAGCTCCACATCCATTCCTCTGAGAGCCAACTCCATCACTCAGTAAAATCCCCACCTTCACTATCCTTCAGGTTGATGTGACCTGATTCTTCCTAGATGCCAGACAAAGACGGATACCAAGAGAGCAGAATATAAAAGGCTGTCACCCTGACTCTCCACTGAGTGGAATAGCCATCCACGAAAAGCAACTGCTAAAGAGCACTAATTGTAACACACCCCTAGATGCTACCATGGGGATGGAGCCCAAAAGCGCTCGCCCTGGCTCCTGCACCTGCCTGTCTGCATGTTCCCCCTCCCACAGGGGATTTGAACGTGCAGCAGCCTTGCAAATGAGCCACACCCCGTCACAAGTCCTGTGAGGAAGTCAGGGAACTCTCCTCTGTTAGCCCAAGTGGCGCCATCAAGTAAACCCCTGCCATTTTGTACACCCTGATCAGGGAGGAAACTTCCATAGGGGCTCAGGCCATGAAAAGCATTTTGCCAAGCAGATCCCAGGCCACACTGCCTGACTGCAGGAAATGGCTCCCTTATTACATCCTGCCAGGCAGCTAGCCACACTGCCCCACCTCCCCTGTCCAGACCTATAATTGCCCCAGTCTGTACGCAGGACGGGGGCTCCAGCACTCGCTGGTGTTCCCCTTCCACAGGTTTCTCTGTCCAATAAACCTATGTTGCTGTCGAGCTTCCCCACCTTGTATGTCTCTTTTCTCTGTCCTAACACCCTGTTTCACAGCTACTTGTGGGGCTGAGGTAGGTGGGTTACTTGAGCCCAGGAGATTAGGCTGCAGTGAGCCAAGATGTACCAGTGCACTCCAGCCTGGGTGACAGAGACCCTATCACACAAAAAAAGTGAGAAACTGTTTATTAGATGAATTGCTCTAAATCCAGAACACAAGAATAAATGCTTCTTTAAAAAATAATTCAGGAAGGTAGTTGAGGCAAGAAAGTTGGTGGCTGGCAACTTGTGTCCCTTCACCTTGACAAGTTCAATTCTTCCTGGTCTTGATCCGTGTGTCCAGCTTCAGCATTCTCACGCAAACCTGAACTTGCTTATCACTGGGGTTGGCACAGAAACGTCGCCCCTTCTTGGTGAGGAAGCTAGGGAACAAGGGGGAGAAAAGTTACAAACTGAGGTGTGTCCAGCACATGGGGACAGGGGGCCCCATTCTCCCTGCCCCTCAGATTTCCCAGTCAATATAGCCAGTTTTTTTTTCTTTTTTTTTTCATTCTCTGCTGATGGCAGCTCAGGGCCATTGTGCTCTTGAGACCCCCTCAGCCTGTGGGACTCCCTAGTGACTCATGGGAGCATCCTTGGGCAGACTTGTGCCTGCTTTCTTCTTCCTTCCCCACCCTTTTCCCCCTGGGAGTGTCTCATCCCCGATGCCCTGCAGGATCTTCCTAAGGACACAGCTGCCCCATACCTGGCAGGATCCAGAGGGTGGGCCCTGATGGACACCAGTCTATCAGGTCCTCCCTGCAAGATGCTACAGAGTCCTTCTCCCTCAACACATGTTTGGTGAGCTTGGCACCTACATGACACCCGGCTTGGAGCACTCGCTGTTCGTTTCAAAGTAACTCTCCAGGAGTGAACACGGGATGCTTCGTGGGGTGTAGGAGATGCAGCAGTCAGCACTAGTAGCATGGAATCCTGCAGCATGAGAAAGGGTCATCTGAGGACCAATCTTTCTCCTCCAGAGCACTGTGGAGGGTGAGAAGGCACATGGCTCAGAAGAGATGTTTCCTCCTCCGTGACCAGCACTTGCTGGCATCTCCCTGCTTCAGACCCTCATCAGAGTTGAGCTGTGTGTCTGAGGGCACTCAGGGTGGGCCACAGCAGGACCAGGAAAATTTCCCCTAGAAGGGGAAGGCATCTGCAGACACCTGCAGGCATCAGAGAGCACCTTCTGCCCCAAAGGAGCAGACTCTTGGGGCAGCCAGAGGGGAACAGAGAAGGCATCTATGGAGGGGGTTCCCATAGCCCGTCCTGATCTTCCTTGGAGATGTTCACCACCCTCAGGACCCTCTCATTCTCCTCCCATTCTGTAAACAGGGACAATGGATCCCATAGTGCAGACCTGCACCTGCTGGCTGCTTTTAAATATATGCCGTATCTGATCACTTACTGTCCAGAAGTACTGGATTTTCCAATGGAAGCTTTGACATCATGAACTCTGTCTCTGCATCTGGAAGAAGCAGACAGGACAGGGAAGGAAATCACTGGGCGGCAGCATTGTTTCAGCATCTCCACCCACCCCATTGCTCATCCTCCTCCTGAGGCAGAAAGGTCCCTGAAGCTGGACCACCACCACCTGTCTGGGCTCTAGGCCTGACTCCTGGCCCATTTATTCCTTTAGGGCCCTGAGATTTTTCAGGGACCTTTTGAAAATGTAGACATGAAAACACGTGTTGACTCTGAAATACTAAAAGAAACCTCAAAATCTAACATGGTTCAGTTAATGGAATGTCTACATGATGTGACACAGTCTACAAGTCTCTCTACACATTTCTGGAATCCACAGGGCTCTGGAAACAGAGAGGTGTTCATCAGCTCATATGGTGGCACAGTATCCCTTTAAGTGAAGTGCAGCTATTATGGTCATTATTTATCCCAGTTAGTAGAAATATTCATGTGTTTGTTACAGGAGGTTGCTGTGTTTGATTAAAATACTGTTCCCAGGCCTCATCAGGGATAAGTACCATCAATATATGTTTAAGTTTTTTACTAAATCATTTTTAAATCGTGGTTATATATATATATATAACGTAAAATTTGCCATTTGAACTATTTTAAGTATACAGTTCAATAGCATCAAATACACTCAAATAACTATGCAGTTTTCACGGCCGTTCATTCATTTTGTGAAACTGAAACTCTGTATTCATTAAACAACAACTCCTCATGCTTCCTCCCCTTAATCCCTGACAATCACTATCTGTGTCGTGTCTCTGTGGATTTGACTAAGTACCTCATGTGAGTGGAATCATACGCTATTTGTCCTTTTGTGACTGGTTTATTTCACTTAGCATAATGTCCTTGATGTTTATCCATGTTGTAGCATGTGTCAGAATCTCCTTACTTAAATTTTTATTTTTTCTTACTTCAACATTCAAGGGAATCTCCTTACTTTTTGAGGCCAAATAGATTCCATTGTATGTATGAACCACACTTTGTTTATCTACTAACCTTTTGATGGGCACTTAGTTTGCTTCTACTTTTTGGCTACCGTCATCAATAATGCTGCTATGAATATGGGTGTATAAAAATCAATTCATGTACCTGCTTTGAATTATTTTGGATATATACCCAGAAATAGAATTGCTGCATCATATCATATTAACTTTTTAAAACCTGAGAAATTCTGCATTCCAAAATTCATCTAGCGCCAAGTGCTTTGGAAATGGGATTGTGGAGCTGCCTTATGCTTGTTAGGCAAATGAAACTAAGCTTTAAACATTTTTCCTTTCTTTTAAATTTTAATCCTTAAAGTTAGTTTATTTCCACAATTGACTGTCTCACAGAATAAAGCTAGCCTTAAAATTTGGCCGGGTGCGGTGGCTCACGCCTGTAATCCCAGCACTTTGGGAGGCCAAGGCGGGCGGATCACTTGAGGTCAGGAGTTTGAGACCAGCCTGGCCAACATGTTGAAATCCCGTCTCTACTAAAAAAAAAAGATACAAAAATTAGCTAGGCATGGTGGCATGTGCCTGTAATCGCAGCTACTAGGGAGGCTGAGGCAGGAGAATCGTTTGAACCCAGGAGGTAGAGGTGGCAGTGAGCCAAGATGGTGCCACTGTACTCCAGCCTGGGCCACAGAATGAGACTCCATCTCAAAATAAAATAAAATATAATAAATATTTACTTTTAATATAATTTAATAACTATTAAATATATTTTAAATATAATGTAATAACTATTAAATAGACTTTTTCTTTTTTTAAAGTTAAATTAAATTAAATTTTATTTGACTTTAAGTTCTGGTATACCTGTGCTGAACGCGCAGGTTCATTACATAGGTATACATGTGCCATGGTGGTTTGCTGTACCTATCAACCCATCATCTAGGGCTGCTGCATGCACCAGGTATTTGTCCTAATGCTCTCCCTCCTTTTACCCTCCACTCCCCGATAGGCCCCAGTGTGTGATGTTCCCCTCCCTGTGTCCATGCATTCTCAGTGTTCAACTCCCACTTACGAGTGAGAACATGTGGTGTTTGGCTTTCTGTTTCTGTGTTAGTTTGCTGAGGATGATGGTTTCCGGCTTTATCCATGTCCCTGCAAAGGACATGAATTCATTTCTTTTTATGGCTGCATAGTATTCCATGGTGTATATGTGCCACATTGTCTTTATCCAGTCTATCATTGATGGGCATTTGGGTTGGTTTCAAGTCTTTGCTATTGTGATTAGTGCTGCAATAAAGATACATGTGCATGTGTCTTTTAATATAATATATGTGTACTTTTCATATATTTAAAAATAAATATACTTTTAATATAATTTAATGACTATATTAAATATCTTTAAATATAATTTAATAAGGATATTAAATATACTTTTAATATAATTTAATGACTATGCATTTAATATAATTTAACAATTATATTAAATATACTATTAATAATTTTAAAGCTGGCTTTAAAGTTGATATTTACTTAACATTTTGAAACATAAAGACTTGGCAATAACGATTCAGCTGCCGAATTAGTCCCCCAATTGCTTTCCAGTGTTTTCAACTTATTTCTTATATGGTTACATTAAATGAATTATATGTAATGAGACATGTGGGTATATTTTAATATGCTCAATATGGTTTGGGTAAGGTAAAAAAAAGATCTTAAATGGCCTTGTCGTTCCATAACTACTTCCTAATTAGCTCATATTTTAATTCCACCGCTTAATAGTTGTGTGATCTACCAAGTTATCTAAGGTTCTGTGCCTCAGTTTTCTCATTTGTAAAATGTCAATAATAATAATATGAAAAACCATATAAAAATTGATGTTTTGTTTCTTCCCTACAAAAGTAAAAAATTTGCATTTTTTAAAATCTAATACATATCCCACAGGGTTGTTAGGTGGAACTGATGTGTTAATATCTGTAAGACACTTAGAACAGTGCCTGCCCTGTACATAGGAAGTACTAGAAGTGCATTTGTTAAACAAAAAAATACGATGGTTAGGTGACCTTGGTTGAGTCATTTGTGTGGCTTGTTCCATTTCTTCTCCAAAATGATATGATAGATACTACTAGATGGTATGTAACAGTTTTAGCATCATACAATTCTATGCTTCTTTCTACAAATTTGTAATTTTACTACACTTCTTTTAATCTAGCACTTAATAGTCCTATGTCTGCTAAGGGAAGGTATCAAATAATTTTTGCTGTGAAAAGGGAAATGATTGGCCCCACATTGGACCAGCCATATGTGTATATTCCCCTCCCAGGGTCCAAAGCCTGCAGACAGAACCAGGTCTATACTCTGGTGCTGCTTTTAAATGAGTACCATGACCACGTCTGGGATGGAGAGTAGTTACAGGAGGGCAATGTGTCTCTGCCACAGAGCTTGAGTTACCATGAACCTGGTCATCTGAGAGAAAGCTCACTGGACTCACCTTTTGTGACCCGGGCCTGGGATCCAAGGGCAGTAACAAGCATGAGGCAGGAGAGGGCAGCCACGGAGACCTTCATCCTCCTGGTGGGCAGGCAGGGCTGGCCGAGGACTCCTGGGCTCACTGCTTCCTGGCTTCTCGGGATGCCAGTTCTGCCCTTGTATTTATAAGAAGAAGAGGAAGTTACAGGGCAGAGGTCAGAATGCTGTTTTTTGACTTATGATAGTTAACAGGCTCTTTCTAAAAAGGAAACAAGGCTGAGAATGCAATAGGAAGTAGACGACAAAGATGACTTGGACTGTCCTTGTGGACTTCCCGAGTTGTTCCAATAAGTACAGGCAGAGAGAGCAAATACTTTATGATGGATCCTTCCCTCTGGGAGATTCATTCATCCTCTAAACAGTGGAGTTTTTTTTCCTCAGGAGCTAACCACCTTCAGATGCTCAAATAGCCTGTACACATGGGGACCACCAGAGAGAACACTTCAACTTGTAGAGCTGTGATCTCTGCTGGTAAACACAGCTCATACGACATCCCGTAATGTACAGCCCATGATGTGTACTCACACAGCATGATTGTCTAGCATAAGCTGAGCTACTCTAGAATATAATGGGGAGAGTGTAGGGCAAGGATGAGCACATGGGAGCTAAAATGTCGCCTTGTTGGGGTAGCCTGCCTTCCTTCTCAGCCCTGCGCTTAGTCTCTGGGAAAGGAATAGTCCTCGTCCAGTGTCTGGAGATATCCTTGACTCCTCTGTTTATCTCATACCCCATATCTAATTCATTAATAAGTATTTTTGGCCCTACTTCCAAAAATATAGCCAGAATCTTATTATTCCTTCAAAAGAAAACTCCCATTTATTCTCTACTACTATTCTCAATGCTTCACTTCTGAGACTACCTGGTGTTAGCATAGACCACACAGGTTAAGGGCTCGGTCCCGTGAGGCTGGCAACACTTCAGATGCCAATCTCAAATAGTGGGTCCCCAGGTTACCCACAACTTCTGTTTGACTTGGCTACACATCAGAATTTCCCAAGACCCCCTCCTCAGATTCCATAATTACTAAAGTAGCTCTCAGAACTCAGAAGAACAGTTTACTTACAGGGTTATATTATAAAGCATACAACTCAGGAACAGCCAGGTCAATGAGATGCATAGGGAAAGGCATGGGGAGTGAGTTTGGAGCTTCTGTGTCCTCTCCAGGTGTACCATCCTCTCAGTGCCTCCACTGAACACTGTTCCAAGTTCACCAACCTGGAAACTCTCTAAACCCCATTCTGTTAGGTTTTTATGGAAGATTTATTACATAAGCATGATTGATTAAATCATTAACCATTAGTGATCAGATCAATCTCCAGCCTCTCTCCCCTCCCTGGAGTTTAGGGGTAGAGGCTGAAATTTCCAATCCTCTCATGGTTGGCTCCCATGGCAACCAGTTCTCATCCCTAAGGCTTTCCAAAAGTCACTTCATTGACATAAACTCAGGTGTGGTAGGAACTACTTGTCCAGACTTCCAGGTTGTACGTGCCTGAGTAATGAGCTGATCCTTCTTATACCTCAGCATCAGAGAATCCCCGGTGCAGGAAAAGTGGGGTGTGCATGATGGACAAGGTGAGGTGCTGTCAGATTATACCGTCTTGAGCTGGGCAGAGCCTGGGTGCAACTGGCTGCTGTAGTGGTGGCTAGAGTCAGAGATAAAGCTGATAGAATGGAAGTGGTGTACAGAGGAGCCTGACACAGTATTAGATGCATATTTTTTTAGTGAAAGAATATAAGGAATAGATTTCACAATATTCACCAATCAGTATGTTGATTACACAACATATTGTCATTTCTTGACAGGGATTGCTTTCAGCTTTTGCTCATTCAGTATGATTTTGGCTGTGGGTTTGTCATAAACAGCTCTTATTATTTTGAGATATGTTCCATCAATGCTAGTTTATTGAGTGTTTTTAGCATGAAGTGTTGTTGAATTTTATCGAAGACCTTTTCTGCATCTATTGAGATAATCATGTGGTTTTTGTCATTGGTTCTGTTTATGTGATGGATTACATTTATTGACTTGCATATGTTGAATCAGCCTTGCATCCCAGGGATGAAGCCATGGATAAGCTTTTTAATGTGCTGCTGGATTTGGTTTGCCAGTATTTTATTGAGGATTTTTGCAATGATGTTCATCAGGGATATTGGCCAGAAATTTCCTTTGTTGTTGTTGTTGTTTTGTCTTTGCCAGGTTTTGGTATCAGGATGATGCTGGCCTCATAAAATGAGTTAGGGAGGAGTCCCTCTTTTTCTGTTGATTGGAATAATTTCAGAAGGAATGGTACCAGCTCCTCTTTGTACCTCTGGTAGAATTCGGCTGTGAATCCATCTGGTCCTGTGCTTTTTTTGGTTGGTAGGCTATCAATTACTGCCTCAATTTCAGAACTCGTTATTGGTCTATTCAGGGATTCAACTTCTTCCTGGTTTAGTCTTGGGAGGGTGTATGTGTCTAGGAATTTATCCATTTCTTCTAGATTTTCTGGTTTATTTGCATAGAGGTGTTTATCGTATTCTCTGATGGCAGTTTGTATTTCTGTGGGATCAGTGGTGATATCCCCTTTATCATTTTTTATTGTGTCTATTTGATTCTTCTCTCTTTTCTTTTTTATTAGTCTGGCTAGCAGTCTATCTATTTTGTTAATCTTTTCAAAAAACCAGCACCTGGATTCATTGATTTTTTGCAGGGTTTTTTGTGTCTCTATCTCCTTCAGTTCTGCTCTGATCTTAGTTATTTCTTGTCTTCTGTTAGCTTTCGAATTTGTTTGCTCTTGCTTCTCTAGTTCTTTTAATTGTGATGTTAGGGTGTCAATTTTGGATCTTTCCCACTTTCTAATGTGGACATTTAGTGCTATAAATTTCCCTCTAAACACTACTTTTGCCGTGTCCCAGAGATTCTGGTACGTTGTGTCTTTGTTCCCATTGGTTTCAAAGAACTTATTTATTTCTGCCTTAACTTTGTTGTTTACCCAGTAGTCATTCAGGAGCAGGTTGTTCAGTTTCCATGTAGTTGTGCAGTTTTGAGTGAGTTTCTTAATCCTGAGTTCTAATTTGATTGCACTGTGGTCTGAGAGACTGTTATGATTTCTGTTCTTTTGCACTTGCTGAGGAGTGTTTTACTTCCAATTATGTGTTCTATTTTAGAATAAGTGCTATGTGGTGCTGAGAAGAATGTATATTCTGTCAGGGTGGAGAGTTCTGTAGATATTTATTAGGTCCGCTTGGCCCAGAGCTGAGTTCAAGTCCTTAATATCCTTATTAATTTTCTGTCAAGTTGATCTGTCTAATATTGACAGTGAGGTGTTTAAGTCTTCCACTATTATTGTGTGGGAGTCTATGTCTCTTTGTAGGTCTCTAAGAACTTGCTTTATAAATCTGGGTGCTCCTGTTTTGGGTGCATATATATTTAGGATAGTTAGCTCTTCTTGTTGCAGTGATCCCTTTACCATTATGTAATGTCTTTCTTTGTCATTTTTTATCTTTGTTGGTTTAAAGTCTATTTATCAGAGACTAGGATTGCAACCCCTGCTTTTCTTTGCTTTCTATTTGCTTGGTAAGTATCCCTCCATCCCTTTATTTTGAGCCTATGTGTGTCTTTGCACGTGAGATGGATCTCCTGAATACAGCACACTGATGGGTCTTGACTCTTTTATCCAATTTGCCAGTCTGTGTCTTTTAATTGGGGCATTTAGCCTGTTTACATTTAAGGCTAATATTGTTATGTGTGAATTTGATTCTGTCATTATGTTGTTAGCTGGTTATTTTGCCCATTCATTGATGCAGTTTCTTCATAGTGTCAATCATCTTTACATTTTGGTATGTTTCTGCAGTGACTGGTACAGGTTTTTCCTTTCCATATTTAGTGCTTCCTTCGGGACCTCTTGTAAGGCAGGCTCTCTTGTCTGTAAAGGATTTTATTTCTCCTTCACTTATGAAGCTTAGTTTGGCTGGATATGAAATTCTGGGTTGAAAATTCTTTTCTTTAAGAATGTTGAATTGGCCCCCACTCTCTTCTGGCTTGTAGGGTTTCTTCAGAGAGATCCACTGTTAGTCTGATGGGCTTCCCTTTGTGGGTAACCAGACCTTTCTCTCTGGCTTCCCTTAACATTTTTTTCTTCCATTTCAACCTTGGAGAATCTGATGATTTTGTGTCTTGGGGTTGCTCTTCTCGAGGAGTATCTTTGTGGTGTTCTCTGTATTTCCTGAATTTGAATGTTGGCCTGTCTTGCTAGGTTGGGGAAGTTCTCCTGGCTTCCTGAAGTGTATTTTCCAACTTGGTTCCATTCTCCCCGTCACTTTCAGGTACACAAATCAAATGTAGGTTTGGTCTTTTCACATAGTCCCATATTTCTTGGAGGCTTTGTTCATTCCTTTTCATTCTTTTTTCTCTAATCTTGTCTTCATGCTTTATTTCATTAAGGTGATCTTCAGTCTCTGATATCCTTTCTTCTGCTTGATCAATTCGGCTATTGATACTTGTGTATGCTTCACGAAGTTCTCGTGCTGTGTTTTTCAGCTCTATCAGATCATTTATGCTCTTCTCTAAACTGGCTATTCTAGTTAGCAGTTCCTGTAACCTTTTATCAAGGTTCTTAGCTTCCTTGCATTGGGTTACAACATGCTCCTTTAGCTTGGAGGAGTTTGTTAGTACCCACCTTCTGAAGCCTACTTCTGTCGATTCATCAAACTCATTCTCCATCCAGTTTTGTTCCCTTGCTGGCGAGGAGTTGTGATCCTTTGGAGGAGAAGAGGCATTCTGGTTTTTGGAATTTTCAGCCTTTTTGCAAAGGTTTTCCTTCATTTTCGTGGATTTATCTACCTTTGGTCTTTGACGTTGGTGACCTTCAGATGGGGTTTTTGTGTGGGCATCTTTTTTGTTGATGTTGATGCTATTGCTTTCTGTTTGTTAGTTTTCCTTCTAACAGTCAGGCCATTCTTCTGCAGGTCTGCTGGAGTTTGCTTTAGGTCCCCTCCAGACTCTGTTTGCCTGGGTATCACTGATGGAGGCTGCAGAACAGCAAAGATTGCTGCCTGCTCCCTCCTCTGAAAGCTTCATCCAAGAGGGGTACCCGCCAGATGCCAGCCGGAGCTCTCCTGTATGAGGTGTCTGTTGACCCCTGCTAGGAGGTGTCTTCCAGTCAGGAGGCATGGGGGCAGGGACCCACTTGAGGAGGCAGTCTGTCCCTTAGCAGAGCTTGAGTGCTGTGCTGGGAGATCTGCTGCTCTCTTCAGAGCTGGCAGGCAGGAATGTTTAAGTTTGCTGAAGCTGCGCCCACAGCCACCCCTTCCCCCAGGTGCTCTGTCCTAGGGAGATGGGACTTTTATCTGTAAGTCCCTGACTGTGGCTGCTGCCTTTTTTTCAGAAACGCCCTGCCCAGAGAGGAGGAATCTAGAGAGGCAGTCTGACTGCAGCGGCTTTGCCGCACTGAGGTGGGTTCTGCATCCAGTTCGAACTTCCAGGTGGCTTTGTTTACACTGTGAGGGGAAACTGCCTACTCAAGCCTCAGTAATGGTGGGCACCCCTCCCCCCATCAAGCTTGCATGTCCCAGGTAGACTTCAGACTGCTGTGCTGGCAGCGAGAATTTCAAGCCAGTGGATCTTAGCTTGTTGGGCTCAGTGGGTGTGGGATTTGCTGAGCAAGACCACTTGGCTCTTTGGCTTCAGCCTCCTTTCTAGGGGAGCGAACTGTTCTGTCTTGCTGGTGTTCCAGGTGCCACTGGGGTACAAAAAGACTCCTGCAGCTTGCTCAGTGTCTACCCAAATGGCCGCCCAGTTTTGTGCTTGAAACCCAGGGCCCTGGTGGTGTAGGCACCCGTGAGAATCTCCTGGTCTGTGGGTTGCGAAGACCATGGGAAAAGCATAGTATCTGGGCCGGATAGCACTGTCCCTCACAGCACAGTCCCTCATGGCTTCCCTTGGCTAGGGGAGGGAGTTCCCTGACCCCTTGTGTAATTTATACAGACCTAGGGGGACTGAACAAAGGGGGTGAACGTGGGAATAAAAGACAAGAGACAAAAGAATATATTTAGTCAGGGGCCACTTTGCCTCTAGTGGACAAGGGCCCTGAGCTTTACATAGCCCTCCATCTTTATTAGGCAAAAGAGATAGTGAGAAGGGGGTTGGAAGAAGGGGTCAGCCGCTTGGTCCAGAGTAGGCTTGTAAGACTGTGTTGTGCTTCCAGGGTGAGGCAATGCCCCACCCTGCTCCTGCTCACCCTCCATGGGCTACACCCACCGTCCAACCAGTCCCAATGAGCTGAACTGGGTACCTCAGTTGGAAATGCAGAAATCACCTGCCTTCTGGGTTGGTCTCACTGGGAGCTGCAGACCAGAGCTGTTCCTATTCAGGCATCTTGCCTGGGAATCCTTGTGCATGATCTTAAATGGCCTATTACACGAGAAAAACTTTCTTCTTAAGTGATAAGGGGAATAACAGAGCCTGCCAACTCATCTTCTTGTTTCTTGTGTAAGACTGGGCCCAGGTCCTTTTTAGAGAAACAAAACCAATCCAAACAATGTCTCCTTAAAGAGGCCTGTAGCTAAAGTCTGCGCTATGCCATGCAATTGAAACTGCTCTAGGGTTGCACAGAGATGGAGTCCCTTAAATATCTTCTGACCATTCCTGTATACCAGCCACTGTATGTGTATTTGGTGATACCAAGTCAAATGAATTGGTTTCAGTTTTGCGCCAAATGTTTCTCCTAACTCACACTGGTTATCTGAAATTAGATCTTGGTTTAAATATTTAACTAATTCCTTCCTTTGATAGACTGTTTGCAAAAATGGGTGCAGTAATTCCTACCACCCAGTGTGCCTACCCTTGGGAAGTCCCTTCGCCTACTGAATCTGGTCTTTGCTATGTGACTGTCTTTGGACAATGAGACAATAGAAAATGTGATGAAAACAGAGGCCGGAAAAGTGCTGGTGCATTGATACTTGCATTATTAATATTTCACTGCTGAGAACTTTTATACCACCGCATGTGCCAGCCTATGCTAGCCTACCAAAGGAGGAGAGACCACAAGGAGAGAAAGGTCCCCAGACATCCCAGCTGTCCCAGCTGAGAGGTTATCCTAGGCCTTCAAACCCTGGCTGAGCTGGCTCAGACCGGGAGAACTACCCCTCCAACCTACAGAATTGTGAGAATAGCTGTTTGCTGTTTTAAGTCACTACATTTTGTGGTGATTTATGATGTAGCAAAAGCTAACTGATAATCCTCCTTTTGGGCCATAAGGATAGATTTATCTTTTTTATAAATTTGCTGAACGCAAAAGTAATAGTTCCTTATTCAAGAGGAGGCTTGTTGCTTTATTTTTAAAATTTTTTTGAAACAGGTTCTTCCTTTGTTCACCAGGGTGGAGTGCAGTGGCACAATCACGGCTCACTGCAGCCTTGACCTCCCAGGCTCAAGTGGTCCTCCCACCTTAGCCTCCCAAGTGGCCCGTACTGCAGGCATGCACCACCATGCTTGGCTAACTTAAAAATTTTTTTTTTTAGAAATGGGGTCCTGCTATGTTGCCCCCGGCTGGTTTTGAACTCCTGGGCTGAAGTGATCCTCCCACCTCCACCTCCCAAAGTGCTAGGATAACAGGTGTGAGCCACTGTGCCCGGCTGAGGCTTGTTGCTTTTAATTAAACTAGGTACTTGTTAGAGAAGGACTACATAAATCTTAGTAAAGATGCTTTATTCTAGTTAGGGTAGAGATAGAGGATTGAGGAAGTTTCTGCCATCCAGAGCTGTGGAGCCTTTGTGCCCATTGGAGATTTCAAGGGAGGTCCAGATGCATCCCTTTGGACTGGGATGAAGAGAAACATTTCTGAAAGGGATAGCATTTGATGCAGGTCTCAGAAATAGGACAGAGACTGTATACTGCTTCAAAAGGCAGGGAAGGGAGGAAGAAGATCCTAGTCAGCTGTAACTGCCAATAAGGATAGTAAATAGTTGCAATGAGATATGGGCTACTTACTGTTTTATGTTTTACAATTATTATATAATTAAATCTTAACTACAATCTTGTGAAATAGGCACAGTCATTAGCTCTTTTTCCAGATGAGGCTATGGAGACATACAGCAATAGAGTAATTTGCTAATATTTGCTATATGCCCACATGGGTAGTAAAGGGCAAAGCTGGCATTTGAACCAAGGTCTCTCTAATACTAGACCTCACTATTTAAGACAAAGGCATGGACATGATCAAATTGAGGCACATTTTGGATGTGTCTATAGTATACAAATAATGTACACATAAGCATGATCATTAATGTTTTTAAATTGGACTTTTTTATTTTGAGGTAATTGTAGATTCACATGCAATTGTAAGAAATAATACAGAGAGATCCTGGGTAGTGTACTCTTTACACAGTGTAAAAGTTGACCATACAATTGGGTCATTCTTGTCATACCCAACTAAAACAGAGTTGAGATGCCAGGGGGAGAAAACACTGAGGGCATATAACATTGGTCTAGGCCGGGCACAGTGGCCCACGCCTGTAATCCCAGCACTTTGGGAGGCCAAGGAGGGTGGATCACGAGGTCAGGAATTTCAGACCAGCCCAATAGACATGGTGAAACCCCGTCTCTACTAAAAATACAAAAATTAGCTGGGCATGGTGGCGGGTACCTGTAATCCCAGCTACTCAGGAGGCTGAGGCAGGAGAACTGCTTGAATCTGGGAGGCGGAGGTTGCAGTGAGCCGAGATCACGCCACTGCACTCCAGCCTGAGCGACAGAGCGAGACTGTCTCAAAAAAAAAAAAACAAAAACAAAAACAAAAAACCAACACTGGTCTAATAATGTAAATCTCTGCATGCAAGCCTGTCTGGGACATATAACATTGCTCCAAGAATGTAGTCCTCTGCAAGCCTGGCTGCTGAAGTTTCAGCCTGTGCTATCCTGAAACCCATTTTATCTAATAGTTACTGAAACAACCTGCTGTGGTTCTAAGACTAGTCTTACCCACTGCTATCACTCACCAATCACAACTTGCCAGTTTCCTAAAACTTTACTAGTGCCAATGAACTTTCTTGCAAAACAATATGTAACTTTTCTCTTTTTAATAAAACCTCTAGCTTACTCTTTGGTCTTTGGACATACTAAAGACTACCCAGACAGTATGTATGTCTTGAATTGTAATTCTTGCGTCCCAAATAAGACATTTTAAATTTAGAGATTCATCTCTATATTTTGTTTGACTTTGACACCAGTTTCTCCCAAAAGTGACATGTTGCAAAACGATAGTACAATATAGTAGAGGATATTGACATTGATATCATCAATATACAGAAAAGTTCCTTCACCACAAGGCTCCCTCATGTAACCCTTGTATAGCTACACTTATCTCCCTCCCACCCATCCCACCCCTTCCTCAATTCTTGGCAACCACGAATCTGTTCTCCATGTTTATAATCTTGTCATTTTATGAATGTTATGTAAATGGAATCATATGGTATGTCACCTCTTGGGATTGGCTTTATTCACTCAGCTGAATTCTCTGGAGATTCATTCAGGTTGTTGCATGTGCCAATAGTTCATTCTTTTTATTGCTGAATAGTATTCCATGATATGGTTGAACCACAGTTTGTTTAATCATTTATCCACTGAAGGACATCTGGGTGTTTCCAGTTTTGGGCTATTATAAATAATGCTGCAATAAACATTCATGTACTGCTTTGTTTATGTGAATGTAAGTCTTCATTCTCCAGGATAAATGCTCAAGGGTACGATTAACATTTAGCATGGCTATCAATACTTTAAGACAAGTTCTGTGATCAAGTATTTTCTTTTTAAGTAAAGTAGGGGGCATGTGTTTGTTTTTTTCAGCACCTTCCTTTCTTCTGGAAAGATGCCCTCTTCTTGGAGGAACTGCCCATGTAGCTATTAGGTTCTGTGAGGCTCTTGCCCATCACAGTACCTCCTCCTTTGCAATAGATGTGCACCTACCTCCCCAGTCAGACAACTGGGGTCCTTCCCAGGGATTTTTCAGATTCTAATGACAGAAAAGCAGCAGCTCCTTCAGGAAGTGGAGGTCCTGTGGTCTGCCTTCAGAAGAGCAATGCCATTGATACCAGGATCCTGTGGAACTGCATGCCCTGGGGCTGGTTTTCCCTGAGCTGTACGCCTGCCATCCACTCTGAATTTATGAGCTAATAAACTATTTCTGGTTTTGCTCGAGGAAATTTTGAGAGAGCTTTCTGTCACATAAGACTCAAAGTATAAAGAATCTTTCATTCCCCACTCCTGGGCTCTTTCTGGCTTCGTGCTCATGGTTCTGACTCTCCTCTCCTTCAGTTCTGAGGTCCCAACTGTCAGGGCCCAAAGAAACCGCTCAAGTTCTTGCTGTGTCCAGCACAATTTTCATGGAACAGCCCTTGGTGTTTTCTCCAAGGCTCTGATACCAAATCTACACTGAGACCTGGAGCCTATGGCTTCCTTGGGCCCCCAGAGGGCTGGGAGTCATAATTTGGCACAATGAGTGAGAGCTGAGAGAAAGTGGGCCTGGGATTAAATCCTGGGCAGAGAAATTCCCAAGGGCTGGCAGAGGTGAGAGGATGGGGTAGGAGCCTTGGGCTCTGCTCCTGCTGCATCCTGAACTGGGATACCTCAACTGCAGTGTGGCGACTGTGCTGTGAGCTCTAGATCACGGCTGGCATCATGGGCGTGTGACCTGTGCAGTTACACAGGTCCTTGCTCTTGGTTTCAGGCTCTGCTGCCGTTGTTGTTTAGGAGTTAGTAGTTTTTTAACAAGGGGCCTAACACTTTCATTTTTCACTGGGTCTTGTGTAGTCATGGCTTCAGGCACTGTGGAGTTGTCACTAATGTACTGCACCCTTTGGATGATGAAGATGAGGCACAAGAGGCTGAGGAGTTGAGACTCTGTACAAATTCCTACCTTCCCCATGGAATCCTGGAGACTTCTGGCTTTGGGCAAGTCTCCTTTCCGAGGGGTTGCTCCCTATTCCCCAGGACCCTATACACACCTGAGCCAGTGTCCTCCACGGTGATTCATGCGATCCTTTCAGGCAGTTCCCTCTTTCTTCTTCTTTGTCCCAGACTTGGCCCCTCTCTACCCACTGGGACCACCTCCTCCATCTCTTTGAAGGCTCAGCCCAGGCCAAAAGGTGCTCAGCTTCTCTCTGTGTCTGCACACCTGATAGGTGTCCAGAAGTCTTCCTCTCCCTTGGGAAGTACCCAGCCTTCCTCCTCTTTTCAGGCCCTGCTAGCTTTTTTCACCCCTGAGGTCAGCAGTTGGAACCCAAGTTCCCCAAGGTCAGTGGTTGGAGCCCAAGTTTGCCTGACTCTAAAGCCTGTGATTGTCTTATTATATCTTGCTCTTCTTATTACAACAGTGATTATTTTAACAATCATTATCATTTATTAAGTGCTTACTATGGGCAGGTCAGGACCAGATGGTGGTAAATGAGGCACTAGCCTTGCGCTTGTGTTGAAAACCCAAGGGGACACCAAAAAGTTCAGTAGTAAAAATAAGTAATATTTTAGTGAACTATTTAAAAAATCAAAATTACTACTGAAAAAATCACAATGAACAAAACACAAAAACACTTAAATAAAGACAGGATCGGTAACAGTGCTGTGCCGAGCCATATTGGAACTTGAGGAAAAAGGTAAAATCAATGGGAGCTTCCTGTTAGAATATCCACCCATCCATCTGTCCATTCATCAATATGTCCATCCATCTATCCATACATCTGTCCATCCATCCATCCATCTCCCATCCATCCATCCATCCATCTGTCCCTCTGTCCATCTGTTCATCCACCCATCCACCTCTCATCCATCCATCTGTCCATCCATCCATCCATCCATCCATCCATCCATCCGTCCATCCATTTAATATAAATTTACTGAGCATCTACCACGTGCTGGGCATTCTGCTCAGCACCAAGAGTATCACACAAAGAGCCAAAAAGATTATGTTCCTTTCCTCCTGGAGACAAAATTAAATAATCACACAAATAAACATGTACTTATACACTGTGATAAGCAACACCATGGAAAAGAATATATTGGGGGCCCAGAGAATGCCTCTCTGAGAAAGTAGCATTTAAGCTGAGAATTATAAAATGAGCAATGTTTGCTAAGTTGACAAGTGAGGAAAAGGGAGACAAAGGTAAGGGAAGTAGTTTGTGCAAAAGTCTTGAGGCAGGAGGTACTAGCACATATCAGGGACTGGTTGGTATTAGTTGAGAGCAACTAGAAAAATCATGGGTCCTGCCTTGAGTTTTATACAGGGGCAGAGGAAGAACCAGCCCTCAAAATTAAAGACACAACGGGAGACCAAAATGAAAGCTGCTATATAGTTTCCCCCCAAAGTTGTCCTCGTTCAAGCTATCAGTGACACATACGCAGGGGCTGTTGATTTATGCCTATCATGAGGCATCTGCCTCTCTTCCTGGGAGTGTGAGACTCATGCCAAAAGCTTAGCGGTGGTCTGCAGTGGCCTCATCTAGGGCTGCTCCTGGGAATGCACTGGAAAGAGAAGCCCCCTTCGAGGCTTCTCTGGGTTCATTTCCTTTAAATCCAAAGCCCTTCTTTGGGTTCATTTCCTTTAAAGCATGGCCAGGTCAGCTTCAGGCTATAAGATATGATGAAGTTTCTCTTCAAATAGCCTAATCAATCCTTTATTCTTTAATAGTACCTCCCCACCCCTTTTTCCTTTTTGTCTTTTTTTCTTCCTTTCTGCCTTTGTTACATGCCCAGACACGCCACAATACCAGGTGTTAGCAGTACCAGCTCACATTCCTTTCCTTATTAAAAAAAAAAAGACTAACTCTCTAGCTCATTACAGACACCCCTTCCCCTTTCCCCTCTCTCTCTTACATGCCCACCTTATCTGAAACAAAAAAGTTCAAATATTTAGCCAAACAGAATTAGTTTAAAGCGTACAACCCAATCCTGGCCAATGAAAAAAAAAAATACAAAAGCAAGACTTGCGTCAGAAATAAAGGCTTTCATGCCCCTTTATTCAAGTGTGCTCCCATGGCGACTGGCCAAGGAGAAACACCCCTCTGCGCAAAAGTAAAATTGCTTTGCTAAAAATCCTTTGTTTAAGTGTTCAATTTCCTTAGAATTTTAAATATTATTCCCAAAAAGGCCTTAGCATCATCTTAAGCAGTCACAAACAGACCTGTCAAATTCCTACCAACCTTTTCTTTCCTCTTCTTTTCTTTGCCCTGACATTTCCTGTATTTGGGCCTCTGAAGATTCAAAGAATAGAGTCCCTAACTTACCCAGCCCATCCCTGCCTTGAGTTGGTCTTTGACCCTTTAATAACTGCGCCCTTCCATTTAAAAGTAAAATATTTCCTTGTTAAGAAGACATGTGGTTGGATTATTGCTTCTGCTTTTCACAAAGCCATAGAGTAAAAGCCAAGCCTCAGGATTTGGAGAGGAGGGATGAGGTTGAATTTTATGATCTATACTTCTCTCTTGGCAGCCAGGCAGGATTTGAGGGAGCAGGACCCTGTTAGAGATGAGGCAACCCAGGGAGCTGGAAAGAATATGGTGACTGCCTGGACACATGGAAAGGAATACTGCACAGGCTCTGCCACTGGGTTAACTGTAGTTGGGATTGAAATTTACAAAATAGCCCTGAGTGTCTGCCATACCAGGCAATGAGGGACAGAGGACAAGTGAGCAGCATCCCTCTGCCCCCTGCACTCATGCGTCCATCAATAAGTTGGTCTTTCTAAAGAATATCTGCAATCTGTTGCCTCCTCTCCATTCTCAGTGCCCCTGCCTTAGTTCAGTCTTTTACCTGGACTATTGCAATGGTCTCCTAATTGGTCCCCCTGCTTCCCTTCTTGCTCCCCTCAAACCCGTTCTCTGTCCTGAAGCCAGAGTACTCTTTCTAAAACCCAAATCAGGCCATGCCCATCTACTGACAACCTTTGGCTTACAAGGCTCTGACAGGTCTACTGTTCTCTCTGAACTTCCAGTCCCACTGGCCTTCTTTTCATTAGGCAAACACAACCACCCCAGGGCCTTTGCCTTTTCTGGTTTCTCTGCCTGGATGCTTTCCTACCTCTGGCTTGTTTTATGGCTGAATCTTCCTCATCTTGTAGGGCTCAGATTAATTGTCACCTTCTTAGAGAGGCCTCCTCTGACCTTTCCTAAAGAACCCACACACCATAGCCTGTTTTAGGTCTTTCAAAGCATTGGTTACCATTGGAAATTACTTTGTATACTTGTTCGCTTGAGGATCATTTCCCCCTTTCCCATTCCACCCCCTAGAATGTAAGCTCCTGAGGGCTGGGATGGTACATGTCTAGGTTACCCCAGTATCTGGCACTGGGAGCAGTGCCCAATAAATGTGGAATGAGGGTGTCATAGGCTGTGGTGTGTCAGAGGAGGTGGAGATGGGCCACTTTGGTCTGGGAGGATCGGAGAAGATGTAGCATTTGACAGAAATCTTGAAAAGCAGACAGAGAAAGCAGGAGAGAGAAAGCAGAAGAGAAAGTGGAGTTTGCAAACTCCATGGATAGAAAGAACCATGAGAGACAAATGCCTAGAAGTAAGAAATCCATATTTGGGTTTGGGGTTTGGCCATACAATCTAACTTTCAAGGAGCAGATCTATATCTAATATGCTGCATATTATTTCAAGGCCACCCAAAGTCCATATATAGGGGCCCTAGTCCCCACCTCATGGGTCCTTCTAAGCTTTTTGCTTCACGTGCCAACTCCCTCCTCTCCAGCCTGACTTGCTGGAGTCCAGTGATCCAGCTGGGTCCAATACAGCTTTCTTCCAATATCCTTCTTTACTTTCTCCAAAGCTCAAGTAACATGTTCACAAGTCAATGTCTAATATTGCTACCAACAGCTCACTGGGTCCCTGAGCCTCCACATACCCCAAAGAGGGTGTCAGAGCCAAGCTTCAGAATAGAATGGAATTCAGCACAGTGGAGGAGATCAGGAAAAAACTGTCATTGGGGATTAATCTCAGGGCAGGACAGCTACCATGCAGTGGCGGGGGCTGTGGGATTAGTGGTTGGCCATGACTAGATCCTTTCTCTCCATGCTCAGAGTGTTTCAGCTCATCCAATTAACCCTGAACTAACGTTTACCTCAAACCCAAGCAGGCGAGACATTTACTTGTGTCTAAATTATGAGTCAAGGGGTAGAAGGATCAAAAATGGAGGAATGCAAAAGCTGAGGAGGGATCATCCCATCTTTCTTCCATTCTCTGGTAAATTTGGGGGCTTTTGTCTCCTTCCCGAAGGATGAGCTCCAACCAGGGTCAGAGCAAGACCTGAGTGGTCCTAGGCTCTAAAAAGGTTATTCTGTGTTTCAGCATGTAATTTCAAATACCCAATACTAACTGAAAAGTAATGATAAGACTGTATAAGGGACTTTTGATTTTTTTAAATAATAGCCACTTTGATCACTGTGTACATGCATGAAGTTGCAAATATTGTATTCTTTCAAAAGCATTATTTGTTGATTTCCTAAGCACCTGCCGGTTGCCTATTGGGCAATGCAGCACTGATTCCATTCACTTGGACTCCCAAGTCCACCCCACCCCACTTCTAGCAGCCTCCTTTCAGCCTTCTCCTTCCCTTCCCCACCATGCTGCTCCATTTACTGGGAACTGCTTCCACCTGGAAGACTCCAGCCCAGGCCAGAAAGCCCCCAGGCTGGCCCTCTACTGCCTCTCCCTGTGTCTGCAACACCTGGCAGGTGCTCTGACGGTTGGTGCTTCTCTCAACAGTCTCCATCCCACTGAGTCTGATTAATGGAGTGAAACTCACAGGGTGGTGGGTTTGGGACACACTTCATGAATTAGACAGATAATAATGTATCACATACTTGCATGGGATCCTCCAGGTGATGTAGCAGCACTTACTGATGTTGTCATTCATATCTGGAAAGAAGCAGGTGGAAGTAGGGCTAAGCCATGCTCTAGGAGACTCAGACATGCTACTCTGTGCACCAAGAATGGGAGGCAATGCCTTTCACTCAGACAAGAAACACACCTAAAGCCAAAATACTAAATTACCTACAGCCACTGGAATCTGCCATTTCTCTTGTGTAAGTTGTTCATCATCATTGAATAATAAACCCACTCACACTTTATCCCTACCAGGAACCTCACTCTCGCTTGACCAAATCCACTATCCTTTTTTTTGTGTAGGAGAAAAAATAAGGATCTTTATTTGTGAAGGAGTTAAGAATATGCCGCCCAAAATTCACTGTTCTGGCATATTTTAAATTAAAGGCATGTAAAAAAAGAACCCAGCAGGTGCAAGAAGATCCTTCTTTATTTTGACCTTTATTGTCTTTATCAAAGGCAGGAAATGAAATGCCCATGTGAAAGATGTCCTCCTTATACCGAAAGAAAAATAATATTCTTATTAAGGATGGGAAGCTGAAGCCGAGAGAAGTCTATACAAACAAACCTTATCACCTTAGTCATTTCTGTACCCAATTAATCACCCAGCGCAGCCCCTTTGCCTTATCACATTTCACAACTTCCTATTTTTTGTCCAATTCAGTGTATAAGTGACTGACCCTAACTGCTTCTTTGAGTTTCTGTTCCTTATGAGGGATCTTGTGTCATGTAAAACTTGTATTAACTAAATTTGTGTACTTTTCTCCTATTAATCTATCATATGTCAATTTAATTCTTGAGTCCAGGTGGGATCTTAAGAAAATGGAGATGGATTTTTGCCTCTCCTAAGTTTGGTAGGTGCTTTCTATATAATGTGTTATTTAATTCTCCCCTAAACTCTAAGAGGTTGATGTTCTTGTTCCATTAGGAACATAAACTTGGCAAGCCTTGGTAAGGTTAAGGAACTTGTTGGCGTTAACCCATTGTTAAGTGGCTGAGACCTGAAACCGGGATGTCAATTCCAAGTCCCAAGACTTAACTTCTTCACCAACATTACTAACTCATTTGGCTGCAAGTGTCATTTACCCTCTGAATGAGTTTCCACACCTGTGAAGAGGAGATTGATGTTTTCTCTCTGGCAGGGTAGTTGTGAGATTAGAAATAATGTATGTAAAGCACAAACCTGGCATGACTACCATTTTTATTAAGCATTTATTCTGTGCCAGGTGGTGTTCTATGAGCTTAAATGTATGTATTAATTAATTTAACCATCACAACAAACTTGCATTGTAGATGTTATTATCATCTCCATTTTATAGAGAAGCAAACCAAGGCATAGAGAAATTAGGTAACCTGTGAAAGCCACATGGGAGAATAAGTGATAGCTATTATTTTCAAAATTGTGATTTCCCATGCATCAAGCCCTTTCTTTGTCCTTCCTTGAGAGCCTCTCTCCTTAATTTAAGCTACCAGGGAAGGAGCAGCCCAAGAACTAGCCCATTCTGGCTCTTGCTTTTTTCACGGGAGGTTTTACTTTGCTTTTTTTTTTTTTTTTTTTTTAGGTAGGGCCTTGTTCTGTCATTCAGGCTGGAGTGCAGTGGCACAATTATGGCTCACTCCAGCCTAGACCACCTGGGCTCAAGCAATCCTCCCACCTCAGCCTCCTGAGTAGCTGAGACTACAGGAGTGCACCAGTATGTCTGGCTAATTTTTAAAATTTTGTAGTAGAGATGAGGTGTTACTATGTTTCCCAGGCTGGTTGTGAACTCCTAGGCTCGAGTGATCCTCCTGCCTCGGCCTCCCAAAGTGCTGGGATTACAGGCATAAGCCACCACGCCCAGACCTGTTCCACCTTGATTATTCTGTTTCTAGCCCAGTCTCAGGGCACCCTCATGAATCTCACATAGAGTTAATGTTTAGAAATTACCCGATATTGAATTACAACTTTATGACTCCAAATATTGATTTTGAAGATAATAAAACTGTTTAAGTTACAATAATGATGAGGAAATAATTTTTTCAGGTCATAAAGAATCTTTTGTTTTTATGGTAACTTTTTATTTTAAAATAACTTTACACTGACATAGAAATTGCAGAAATAGTACATAAAGTTTCTGTGCAATCTTGACTCAGCTTCCCCCAATGGGAAGCTTATAAAACTTCATATACAACCGTATAAAAAATGCATTATGATCATCAAAACTAGAAAATTGACAGTTCTACAATATCATTATCATTATTATTTTTTGAGACAGAGTCTTGCTCTGTCACCCAGGCTGGAGTGCAGTGGCACCATCTTGGCTCACTGCAACCTCCGTCTCCTGGGTTCAAGTGATTCTTCTGCCTCAGCCTCCTGAGTAGCTGGGATTACAGGTGCTCACCGCCATGCTTGGCTAATTTTTGTATTTTTAGTAGATATGGGGTTTCTCCATGTTGACCAGGCTGGTCTTGAACCCCTGACCTCAAGTGATCCGCCTGCCTCAGCCTCCCAAAGTGCTGGGATTACAGGCATGAGCCACTGCGCCCAACCAGCCATCGTGCCCGGCCTCTACAATATTATCAACAAAACAGATCTTATTAAAATTTTACCAATTTTTACATGCAGTCATTTTTCGTTGGTGTATAGTTGAATCATATGATCCCTTGGGTGTCTATGCCAACTTCTGGCCTCCCACATCTAAGTTACTGAATCATCTGCCTCCCATGTTTTGGTAAATAACATTCACCCTCCTCCCAGAGCTGCGGTCTTGCTTGACTGGCCCCACTTCCCCTATTCAAAGGAGAAAGGCTGGAGTTGCAGAAGGAGGCATGGGGAGAATTATGGCTTTATTTTTTATTAGACTATTCTTATTTTAGTAAAGTTGTTTTTGCACACTGGCTCATGCAGCAGTGTATATAGTTATGTGCCACATAATGATGTTTTTATCAATGACAGACTACATATATGACACTTAACAACAGGCATATGTTCTGAGAAATGCTTTGTTAGGCAATTTCATCATTATACAGACATCATGTACTTACACAAACCTAGATGGTGTAGCCTACTACACATCTTATTATAAGATTATAATACCATAATTTGTTCAGCAGCAATACATTAAACAAAAACTATGCTACCTTATTTTTACTGTACCTTTTCTATGTTTAGGTATGTTTAGGTACACAAATACTCACCACTGTGTTACAACTGCCTACAGTATTCTGTACAGTAGCATGCTGCACAGGTTTGTAGCCTAGGAGCAATTGCTGTACCATATAGGTGTGTGGCAGGCTCCACCATCTAGGTTTGTGTAAGTATGTGATGTCTGTACAATGAAATTGTCTAATGAAGCATTTCTCAAAACCTATGCCCATCGTTAAGCAACATACGACTGTATCTGTTTCCTGAATTTAATTGTTTCCCCGGCTGATTCCAGAGTATTTTCTATTGACCATTGACTATGAGGCCCTCTGTCTACACCCTTCCCCAGATGTTCATTGCTTCCAGAGAAGGAAATGGGGTTGGTCCAGCTTGATTCGGCCTAACTGCACCATGCTGACTTGCAGTGACTACTTCCTTTCTGAAGTGCCAACAAGAGGTTTTTTAAAATAAGAATTATAGGCCGGGCATGGTGGCTCACACCTGTAATCCCAGCACTTTGGGAGGCCGAGGCAGGCGGATCACGAGGTCAGGAAATCAAGACCATCCTGGCTAACAGAGTGAAACCCCGTCTCTATTAAAAATACAAAAAAATTAGCTGGGCATGGTGGCGGGCGCCTATAGTCCCAGCTACTGGGGAGGCTGAGGCAGGAGAATGGCGTGAACCCGGGAGGCGGAGCTTGCAGTGAGCCGAGATCGCACCACTGCACTACAGCCTGGGCGACAGAGTGAGACTCCGTTTCAAAAAAAAAAAAAAAAAAAGAATTGTATAGGTATATGTAGAATCTTGACTAGTCTAGAGGCAGCTGACCACTCTGAAGTTGATGGAGTCTATCGTCTATTTTCTTTCTCCCTCCTTTTTTGGAAAGCTGGTTGCTATTTTCTCATCTTCAATATTCCACAACCTGTCTGCCTCCCAAGAATCTGCAAAGATCATCAATCTCTACCATGTGTTTTCTCAGCTGATAGAGAGGACTTCATCCAAGTCAAGGGACTGAGAAGCCACCCATCTTGGGCTTCGATTTCTTCGTATCTTTGGGAATTATCCCCATTCTAGCCTATAATGGACAGAGAATGAATGAATAAAAATTGGAGACCACATGTTCTGCTTTATCCCTTCCATCTGTTCAGTTAACACTCTTTATTCTCTTTATTCATTTACTCATTCATTTATTCTGTAAATATGTATTGAATACATACCATGAGCAGAGCACTGGAGATTCAGCTGCAAACAAGATGCACAGGGCCTTCTGTGAGTTTAAGCAAACAGTAAGCCTCTGGCACCTTCTTCCTAAAGTAAAACAAAGCAAACACTTTTACCATCATTCACTATTAAAAAAGCAACACTATGGAGAAATTTTGAAAATATTTAAGCAAAAAGAAGTCAGCAAAAATCCCCTGTGATCCCACAATAACATTCTTAGATGTGTCTTCATCTTTTTTCCCTGTTTGCTTTCTCCCTACGTGGGATCATACCAAAAAAAGTCATATTCCATGTTTTCACAAGTTGTGTACAATTTCAATTTCATTGTAAAATTCTTATATGCAATTTAAAATAATTTTTAACAAAAAAGATGCCTGCTTTTTAACAGAATTTTTAAGAAAATCAAATAAATGAAAAAAATCTCTTTACTATCAATATTTTGATGTGTAAGTTTCAAGTCATGTTTTTGTATGTAGTCATTATGTATAATACAGATATACAGTTAAACAAAAATGAGGTAATAATAACTGTTCTTTTCTACAGCCTGATTTTTACAGGTTTTTTTTTTTTGAGACGGAGTTTCACTCTTGTTGCCCAGGCTGGAGTGCAATGGCGCGATCTTGGCTCACCACAACCTCCGCCTACCGGGTTCAAGTGATTCTCCTGCCTCAGCTTCCTGAGTAGCTGGGATTACAGGCATGCATCACCACACCTGGCTAATTTTGTATTTTTAGTAGAGACGGGGTTTCTTCATGTTGGTCAGGCTGGTCTCGAACTCTCGACCTCAGGTCATCCGCCCTCCTCGGCCTCCCAAAGTGCTGGGATTACAGGTGTGAGCCACTGCGTCTGGCTAGCTTTTTTTTTTAATTATTTTTTTTGAGATGGAGTTTCGCTCTTGTTGCCCAGGCTGGAGTGCAATGGCACGATCTCGGCTCACTGCAATCTCTGCCTCCTGGGTTCAAGTGATTCCCCTGCCTCAGCCTCCCGAGGAGCTGGGATTACAGGCATCTCACACCACGCCTGCTAATTTTTATATTTTTAGTAGAGATAGGGTTTCACCATGTTGGCCAGGCTGCTCTCAAATCCCTGACCTCAGGTGATCTGCCCACCTTGGCCTCCCAAAGTGCTGAGATTATAGGTGTGAGCCACCATGCCTCGCCCATAGTTTTATTTATATATTTGTTTATATATATATATAAATATTATTTATATATTTGTTTATATATATATAAATATTATTTATATATTTGTTTATATATATATAAATATTGTTTATATATATATTTATATATAATATATATTTTTATTTATATATTATATATAAATATATATAGAATATATATATAATATTTATTTATATATAATATATATGTATTTTAAATTATATATAATATATATTTTGATATTAACTAGGCATAAAATATGGACTGAGAATAAAGAGTAGCAATACAACAAGCATCCCTGTACCCGATGCCTGGGATGGTCCCTGAGTGGTCATTTCCACAGAGTGATCTCTCTCCTGAATAATGTTTATAATATACTCTTGCCTTTCTGATCATTTCACCATATAGATTTGAATATTAATATATTTAACTTTGTATGTTTTTAAACTTCATTTCATTTTTTTGAGACAGGATCTCACTCTGTCACCCAGGCCGAGGGCAGTGGCACGATCATGGCTCACTGCAGCCTCGACCTCCCTGAAATCAAGAGATCCTCCCACCTCATCCTCGCAAGTAGCTGGGACTACAAGTATGTGCCACCATGCCTGGCTGGTTTTTGTATTATTTTTGTAGAGATGGGTTTTCATCATGTTGTCCAGGCTGGTCTTGAACTCCTGGGCTCAAGCGATTCGCCCACCTCGGCCTCCCAACGTGTTCGAACTGCAGGTGTGAGCCACTGCTCTGGGCTGTTTTCAAACTTACATAAATGGAATTATTATATGTTTTATTCCATAGCTTTTTTTCCCTCTCAACATTATGCTCCTGAGATTCACACTATTTACTATATGTAGCTGTAATGTGCTTGCTTTCGTTCCTGGTAATATTTTGGTTTATGAACATACCGTGATTTATTTTCCATTTGCCCCTTTTATTTTTGCTAGTGCCAACAGCACTGATTGGAGTATTCTTGTGTATGTTTCCTGCTGTGAACGTGCAAGGGTAACTGTGGCTCTCTCTAGGAGTGTGACTGCTAGGTCATCGGCCATGCACACCTTTGCTGCAACAAGATGACAATGGTATTTTCCAAGGTGGGAGGACAAATTCACACTCCCTGCAGCAGTGTGTGCATGTCAGTTGCTCCACATCTTCACTAATATGAATACTTTTCAAACTAGTGTTTATTAAATTTGGAGCTAGAGAGACAGGGAGACAAGGAGACAGGGAGGGAGGAAGTTAGGAAGGGAGGAAGTGAGGAAGCAAGGAAGAAAGAAAGAGAGGAATATTTTATTCTTTCAAAGCCTGAACCCAGCACTGGCTACTCATAGTCAATAAATATGTGCTGGTTTGATGAATTTCTTACAATGTCTGCCTAGATAGCTCATTGCAGCCATGAAATGGAGTCAATCCCTTTGTGACTGAAGGGGAAAGGTGGAGGGAGACAAGAGAAGGCCATCTGACTTCCCAGAACATTTAGTAAACAACACAATTCACAATCAAAAAGGGATTATAAGTAAAATAGCATACGTACATTTAAAATGAAGTTAGACCCCCAGATCTGGAATCAGTTTCTGAGGTTGCAGAGACTTTTGCCTGTTTTGGGTCCCTGTGCCCAATCTGTTCACATCTCTAGCACTTTTCTTGCTGGGTCCAGACCTTGCCGGGGTTTAATTCCAGTTGCTGATGTATTCCTGGACCCACACCTTGCTGGAGTTGGCATAGACCTTTCCAGTCTCCTCTGTGGAGGAAGCAATGGTAAGAGAGAGAAGTGAATAAAGAAGAGACAATCCTGCAGCAGAATGCCTGTAACCTCCCCATGTTTCTCTACCCTGGGGATCTCAGAGACAGTTTATTTTCAGAGCCAGGAGCATCCCGCAAATCCCAAGACCTAGACGATGATGATGATGATGATGATGATGATGATGATGATGATGATGATGATATTATTATTTTTGAGAAGGAGTCTTGCTCTGTCGCCCAGGCTGGAGTGCAGTGGCGCTATCTCGGCTCACTGCAAGCTCTGCCTCCCGGGTTCACGCCATTCTGTCTCAGCCTCCGGGGTAGCTGGGACTACAGGCGCCCGCCACCATGTCCGGCTAATTTTTTGTATTTTTTTAGTAGAGACGGGGTTTCACCGTGTTAGCCAGGATGGTCTCGATCTCCTGACCTCGTGATCCGCCCGCCTCGGCCTCCCAAAGTGCTGGGATTACAGGCGTGAGCCACCGCGCCCAGCCCCAAGACCTAGATTTTTTAAAAAATTGTTCATGAGTTTCTTCTCGGGTTGACTTCCCTCTGCTATCCTTTCCTTTCCTCTTCTCTGCATGAAGGTGGCTCTTCCTTGGCTCCCTACAGGCTGTGGGTCCATGCAGAAAACACCCCAGGGACCTATCCCTATGTCCTGTATGTCTAATGAGTTCCTGGAGGTCTGGGTCTCCCAGGTTCCCCCTCCATCTCTTGAGTCTTGGGGGCTGTGCGTCCCTCCATGTCTCTCCCCTACGAGTGGCAAGAGGGCTACACCTACATGCTGAGAGCATCCACTGCTGGTCTCTAATGCAAATTTGTGAATAACCTACTGGAAAATGTTTGAGAAGCAGCAAGAGTTTATTAATTTTATCAATCTTTCCAATGACTCATTTTGACTTTGATGATTTTCTTTTTCTTAGTCTGTTTTCTGTTTCAGTGAATAACAATCTTATTATTTTCTTTCTTCTGTTTCCTTTGGGTTCAGTTTCCTCAACTCTTCCTAGCTTCTTAAGGTGGAAGCTTCATTCTTTTATTTTACACCTTTCTTCTTTTTGAATAGAAGCATTGAACGCTACAGATTCTCTTCTAAGTGCTGCTTCAGCTTCATAATGCCGTAGTTTTTCATGTGACAGGTTTTCATCATTCAGTTATTTTCTAATTTCCCTTGTGATTTCATCTTTGTCCCACAGATTATTTAGAATTACATTCTTTATTTGCAAATATTTGGGGGGGGTTAAATATCTTCTTGTTATTGATTTCTAATCAAATTCCATTATAGTCAGAGAATATACTCGGTATTATTTTGATTCTTGAACATTTACTGAGACTTGTTTCTTGGGCCAGCATACAGTGTGTCTTGGTGAATTTTCCATGTGTATATGAAAAAGTATGTATTTTTCACTTGTTGGATGTAATAACCTATAAATGTCGGTTAGGTCCATTTGGTTCATTGTGTTAAGATTTACATATCCTTATTGATTTCTGTTTATTTAGCAGTTACTAAGAGTTGGGTACTAAAATCTCCAGATATGATTGGGAAGTTTTTGTTTCTCCCTTTAGTTCTTTCAATATTTGCTTCATGTATTTTGAAGTTCTTATACTCATTAAGACTCATATCTTCTCGATGAGTTGATCCTTTTATTAGGAAATCTCTCTCTTCTTCTTTAGTAATATTCTTTTTCTTGAGGTATACTTCGTCTGATATTAATACAATTTTCTGATGCTTACCATTTGCATGGTGTACCTTTTTCTTTCTTTCTTTCTTTCTTTTTGTTTTTTTTTTTTTTTTTGAGACAGAGTCTCGCTCTGTCCCCCAGGCTGGAGTGTAGTGGCGTGATCTCCGCTCACTGCAAGCTCCATCACCCGGGTTCACGCCATTCTCCTGCCTCAACCTCCCGAGTAGCTGGGACTACAGGTGCCCGCCACCACACCTGGCTAATTTTTTATATTTTTAGTAGAGACAGGGTTTCACCGTGTTAGCCAGGATGGTCTCAATCTCCTGACCTCATGATCCACTTGCCTCTGCCTCCCAAAATGCTGGGATTACAGGCGTGAGCCGCCATGCCTGGCCTGGTGTACATTTTCCAATCCTTTTCTTTTCAACCTTTGTGTGTCTTTAGATTTAAAATTCGTTTTTTAATAAACAAAATATAGTTGGGTCTTGCTTTTTTTGAAAACTAGTCTGGTGAGATTAATCCAGTCATGTTTAATGTAATTATTGATACGGTTGGGTTTAACTCTAACATTTTGGCATATAAGATGTATGTATATGTGTGTATATATCTTTATTGAGGTATATAATTGACACAAAATAAACTGCCTAAATTTAGAGAGTATAATTTGATAAGCTTTACCATATGTGTATACCTGTGAGACCATCTCTGCAATCAAAATAATGAACATGGCCATGACCCTAGAGAGTTTCCTCATGCCCGTTTATAATTCCTGTCTTCTACCAACTCCTCCTGAGTGAACAACTGATCTACTTTCTGTCACTGTAGATTATTTTGCATTTCCCAGAAATTTATATAAATGGGATCCCACAGTACATATTTTTTTTGATCTGGCTTCTTGTACTTAGCATGATTATTTTGAGATTTTTCTATATTTTTGCCTTTAAAATTTTACTTTATTTGTTCCTTTTCTTTTCTTATTTTTTTGTGACTCAAATATCTTTTAGTATCTCTTTTTATTTTTTGCTTGATTTTATACTACCTTATAAATAATAAGAGGCTCTTACCACAGTATTCAACAATTTTCCCCATCCCATGATTTGCACTTTTGTCTTATAAACCAAAATAACACTAATGCTATTTTTGCTGAAATGGTTGATATTATTATATAATATTATTATTTTATGTAAAGATGCTAAAATAGAATCTTTAATATTTACCTAGATATTTCCTTTTTCTAGTTCTCTTTATTACTTTTGCATGTCTTACATTCTATCTGATATTATTTCCCTTCGGACTTAAGACCTTCTTTTAACAGTATTTGTGGTCTAAAAATGTCTTTATTCTGTCTTCATTTTTTTTTTTTTTTTGAGACAGGGTCTCCTTCTGTCACCCAGGCTAAAGTGCAGTGGCATGTTCAAGACTTATTGCAGCCTTGAACTCCTGGGCTTCTAGTCATCTCTCCACCTCAGCCTCCCAAATAGCTGGGACCACAGGCATGCACCACCATGCCCAGCTAATTTTAATTTTTTTGTAGAGACGTAGTCTCCCTAGGTTGCCCAGGCTGGTCTTAAACTCAAGCAATCCACTCACCTCAAACTCCTGAAGTATTGGGATTACAGGAGTAAGCCACTATGCCCAGCCCCTACCTTCATTTTTGAAGGCTATTTTAGTTGGACATAGAAATTCTAACTTGACTTTAAAGATGTTCTCTTGTCTCTGCTCCCATCATTTGTGGTGAAATGTCAGACATCATTTGTATTATTGTTTCCCTATATGTAATGTATCTTTTCTCTCTGGCTACTTTTAAGGTTTACTCTTTTTCTTTCCTTTTCAGCCATTGCTTATGTTGTGCCTAACTGTCATTTTATTTGATTTATCTTGCTCGAGGTTTCCAAGGTTTTGGGATCTGTAGTCTGATGTATGTCTTTTGTCAATTATGATTTCCAATATTTTTTTCTTTCCATTCTCTCACTCCTCTCTGCCTAGTATTCTAAGTACATGTATGGTACTTTATTTTATATTTTCCTATGTGTCTTGGATGTGCTCTTTTTTATTTTCAGCATGTTTTTGTGTGTGATTCACTTTAGAGTCTTTCTATTGAACCATCTTCAAGTCTACCAATTTTTTTCTCTGCCCGGTCTCGTCTGCTGTTAGCCTAGCTAATGCAACCATTTATCAGATATTATTTTGCATTTCCAGCTTTCCTTTTTTGGGTTCTTTTGAAAGATTTCAGTGTCTGCGGTGAAATTCTCATCCCTTCGTTCACATTGGCCACCTGTTCTACCAAATCTTTTATCATTTTTACCATATATATATATATATTTTAAAGTCCCCATTCGATCATTTTAACATCCAGGACATCTCTGTCTCTGCTTCTATTAGCTATTTCTTCTCCTGATCACAGGTTACATTTTCTTATTTCTTTGCATGTCTCATAATTTATTGTATTGGGCATTTTATATATAAAAACAATTAGGATTGAAGCAAATAATACACCCAAAATAGGCATACCTCTTCTTTTAGGCTGCTAGAGTAAGGGACTGATTCAGTCTAATCTGTAGTTGAGCTAAATCTGGGCTTTAGTTTGACTCAATTTGCACTGGGCTTTAAACGTTTTGAGGACAGGCTCAAGACTTTCCCTTCAGCAGGGCTTGGGACCTGAGTATTAGCAAGATTCTTAAGATCTCTTTGTGTTGCCAGCTTTCTGAACCATAGGAAATTAAAAAAAATTTACTGTCTATTTGCCCATCAGGGTCACTGGTAATTTCCCTTTATAGTCCTGTTCCTAGCTTTCTGCACCTCAAGAGATTTTGCTTTGCTTTTACCACGGATTTTGGAAGGCAGCTACTTTAAATTTTTCAAAGGGCTGGAATGCCCCCAGAGGGATTTCTTTAAACTCTCCTGCACCTGACTTCAGTAGCTGAAGGCCCAAGTGTTCCAGAATGATTCCTCTTAGCTTTCCTGTCCCCTATTTTCAGTAGCCTAGAGTGCCTTGGATGGATTTATCTCAGATTTCCTGCCATGCCCTCTACCTTCAGTAGCTGAAAATTTGGTGAACCTTGAATAGACAAAACTCCTTTCTATTTTCTGTTCCCTGCCTCTGGAATGTAGTTGTTTTGAACTTAGTGGAGGCCCAACACAACTCAAGGGGTTCTCTCTCAGCTCTGTTGCCCCCAGCCCTTAGTATGCTAATGATGCTCTTGGTGGGGACTTGTAGGAAAGAGTTGGCAGATGGGTACAGTCTTGCTCTGCATTTGGGGCTCCTTGGAATTCTAATCTGTCATGTTAACTCAGACATAGCTATTGAAAGTTAAAGTTCAGTGCATCACTTTTTGGAGTTTAGTTCAATTTGCTTTACCCACCCCCCGGCCCATATCTGCAGTCCTCTGATTTTGTGTGTGTGTGTGTGTGTGTGTGTGTGTGTGTGTGTTGGGGGAGTGGCAGGGAGTCAGGTTTATTGACATATAATTTAAATACAGATATAGTTAATCATTTTTATGTATACAACTTGATGAGTTTTGACAGATGGACAGTCATGTAACCACCACTACCATCAAAATTGATAACATTCCCATCACTCCATAAAGTCCCTTTGTGTTCCTTTTGTAGTCACTTTCTCCTATCCCCAGTCCTTGGAAACCAGATCTGACGTTTGTCTCTATAGTTTTGCCTTATACATTCTATTATGTAAATGGAATAATACTGTTTGTAGCTTTTTCCCAGTCTGGACTCATTTGTTTATCATTCTGCTTTTGAGATTTATCCATACTTTTGTATGTATTAGATCATTCTCACGTTGTTATCAAGAAATATCAGACACTAGGTAATTTATAAGGAAAAGAGGTTTAATTGGCTCATGGTTCTGCAGGCTATACAGGTAGCATGAAGCTGGTATCTACTTGGCTTTTGGGGAGGCTTCAGGAAACTTACAATCATTGTGGAAGGTGAGAGGAGATCAGGCATATCACAGGGCCAGAGCAGGAGCAAGAGAGAGAGGGGGGAAGTGCTACACAGTTTTAAATGACTAGATCTCATGATAATTAACTCACTATTGTGAGGAAAGTATCAAAGAGAATAATGCTAAATCATTCATGAGAAATCTGCACCCATGATCCAACCACCTCCCACCAGGCCCCAGGTCCAACACTAGGGATCACATTTCAATATGAGATTTGGTTGAAGACACACATTCAAAACATATCATTGTATGTATCAGTAGTTGGGTCCTTTTTCTTGCTGAGTAGTACTCCATTGTATAGATGTATAGTCAGTTCTGCTATCATGCATATTTATAAAATGCAAATTATTTTCAATTTAATTTAAAAAAAAAGGCTGACTAGGAATGTTGGATGCGAGTTCTTTTCAGAAAGAAGATCGAAGTTACCTGTTAATGGTCATGATCCAAATGGAAAACTGAGGGAAGACAGCCAGGACCTGTCAGAGAACCCATGGGAAGAAGCTGGGGCACAAGAAAGGAAAGCAGCAAGAGTCTGGCAGACATTGACCTATGAGGAACTTGGGGTCCCATGGAAAAGGTCAGTGGGAATGCTTCTCTGCTCCCTTCATCCCTGCAATAAACTGCTGACCACTAAGCTGTTGGGGAGCCCCTCTGCCCTCACAACCACAGACAATTCTGTTGGTGGCAATTTGGTAACTTTCCAGGGTGAGAGAATTGGCTGGCCAGCTTGTGCTGGTGGATCTGCACTCCACTCAGGTCCTACCTGAAACAGCAGATGCCATACTTGTTGTTCACCCATTATGGGCCACTGCCCTGCCAGGGAACCTCGGCCCTTATGTTGCATTACCAGATCCCCTGCAAACATACTCCAGAACTCACTCTGAATTTGGCACCCACAGGGGATCAGTGGGTCCCTGGAGAGCTGTGAGTTCCCCTGAGATCTAGCCCTCAGTGTGGGCATCCCTAGGGGAGGATGCAGTGCAGCCTGTCAAAGCCTCCCTTGGGACAAAGGAAATGTGGAAATGGTGTTGATCACTGAAGGGGGAGGCACTGGTGGCCGAGAATAGGTGTGGAGAGGGATCATTTCCTTCTCCCTCATCCACTGTTGCAGACACAGCAGAGGCTTTCCCCACTGGAGGCTGGTGCAAGCACATGTGGAGACAGCCTTTCCAGGTGCCACTTGCAGAAGCTGCACCCCCACTGAAAATAAGCCTGTGCTACCTGGACATGCACAAAAGTCAGGGCCCATCTCCCTCTTCCTACACTGAGAAGCAGGCAATGGAGGGCAGACAAGTCACAGAGCTGGACCGGGGGAAGAGGCTTTGCCCTGAGCCCCTTTCAGTGGTAGCCACCAGAGGGGTTTTTCTGCAGAACTCAGTCACACTGCAGCCAGGAGTCAAAGGACAATGTCTGTATGAACTGAATATTGCAGGCCCTGTGGCAGGGGCATGATAGGGAAGCAGATTGTGTTCCTGCCTGCCCAGGGTGATGAGTTGGTGCTGTGACCCTCTCAACCTCACCTGTCCCTACCCCAAGACTTCAGCATATCCCAACACGAACTCCCCAACCACCCTCCATCTGGCAGGTGCCTCTCCTTATCACTTGGCTACTGAGGGTGAGTAGGCTCTTATTAAGTGCCACTTACTAGACTGGAGACTGAACTGCTCCACCAAATAAAAACCCGCTATCAGAAGGGCATAGTGCTAGTGTATGAGATAAGCTTCCTGAGACTTCCACACTCAGCCCCACAGAAGATAGTGAGTCAGCTCATACTCCCAATACATTGCTAAAACAAGCAACATTTTAGAAAAACACTGCACAAAAGCTGTCTATAACCAAGGAACCTATACAGAGCCTTGGCCCCCTGAAAGCACCAAGAAATGAAGCAAATAATCACAGCATACATGACAGTCATACCCTCAAGGGAAAAAAAAGATAAAATTCCCATCCAAATAATAGCACATTCAAAAATAAAAAGCAACAGTACTTTCAGATGAGGAGGAATCGGTTCAAGAACTCTGGTGGTAGAAACAGACAGAATGTTTTGACAGCCCCAAAGGCTCTCACTAGCTTTCTAACAATGGATCTCAACCAAAATGAGGATTCTGAAATAACAGATAAAGAATGCAAAATATGGATTGTAAGGAAGCTCAATGATATCCAAGAGAAAGTTGAAACTCAACAGAAAGAAACCAGGAAAACCATTCAGGATATGAAAGACAGCTATATTAAAACAAACAAACAGAACTTCTGGAAATGAAAAAATTTAGTAAAGGAATTTCAAAATATAGTGGAAAGCTTTAGCAATAGACTAGACCAAGAAGAAGAAAGAATTTTGGAGCTTGAAGACTGATCTTTTGAGTTAATCCAGTCAGAAAAATATAAAAGATAATTTTAAAAAAGGAACAAAGCCTTCAAGAAATATGGGATTAGGTAGAGCAACCACACCTACAACTTATAGGCATTCCTGAGTGAGAAAGAGAAAAAGTAAGCAATTTGGAAAACATACTCAAGGGAATAATTCAGGAACATTTCTCTTATTGCTAGAAAGTTAGACATCAAGATACAAGAAATTCAGAGAAAAACTGTGAGATTCTATACAAGATGAACATCAACAAGGCACATAGTCATGAGACTATCCAAATACAGTGCTAAAGAAAAACGCTTGGGCCGGGCGCGGTGGCTCACGCCTGTAATCCCAGCACTTTGGGAGGCCGAGGCGGGTGGATCATGAGGTCAGGAGATCGAGACCATCCTGGCTAACAAGGTGAAACCCCGTCTCTACTAAAAATACAAAAAATTAGCCGGGCGCGGTGGCGGGCGCCTGTAGTCCCAGCTACTCGGGAGGCTGAGGCAGGAGAATGGCGTGAACCCGGGAAGCGGAGCTTGCAGTGAGCCGAGATTGCGCCACTGCAGTCCGCAGTCCGACCTGGGCGACAGAGCGAGACTCCGTCTCAAAAAAAAAAAAAAAAAAAAAAAAAAAAAAAGAAAAACGCTTGAAGGTAGCTAGAAAGAAGGATCAAGTCACCTATAAAGGAAGTCCAATCAGACTAACAGCAGACTTCTCAGCAGAACCTTATAAACCAGAAGAGATTGGGATCTTATTTTTAGCCTTCTGTTGTCCAGGCTGGAGTGCAGTGGCATGATCTCAGCTCACTGCAAGCTCCGCCTTCTGGGTTCACACCATTCTCCTGCCTCAGCCTCCCAAGCAGCTGGGACTACAGGCGCCCACCACCATGCCCAGCTAATTTTTTTTATTTTTTTTTTATTTTTAGTAGAGACAGGGTTTCACTGTGCTAGCCAGGATGGTCTCAATCTCCTGACCTTGTGATCCACCCTCCTCGGCCTCCCAAAGTGCTGGGATTACAGGTGTGAGCCACCGCACCCAGCCTTTTATCCTTCTTAAAGAGAAGAAAAGCCAACCAAGTATATTATATCCTGCAAAACTAAATTTCATAAACAGGGGAGAAATAAAGTCTTTTCCCTAAAGGAAAAAAAGTCAGCCAAGTATATTATATTCTGCCAAATTAAATTTCATAAACAAAGGAGAAATAAAGTTTTTTCCGGACAAACAAACACTAAGGGAATTTGTCACCACTAGACCAACTGTGCAAGAAATACTCAGAGGAGTTCTAAACATGGAGACAAAAGGATGATACTTGCTACAGTAAAAGGACACATAAGTACAAAATTCACAGATCTTATAAAGTGATTACAAAACAACTAGTTAACAATACTATTACAGGAACAAAACCTCACATGTCAATATTAATCTTGAATGTAAAAGGCCTAAAAGATATAGATTGGCAAATTGTACCCTACAAGAGACTCATTGAACATGTAAATACACCAATAGGCTCAAAGTAAAGGAGAGGAAAAAGAAACATCATGCAAATGGAAAACAAAAAAGAGCAGAGGTTGCTATTCTTATATCAGATAAAACAGACTTTAAATCAACAACAATAAAAAAGACAAAGAAGGGCATCATATAATGATAAAGGGTTCAATTCAACAAGAAGATTTAATTATCCTAGATATACACATACCCAACACTGGGTTCCCAGAGGTATAAAACAAATACTACTAGACCGAAGAAAAGAGATAGACTGTCATACAATACTGACGGGGAATTCAACACCCCACTGACAGCACTAGACAGATCATCAAGGCAAAAAACTAACAAAGAAACTCTGGACTTAAACTGAACACTTGACCAAATGGACCTATTAGACATTGAAAGAACATTCCACCCAACAACTGCAGAATATAATTTTTTTCATCTGTGCATGGAACATTCTCTAAAATTGACCATATACTTGGCTATAAAGCAAATCTCAATATATTAACAAAGTGAAATCATATCCAGTATTTTGTTGGACCACAGTGAATAAAATTAGAAATCAATACCAAGAGGAACTCTCAAAACCACGTAAGTACATGGGGCCGGGCGCGGTGGCTCAAGCCTGTAATCCCAGCACTTTGGGAGGCCGAGGCGGGTGGATCACGAGGTCAGGAGATCGAGACCATCCTGGCGAACACGGTGAAACCCTGTCTCTACTAAAAATACCAAAAAAAAAAAAAAATTAGCTGGGCGTGGTTGGCCTGTAGTCCCTGCTACTCGGGAGGCTGAGGCAGGAGAATGGCGTGAACCAGGGAGGCAGAGCTTGCGGTGAGCTGAGATCGCACCACTGCACTCTAGCCTGGGCGACAGAGTGAAACTCGGTTTCAAAACAAACAAACAAACAAAAACAAACAAACAAAAAACAAAACCACATAAGTACATGGAAGCTAAACAACTTGCTCCTGAATGACTTTTGGGTAAGCAATGAAATTAAGGCAGAAATTAAAAAATTGAAGCTAATGGAAATAGAGACTGAACATACCAAAACCTCTGGGATACAGCAACAGTAGTGTTAAGAGGAAAAATTATATCATTACATGCCCACATCTAAAAGATAGAAAAAAAATCTCAGATTAACAACCTAACGTCATACTTCAAGGAACTAGGAAAACAAGAACAAGCCAAACCCAAAGCTAGAAGAAGAAAAAAATTAACAAAGATCATAGATGAACTAAATGAAATTAGTTCCAAAATAATCATACAAAGGATCAATGAAAGGAAAAGTTGGTTCTTTGAAAGTATAAACAAAAATTGATAGAACTCTAGCTAGATTAACCAAGAAAAGAAAAGATTCAAACAAACACAATCAGAAATGATAAAGGTGACATTACAATTGATACCACAGAAATACAAAAGATCACCAGAGACTACTAGGAACACCTCTGTGTTCCTAGAGAACTTAGAGGAAATGGATAAATTCCTGGAAACATACAAACTTCCCAGGTTGAACCAGGAAGAAATAGAATCCTGAATAGACCAATAAGGAGTAATGAAATTGAATCAGTAATGATTAAAAAAAATCTACCAAGAAAAACAAAGTTCAGAACCAGATGGATTCATAGCTGAATGTTACCAATTGTACAAAGGAGAGCTGGTATGAATCTTATTGAAACTATTCCAAAAAATCGAGGAGGAGAGATTCCTCCTTAATTCATTCTATGAGATCACCATCATCCTGATATCAAAATCTGGCAAAGAAATAACAAAAAAAGAAAACTATAGGCCAATATCCCTGATGAACATAGATGCAAAAATTCTCAACAAAATACTAGCAAACCAAATCCAAAAGCACATCGAAAAGATAATTCACCATAGTACAGTGGATTTTATTCCAGGGATGCAAGGATAGTTCAACATATGCAAATCAATAAATGTGATTCACCACATAAATAGAATTAAAAATAAAAACAATATGATCATCTGAATAGATTTAAAAAAGCATTAGATAAAATCCAACATCTCTTCATGATAAAATCCCTAAACAAAATAGGCATTAAAAGAACATATTTCCAAATAATAAGCACCATACATGACAAACCCACGGCCAACATTATACTAAATGGGGAAAAATTGAAAGCATTCCTCTTAAGAACTGGAACAAGACAAGGATGTCCACTCTCACCACTTCTATTCAACATAGTACTGGAAGTCCTAGCCAAAGTAATCAGGTAAGAAAAAGAAATAAAAGTCATCTGAATTAAAAAAGAGGAAGGCAAATTATTTCTGTTCAGTGATGACATGATCTTATACCTAGAAAACCCTAAAGACTCTGCCAAAATACTCCTAGACTTGATAAATGACTTCAGTAGTTTCAGATATAAAATTAATGTACAGAAATGGTTGCATTTCTATACACCAACAGTGCTTAATCGGAGAACCAAATAAAGAACTCAATCCCATTTACAATAGCCACAAAATAAAAATGTATTCCTATACCTAGGAATACATTTAACCAAGAAGGTGAAAAACCACCATAAGGAAAACAGCAAAACACTGATGAAAGAAACTGTAGATGACACAAACAAATGGAAAAGCATCCCATGCTCATGAATAGGAAGAATCAATATTATTAAACTAACTATATTGCCCAAAGCAGTCTACAAATTCAACACAATTCGTATCAAATTGCCAATGTCATTTTTCACAGAACTAGAAAAAACAGTTTTTTTCCTATGGAGCCAAATTTATATGGAGCCAAAAAGGGCTCAAATAGCCAAAGCAATCCTAAAGCAAAAAGAACAAAATCAGAGGCATCACATTGCCTGACCGCAAACTATACTACAAGTCTGTAGTAACCAAAATAGCATAATGGTACAAAAGTGGACACATAGATCTATGGAACAGACCAGAGAACCCAAAGGTAAAGCCACAGACTTAAACAATAACTGATTTTCAACAAAGTCAACAAAAATAGAAAATAGGGAAAGAACACCTTAATCAATAAATGGTGCTTGGAAAACTGGCCAGCCTCATGCAGAAGAATGAAACTGGACCCCTATCTTTCACCATATACAAAAATTATAATAATACTAAAGATGGATTAAAAACTTGAATGTAAGACATGAAACTATTAAAATCCTGGAAGAAAACCTAGGAAAAATTCTTCTGAACATTGACCTAGGCAAAGAATTCATGACTAAGACCTCAAAAGCAAATGCAACAAAAACAAAAATAGACAAATGGGACTTAATTAAACTAAAAAGCTTCTGCATAGCAAAAGAAATGATTAACAGAATAAACAGATAACCTACCAAATGAGAGATATAATTGCAAACTATGCATCCAACAAAGTACTAATATCCATAATCTATAAGGAACTCAAACAAATCAACAAAATCCCTCAGGTAGCCCTACTAAAGAGTGGACAAAGGACATGAACAGACACTACTCAAAAGAAGACATACAAGTGGCCAACAAATATACGAAAAATGCTCACATCACTAATCATCAGAGAAATGCAAATTAGAACCACCATAGGATACCACCTCACACTGTCAGAATGGCTATTATTAAAAAGTAAGAAAATAACTGATGTTGGTGAGGATGCAGAGAAAAAGAACACTTAGACACTGTTAGTGGGAAGATAAATTAGTTCAGCTTCTGTGGTAAATAGTATGGAGATTTCTCAAGGAATTGAAAATAGAACTACCATTTGCCCAGCAATCCCACTACTGGGCATCTATCCAGAGGAATCATTTTATCAAAAAGACACCTGCACTCATATGTTATTGCAGCACTATTCACAATAGCAAAGTCATGGAATCAACCTAAGTGTCCATCAATGGTTGATTGGATAAAGAAAATGTGGTACATATACACACCATGGGAAACTATGCAGCTGTAAAAAGAATGAAATCATGTCCTTCGCAGCAACATGGATAGAGAGAAAGACCATTATCCTAAGTGAAATAACTCAGAAACAGAAAATCAAATACCACATGTTCTCACTTTTAAGTGGGAGCTGAACCATGGATACATGTGGATATAAAGATTGAAATAATAGAGAGTGAGGACTCCAAAAGCAGGGAGTGTGGGAGGGGGTGAGGGCTGACAAATAACCTTTTGGGTAAAGTGTGCACTATTTGGGTGATGGGGTCACTAGAAGCCCAAACCTCACCATTATGCAATATATCCATGTAACAAACCTGCACGTGTACCCTTCCTGCATCTAAAATAAAATAAAATAACAAAAAAAGGAAATGTGAATTTGTTACAATATGACTGAGATGTTAGAAAAAAATTGAGCATAACACAAGTTTTTCCATTTGCTTACAAGTGATTTTATCCATGAAAAACACTAAGTGAATAAGCCATATAAGAATACACAAAATGGGCTGGGCACAGTGGTTCGTGCCTGTAATCCCAGAACTTTGGGAGGCCGAGGCGGGTGGATCATAAGATCATGAGTTCAAGACCAGCCTGGCCAACATGGTAAAACCCCGTCTCTACTAAAAATAGAAAAATTAGCTGGGCATTGTGGCATGCACCTGTAGTCCCAGCTACTCGGAAGGCTGAGGCAGGAGAATGGTGTGAACCCAGGAGGCAGAGCTTGCAGTGAGCTGAGATCGCACCACTGCATTCCAGCCTGGGCAACAGAGCGAGACTCTGTCTCAACAAACAAAAACAAAAACAAAAACAAAAACAAAAACAAAACAAAACAAAAAAAACAGGAATGTATGTGTCATGTTATAGAACTGACTGTACCACAATTGGTTCACCTATCAACCACTTGACAGACATCTGGGTAATATCTTGAATAAAGTTTGGGGCTATTTTGAATAAAGCTTTATAAACATTTGTGTTGGAAAGGCAGAGGAAGCACACTTAAAGGTCCCAGTGTGGGTGGAGCCTGGACCATGTCTGCATAGAGGAGGACGTGGCATTGAGCTCGCTCTTCATTTGTACCCCAAGACCCCTGGCTTCCTCTTGGATTCAGTGCCACCAAGACCTCCTCTGGATGGCCATTTTCAACTCTATAGTGAGGAGGGAATAATGGGAAAGGGAAAACGTTAATTTCATTTAGAAGCAAAATTACAGTGTTCAATACAATTAAGTATGTAATATGTTTTGTTATATTCTTATGAATTTGTTCTTAGTATATGAAGAATATTAACTCTGACATAAGTTGCGTATATCTTTAAAAATTCGGGGAAGTAGAAGTGGATTTTCTATCAAAGTTGCAAAGTTCTGGAGTAATTTGATGAGTAATTATTTTCTTTCATTTTTCAGCATTAGGCAGTTTCACTGCCCTCTCTCTCTTCCCAGAATTTTCTGTGTAATTTAACAAGATGCTGAATGGGATTTATCTTGCTGCAAAAAGCTATTTTCTTATTCTAAAAAGACCATAACATACTACCTCCAGGGATAATATTCTCTGGAGATGGCAGGACTAGCCCTAAGTTTCTCCCCATCCTTCCTATCTATAGACGTAAAGAAAAAAAAAAGAGAGAGAAAAGGGAGGGAGAGGAGAGAATCATAGCCAAGGGCAGGGAGTACTATAGTGCTATAGTAGTCCCAGCTACTTGGGAGAGTGAGTTGGGAGGATTGCTTGAGCCTGGGTGATTGGGGCTGCAGTGAGAGCCATGATCATAAAATGGTAATGGTATTGGATCACAGCAGAGCTGTGATCTGTGCTGCTCCCATAAAGGCAAATGAGAGAACTCCAAGGGAAAAGTCTGTAGAGATTGGAGGTGCCATCAAAGAAAGAAGGAGTGTTCTCATCATCTGGTTACATTTTACGTAGGCTACTTATTTGTTGATGTGCCCCAGTAGTACCTGGATAGGGGGAAGAAGAAGGGAGAGAGATGGCAAGCAGAGAGTCTTGGCCTGCACTCTGACCTTTGGCTTGATAAGCAGGAGAAAAGTGAAGATGTGGTAATAGATAGAGGGATTTGAGTCATTTTACTTTGCCCACCCAAGAGGATGACCTGGCTGATTGGAACCAGAATGCTCACATCATGGAACAGGAAATGTCAGGTTAAATCTGTTCTAGGTGTAATAACACGTTGAGAGGCAGAGATCTGATGGTTAAGAGCATAGGGTATGGACCCAGGTTTAAATCCCACCACTGCTAATTATAGAGTTATGGGAAATTCTGTAAACTCTCCAGACTCCTGTTTCCCCATCTGCCAATTGGGTAACAATGGTATATGCGTCATAGTGATATTTTCAGGAATAAAATGAGCCAATACACGAAAGTTCTTAACTCATATTAACTTCTCTATAAATTTAAGTCATTTTTTATTTTTTTTCTTGTTTTTTTTTTCCTACTCTGTCACTGAAGCTAGAGTGCAGTAACATGATCACAGCTTACTGCAGTCTTGACCACCTGGGCTCAAGCGATCCTCCCATCTCAGTCTCTCAAGTAGCTGGGAGTACAGGTGTCCGCCACCATGCCAAGCTAATTTTTAAATTCTTTTATTGAAATGGGATCCCACTATGTTCCCGGGCTGGTCTTGATGTCCTGGGCTCAAGTGATCCTACTATCTCAGTCTCCCAGAGGGCTGGGATTATAGGCCTGAGACACTGCGCCCAGCTTCGTTTTTCTTAAGAAAGCTTGACTTATTTTTTAAAAAAGTAAAGATGCATATGAAGGAAGGTCTTCCTTTTTGGTTCATATAAAGTGCTGATTTTATTTTAGGGAATATAAATTATAGTTTAATTTATAACATCATTACTTCAGTTTTGGCTTTCTAGGCTGCTATCTCCATTGTAAGGCCTGACAACATTACCAGGTAGCATGTCTTCTCTTTTTTCTGTTGTTTCTTACATTTCCAGTTTTCCTCAACTTCCCCCCTCATCCCACCAAACCAATATTCCTAATGTTCAAGACAGCAATCAACATAATAGCTAGAATTCCATGGCTTACTTTTAAATAAAGGAAAGTATTTTTATTATATTAGAAACATTACAACATAGTGCAAAGATCAAATATTCATTGAAAAATGCATATCCAGAAATTCTGTGGTTGATGAATTTGGTCGAATATCTAGAGAGAGGATTTAGCACAAACATTCAGCACCATCTAGAATCACTGTGTACTATGTGGTTTCTTAGAGAAAACATTCAATAAAAACAATTTAAAATTGGAAATATACAATAAAAGTGAAATAAATTAAAATTTAAGTTTGGTTTGGTTATGGGGGGACTAGACCATAAAGGAGGTAGCTTCTGGGGTTGTAAGTGCTATTCTTCTGGCTCAGCTCCCTGTTCCCCAATCTACTGATGGATTTAATTTTTTTTTCTGGGCTATTCAGATTTAGCTCTGGGTTTTGATGTATTCCTGGACTCAGCATCTCTGGGGTTGACACAGACCAGCTGACCTCTTTTAGTCTGAAAGCTATGGGGAAAGGCAGAAGATTAAGAAGAATCTAGCCAGCTGGGAAATTTCTGGACCCATTGTGGCCCCTCCATCCCTCTTTCTGACTTGTCCTCTCAGAGTCTCTCTCTTTCTCAGCAATCAGCTCCCATGCCTTAGGGTTCCAGTTTCCCAGAGTATCTCATGAGAATCTCTTCAGTCAGCACCCTCCTGCCATCATGTCCTCCCTCTCTCTTCCTCTGCCCCTGGCCAGCCTCTCCTGTCTCCCTGATGACCCTGGACTGTTCAGAAAATACCTCAGAGACTCTTCTGTGCCTGTGAGGGGCCCAGAGAGCTGGGTATTCCCAGGATGGTGTCCAATCCACCTCCCTACACCCATGGGGGCTGCTCCAGTGTCTCCCCCAGGAATGGGAAGGAGGAATGGCCCTTATACAACACTGGGCTTAGAGCACAGGCTGCAGGTTTTATAACAGTCTGCTGCAAAATCTTGAGGGATCTTCTAGGGGGTATAAGGGAAGCAGCAGGAGGCTGTGGAGTCAACACCAGCTGTAGGAGAAGGCACAGCAAGAGACTGAGTTATTGAGAAGCCATAGAAAACCAACTTCCCCTCTCCATGCCCCCTGCTCTCCCTTTAACCCAAAAAAGATCAGAAGGAACTAGAAGGAACTAGAAGGACACAGCATTTCTTAAGTTGGGGAATTCAGATGAACTGGGACACACATGTCTTTCCTACAAATTACTTTGCCTCTGTCTATATCACTCCATTTTTATTTTTATTTTTACTCTTTTAGGGATTTAGCTCACTAAAATGTCTCATCTTCCAGTTCATCTCTTTTGGGAGGGAAATTTGTCTGTCCTGTGATATCGCAATACTAAAGAGATGAAGCTGGGATATGTCACATATCACCAATAGGACAGGCCTCTACGGAATAGCTGACATGAATTTAGGCTTACATGCACCAGTGGGAAATAAATAGAGCTGCCAGTTACTCTGTGAATTGGGCCTCAATTATCTTATCAGGAAAGTGGAAATTAGCATCTCCTGCTCCCACTCTCTGAACCACTTGGTGGAATGTGATAGCCTGGACCCTTTTGAAAAAAAGACTTTTTGAAGAGAATGGCCAGGGCGATTTGAATTCCTGTTTTGAGTGCTCCATTTTCAACTCTGGTGATCTTTATTTTCAGGGCATGTTTGGTGTGGTCTCACCTGGGGCCAAAAAGGGTAACATCTGAATAAGGCAGAAGGGATGACACTCTCCCACAGTACCAAGGAGGTCTGGGAGCAGAGGACCACAATAGGGGGAGGAGAATGGTGGAGACAGTTGAAAATGCCTGTGTGATGCTGGGCAGGCAAGGGATTCTGGGCTTGAGTGTCAGCATAGTTAAGACAAGCAAGCTTGCGTATTTGAAGCTGGCACCTCCTTCTTGGGTTCAAGCCATTGCCCCTTCTCTTTATAGAGAGTTCCATTTTGTGGGAAGATAGAAACTGGGGATGATTGGAGGAAAATATTTTAATCAGAATGTTAGTGTCATGTTGGGAGTTACATAATTCAGGGGTTGCCAACACCCTTTGGTCAACACAGAAGTTCCAAGTATATGCAAGAATAGCTTACCTTCAGCCGGGCGCGGTGGCTCACGCCTGTAATCCCAGCACTTTGGGAGACCAAGGCAGGCAGATCACGAGGTCAGGAGATTTAGACCAGCCTGGCCAACATGATGAAATCCCGTCTCTACTAAAAACACAAAAATTAGCCGGGTGTGGTGGTGCGTGCCTGTAGTCCCAGCTACTCAGGAGGCTAAGGCAGGAGAATCTCTTGAATCCGGAAGATGGAGGTTGCAGTGAGCTGAGATCGCGCCACTGTACGCCAGCCTGGTGACAGAGCAAGACTCTGTCTCAAAAAAAAAAAAAAAAAAAAAAAAAGAGAGAATAGCTCAGCTTCTCCATCGAATGGGGACACTTCTGAGAAAATTGCTTGCTCAGTCCATTCAAGTTGTTCTGAAGAAATAATTTCCTCAGTGAGTGGGTGATCAGGACTTGGTATGGCCACAGGCTCCCTCACAAAAATGGATGTATCTGTGAACCATGGGCTGCCTATTTCTCTCCTGTAGAGTGGAAGGTGCTGATGCTCTTTCACAACTGCTCTAACTATACGGATGTGATATAACTGATGATGTCACAATAGCCTGTCATAAGTAACCTTCACTATCTGGATTGTAAGATCCTCTTCTAAGACGATATCCTCATTCACACGTCTGGCGCCTGGACTGGGATGTTTGAAGGACAAGCTCTGCTGGAGCTGTCAACTAGAGCCGTCAACATGCCCTTTCAAGATGGCAGCCTTGAGACTCAAAGATGAGTGTTCCTAGTAAACTAGGGTCATACTTATGGCCTTTTATGACCTAGCCACAGAAGTCACAGCATGTCTCTTCCACTACAGTCTGTCGGTGAAAACAGCCACAAGCCTGTCCAGATTCAAGGAGAGAGAACCTAGATCTCATCTATCAATGAGAGGAGTGTCACAGAAATATGGCCGTCTTTAAAAACCACTACAACATTATTTTATCTGTAAATATTTATTTTAGTTTCTATTGCTTCTGTAACAAATTACCACAAATGTAGAGGCTTAAAACCACTTGAATTATTCTCTTACAGTTCTGGAGGTCAAAAGTCTGAAATGGGCCTCACTAGGCTAAAACCAAGCTGTTAGTGGGGTGGCAATTGTTTTTGGAGGCTGTAGGAGAGATTCCAATTTCTTGCCTTTATTGGCTTCTAGAGGCTGCCCACATGGATTGGCTATAGTGGGCAATGGATGGTCCAGTTCTTCTCACATTGTGTCAGTCTGATACTGACACTCCCTTATAAGGATCCTTGTGATTATGCTGGGCTTACTCAGATACTCCAGGATATTCTCCCTATCTCAAAGTCAGGATTAGCAACCTTAATTCCTTCTGGCTGTGTACAGGTCTCAGGGATTAGGATGTGGATATTCTTTTGGGGGAAATGTTATTCTGACTACCACAATATTTCAGTATGTATCTTTAAAATAAGGATTTTAAAACCCGACACAATCAAGATACCATTACTTATTTGCCATCTGTGTATTCTCCTCAGTCTATTCATGTTTTTTGTCCATTTTCTAACTGGATGGTACATTTGCTTACTTTCGAGTTTTGAGAATTATTTATATATTCTGAATACAAGTCCTTTGTCAATTAAGTGGTTTGCAATTACTTTTTCCCAGTCTGTAGTTTGTCTTTTCATTCTCTTGACAAGGGCTTTTTGAAGAGCAAGATTTTAAAATTTTGATGAAATCTAATTTGTTGCTTTTTTCTTTTATGGATTATGCATGCTTTTGGTATCAAATGTGAATTTTTTTTTACCTAGTCCTAGGTCCTAAAATTATTTTTTCTATTTATTTTATTGTTATTTTACTTTATTTTTTAAGACAGAGTCTGGTTTTCTCACCCAGGCTGGAGTGCCCTGGCGCAATCTTAGCTCATAGCAACCTCCACCTCCTGGGCTCAATTCTTATTTTTTTCTAAATGTCATGTCTTACATAACACACATGTCCCAGTTTATTTGACTTCCCCAACTTTAATGGGAGTTTGAATCACCCTGATCATGAAGTCTATGATCCATTTTGAGTAATTTTTGTGGAAGGTGTGAAGTTTACGTTGAGATTTGTTTTTTGGTCTTTGATGTCCAATTGTTCAGGTACTATTTGTTAAAAAGGCTGTCTTTCCATTATTTTTTCCATAAATGTTTGGTAGAACTTGCTTATGAAACCAGCTAGGTATGAAGATGTTTTCTAACCATGGTTTTTAATTATTGATTTAATTCCTTAGTGGAAATGAAACCATTCATATTTTCCATATCTTCTGGTAACACATTCTTGTGTCAATAAATTATATTCCTAATAAGGGAGAAAAGGGACTATACTCTAAAGCACTAGCAGAATTTAGCAAGCATGTGTCAGCCTGAGCAGGGGAAGTAGACTTGGGTTTGGATTTTGAGGGTGCTTGATAAAAGGAGTTGGAATATAAGCCTCGATAAGAGATAACTTACTGACTTGGGAGTATTCTTTCCGGATATAGGCTGTAACCTCTTGAGAAGGACCCCAGGGGTTGGTACAGATTTGTTGTCAGAAAGGCTCCAGAAGCCTGAGAAAGCAATGGCTCATGCCGAGTGAAGTTAAAATACCCGAATTGCCATGACAGATGGAGAAGGAAGGGATTAAAAGAGTCATGGAAGTGGTCATGCTGGAGTGGATACATTACATGAGGCCAGAAGACTCACCAGATTATGTTCCATGGGAATGCACTATTCACCAAAGCCACCAGGACTCCCTGGTGAGAGGAGCACCAGCATTTCTAAGAAGTTAGTGGTCCCGCCTTCTTTATAGGCTAGGGCTGATGGTAAGAGTGGCTGTCACAAAACTTGGCCCATTGATAGCTCTTCCTCCTTGAAGCAGTGGGGCCCTCTCTCCTTGAAGCAGTGGAGCTTTCTTGCCTTGAAGCAGTGGAGGCTAGGTAGCAGCATTTAACAAACAGAAGCCAAGGGGTTCTAAATATCGTTATAGCCAGCAAGGTTGGAGTGACAATCAAGGGGTCTTGACCCATGGAGAGTTGTGGCAATGGTTAATAGAACAAGCATCTCTAGAGGGAAGGTGAAGTGGAAATCTCTGAAACTGCCCCCTTCTCCCAGGAAAAAAGAGTAGATTAGAAACAATATTGCAATCTAGTGGAGGGGATGGTGGAGACTAATGCCACCCTTAAGGATACAAAAAATGCAAGGAAAATGGTTATTATCATATCTATTTAATTTGCAAGTCTGGCTTCTGCAGAAACTGGATGGATCCTAGAGAATGACTGTAGAACACTGTGAGCTCAACCAGGTAGTAACCTGATTGCAGCTTCTATAACCAGGTACTGACACATGCCAGGTATTAAGTACATGTTATGTACCTATTGATTTGGCAAATGCATTCTGTCCCATAACAAGTAGGAAAGAGGATAAGAAAAAGTTCCCATTCATAAGAATGGAAAATATTCACTTACAGTTTTCCTGTGGACTATTAACTCTCATCTTCTGCATACTGTAGTCTGAAGAGATCTGAATTTTCATGTATCTCTCAAAACAACACATTGATCCATTACATTGGTGACATCATGTTGATAGGGCATGATAGACAAGAAGTGGCCATATGTTGGACACTCTGTAAGACATATGTATTCCAGCTGGGTGCGGTGGCTCATGCCTGTAATTCCAGCACTTTGGGAGGCTGAGGCGGGTGGATCACCTGAGGTCGGGAGTTCAAGACCAGCCTGACCAACATGGAGAAACCCCATCTCTACTAAAAATACAAAATTAGCCAGGCATGGTGGCACATGCCTGTAATCCCAGCTACACAGGAGGCTGAGGCAGGAGAATCGCTTAAACCCAGGAGGTGGAGGTTGCGGTGAGCCGAGATTGCGCCATTGCACTCCAACCTAGATGACAAGAGCGAAACTCCATCTCAAAAACAAAAAGAAAGAAAGAAAGAAAAATACAAAGAAAAAAACGTATGTATTCCATGAGGTGGGAGATAAATCTTTTAACTATTTATGGACTTGTCATTTCAGGAAAGGTTTTATGAGTCCAGTTGTCAGGGGCATACAGGGATATCTCCTTCAAAGTGAAAAACAAATTAACATAATGTATTAGCACAAGGATAGGAAAATAAACCATTGGAACAGAACAGAAATTCCAAAAGCAGACCACAAAATCATTGAAATCAATAAACCGAGTAAAGCAGATTGCCCTCTCTAATGTGGTGGGCTTCATTCAATTAGTTGAAGTTCTGAATACAACAAAAAGCCTGACCCTCCTGCCTGTAAGAGGGAATTCCTCTTGCCTGATTGCCTTCACACTGGGACATAGGTTTTTCTCCTGCCTTTGAACTTAAACTGAAACATCATCTCTTCCTGGGCCTTAAGCCTGCCCATTCTCAGGTCTTTGAACTCAAACTGGGACTACACTAGCAGCTCTCCTGGGTCTCCAGCTTGCCAGCTCACCCTGCAGATCTTGGAACTTGTCAGCCTTCATAATTAAATGAGCCAATTCTCTAATTTCTTATTTTTTATACACACACCATTGGTTCTGTGTCTCTGGGGAATCCTGACTTATACAATGGTCTTACCAATGAGTTGCCAAGGTCCATTGGGTATTCATGTGGCAAAAAATAAATCTTGAATCCTTCTTCACACCAAACATAAAAATCAACTCCAGATGGATTGTAATTTAAATATTAATGCTAAAACAATAAAGCTTCTACAAGTTAACATAGGAGGATATCTTTATTGCCTTAGGATAGGGGAAGATTTCTCATTAGATCACGAAAGGCCTAACTGTATATAAAAGATTGAAGCATGTGACTCTCTTAAAAGGAAAAACAATTGTGAAAATCCATTAAAGCATTCTGCTCTATCAAAGGAGGCTGTGACCACTCATTTCTGAGAAATATCTGTCATGTGAAAACATAATCACATGATTATGCATAATCCTAAGCATAATCCCTGGGTGCTTCCAACTCCTGGTCACCCATCTGGAGATACAACTTCTCCATAAGCCCCTCAATCAACAAGTGAACCACTCGTTTGTGTACCCTAAACCTTTCAAGTAACCATAGGCAACCCTGGGCTGAGAACTCACATGACACCACCATAGTTAAAATGTCTTGCATCAGCACCTCCAATGTTCCCATGGTCCAGTCTGCCTATAAAAAGGAGAGACAACAGCTCATACCCCAGAAGGAGGCCAGGAGTTGTGAGTTTCCAAGCCCCAGCTCACTCTGACCACTTCTCTGCCTGCCCAGCATCATGAAGGGCCTTGCAGCTGCCCTCCTTGTCCTCGTCTGCACCATGGCCCTCTGCTCCTGTGCACAAGGTGAGTCTGTCATCCATGTGCTTTGATGGCTCCCTGGGCAGAAGTCAGGCGACATCTTCCAAGTGCTGTGGCCTGAAAACCCTCGTGTGAAATTAGGGATCCTCAAATGGGGTTTCAAAGTGACATCATTGTTTTCTTCAAGAAGGTTGAAAAGCAGTCTATTGATCTGGGCAGCAGGATGGGAGTCAGAGAAGTTTTATCCTACTGAGATAAATGAGATGGTTGAAGTCTAATTCATTGGGTTATTAGCGTGAGGTAGAATCTAGGTCTATTTAGTTCTCACTGGTGCTGGTAAGTTTTACAATGACCTCAGCAGTCTCCTAGAGTTCAACCCCTTGGGTAACATAAAAGATGTCTATACTTTTCTCAGCTATCTTGTGATTTAATCTATTAGAAAAAAAATTCCCCAAGGAGAGTTAGGAGAAGGGCATAGACTATTCAGGGAGCTTGATTCCCTGTAGCGTAAAATAAAGACTAAAATGGAGAGACAAGACTAGGGAAATTAAGGAGAAACAAACAAAAAGCCAGATTATTTCCAGCTTTCTTTTCCTGCAGGCCTCAACTCTGAGCTATGCTGTCTCCCTTTGCTCCTTTGTGACCCGCCTGGGCTTCTTCTCCTGAGCAACTCCTGTTGTCTTTGTTCCCTCAGATAAGATTCACACCCCATGCATCTGCTGCTTCTCCTACACCTCCCAGTAGATGCACTGCAAATTTTCGGTTGCCTATTATAAAACCAGTGGTGAGCGGTCTTAAAATTAAAATCTTATGATATATTTTAATTACTTTATACAGTCAATATTCATTTAGTTTTCATCACATATTTGCTCTTCCTGTCCTCTTAAATTCTTCTGCATCTCTGAGCTCCATCTGCAATCACTTTTCTTCTGCCTAAAGGAATCCTCTTAGTATTTTCATTACTGTGGGTCTTCTGATAGTGAAGTCTCCATTTTTTGCTTGCTTGGAAATGTCTTCATTTTACCTTCATTTTACCTTCACACTGGATATGAAAGTCCATAGTAGCTCCCACCTCCTACTTGTGCTTACGTGCTCCTTGTCCCTTGTCCCATGGGTTGTCTCCTCCATATGCCCTATTTGCAGACAGAAGGACTGGTGCTGACATTACGCCAGGGTAAGAGCACCAGCTGCTGGAGTCAGCAAATTTGCAGTGGATATGGAGAAACATAAGAGAGGCAGGAGACAATGGGGTGCCTTAACCGTGAGGGAACCAGCATCCAGAACCTGAGAAAAACCAAGTAAATTTCTTCCACTCTTGAAAAGGGACCAGCAAGAAGTTGATGAAGACCTCACTGCTCAGGACTGTGAAGTAGGGCACAAAAGGAACTAAGGAAGTCAGGCATTCATCCTTGACTTTGAGTGTTTCTTTTAAATCTCTGCCTCTGTCTTACTCTCACTCCCTTGCTCCCTCTTCAGGGAGTATAGCTCTTGGAATGGCTGGCCTTTGTTCCATCTCTTTTGGGTAGGAACTTCATTCAGTCTACAGAGACTTTTCCCAGCAAGAGACCATCATCTCTAAATCGCTGTAGGAGTAGAGCTTCTCAGGAGAACTGAAGGAACTCTGCCACTTCCTCACCCTAGGAACCAACTAGACCCAGAGTTTGCATCTTGTGAATGACTGAGTTAGGCCCCAGTTTTCCCAACTAACAATGGGTCCTAGCCCTCTCCTGCCTTTCAGATCTAGGTTAGATATCTAAGTCCTCAGAAAATAGCCCAGAACATTTTGAAACCTTTTGTGAAGTTCTTTGATTTTACTTAGAGAATCTTAATCCACAAGAATTAAGTGATATGGCTTAAATGTCTGTCCAGAGCATAGGGAAACAACTCTAAAATGAAGAAAGGACAAGGGTCAAGAGAGTCTCACGGGACAGATGAGACTTGTGAGCTGAGGGCCATGGAGAGGAGATGGAGGGCACCAAAGAAGACCTGTTCAGTGTTGGGCAGGCAGAGGAGTGTAGGCAATGCCAAAACAGGACTGGGCACTCACTGCCACCTACATCGTTCTGGGGTCCAAGCCATGTCCTCAACCCTTTACAGGCAACTCTAAACCATGAGGAGCTGGAGACTGGGGATGACCAGAGGGGAAGATGTTAAGTGCATGGTGTCTTGCTCTGAGTTGTACATGTTGGGGTACCTTGGGTCCCCCAGGGGTTCAGGATGTACAAGAGCAACTCAACTGCTCACTTGTTGGGGCTGAATGTGCAGAAATGTTTTTGACAGTGAGAGAGGGTGAGATGTTAGTGTTGAAGTCATACGTACAAGGAGAGATCTTCAGATTAACACTTCCACCACAGAGCAGCTCTCTAATGCTGTGCTGCAGCTCCTCTGACCACATGGTGTGATGTAAATGGTCATGCCACAGCGTTCTGGGCAGCACAAGTCACATTTAAACCACACCCTGGGTGAAAAGGACCATTACATCGTGTTAATCGGAGTGCTTCTAAGAAATGCTTAACTCATGAGGAGGACGTCAAGAATTGGTGTTACCAAGAAGCCAAGCTTAGCTGGTACCTTCTATCAAGAACAGATCTATTTGTGAATGGCACCATGGTCATTTCCTCCTATGGAACAGATATTTCTAGTGTTGTGTTTCCATTGCACAGAAGTGACATGTAAGATGATACCCCAGAATCTTAAGTAGTTCGAGTTGTGTTTGATCCAGACCCAAATGGACAGAATGGAATAGGGAAAGTCTGGACTATGGGAATGACAAGAATGATGGGGCCAGGCTTTTAACTGCTGTTTGATTCATTGAACATTCATAGCTCCCTACAATATGCCATCATTGGGTTTGACTCTGGGTAATAGACATGAATATGCATGACATATGGGGTGTCTATATAGATCAGGAGCCTTAGATGCCCTTATTTTTTCACCCAGGAAGCCCACAGCTAGGAAAATATCCTACAGAAATAACCTCACTTATGGAGAAAGTTTTTTGCATACAGATGTTTGGCACAACTTATAACAATGAAAAATTGGCCAGGTGCAGTGGCTTACACCTGTAATCCTAGCACTTTGGGAGGCCGAGGCAAGCAGATCACCTGAGGTCAGGAGTTCGAGACCAGCCTGGCCAACATGGTGAAACCTCATCTTCACTAAAAATACAAAAATTAGCTGGGCATAGTGGTGCACGCCTGTAGTTCCAGCTACTCAGGAGGCTGAGGTAGGAGAATCGCTTGAACCTGGGAAGTGGGGGTTGCATTGACCTGGGATCACACCACTGTACTCCATCCTGGGCAACAGAGTGAGACTCCATCTAAAAAAAAAGGAAAAATTGAAACCAACCCACATATGTTACAGTAGTGCATGACAATATTAATGCACTAGGCTTAAGTAAATTAGGCAGTTCTTAAAAATACTGGAATGATTTGGAAAAGTCTTTTAATATTAAGCACAGTCATATGCTGCATAACAATGCTTTGGTCAATGACAAACTGCATATATTATACAGCGGTGGTCCCATAAGATTATAATTCTGTATTTGTACTATACCTTTTCTATGTTTAGATATGTTTAGATATGCAAATACTTAACATTGCATTGCAGTTGCCTACAGTATTCAGTACAGTGGCATGCTGTACAACTTTGTAGCCTAGGAGCTACAGGCTGTACCATACAGTGAAGGTGTACGGTAGACTACACCATCTAGGTTTGTGTAAGTCTATGATATTCCCACAATAACAAAACAGACTAATGACAAGTTCCTCAGATGTATTTTTGTCATTAAGTGATGCATGGCTGTATAAATAAAAAAATACAAAATTAAAACCTGTATCATGACAACAGTAATGTCTTCCCCCACCAGACACAGTAAGAAGAAGGAAAAAAGCAAATGAGCAAACAGTACTATCATAAGCCTAGAAAAAAACTGCACTGGAAAGAAATATACCAAACTGTTTTTTAAAAAAAAAAAGTGGCTAGGTTTGGGTACTAGAATTTTTCCTACCTTCAATGAAATTTTTTTTTCAGGTTTTGCATCAGAATGCACATATGCCACAATAGGGAATGTAGAAAAAAACTCTCACATTCCTGCCTCCGTTTGCCTGCTGCCTACCCAGCTTTGAGATTCTAAATGAGTTTTTATTCTTTTCTGTATTTTATGTGTTTTCAAAATTAGCTTTACTGCTTTTTGGTGTAATCTATAGTTCACATAACAAATCATATAAAAAGCTATTTGAACTAAAAACACTAGTAACATTGCTCTTCCTGTACTCCTATGAGACTCCCTCGTATGCTTGTGGATGAGACATTATGAGGATGTGATGACTGAGAAAGCAGCGGCCATTTTGGGACCACGAGGTGACAAGCTCAAATAAGAAAAGCCAACAAAATGGTGGGGGAAGGGGAGATGTTTTAAGAAGCCTGAGTTCTTGATGACACAACTGAGCTGTTAAACAAACTCAGGGAGGACCACCTGTTTAAATTTATTTATTTACCTAATTATTTATTTGAGACAAAGTCTTACTCTGTTGCCCAGGCTGGAGTGCAGTGGCATGATCAGAGCTCACTGTAGGCTTGACTTTCCGGGCTGAAGCAATCCTCCTGCCTCAGCGTCCAAAGAAGCTGAAACTACAGGCATGCCCAGCTACTTTAAAAAAAAAAAAATTTATAGAGACAGGGTCTCACTATGTTGCTCAGGTTGGTCTCACACTCTTGGCTTCAAGCAATCCTCCCACCTTGGCCTCTCCAAATGCTGGGATTACAGGCATGAGCCACCATGCCTGGCTCTGATGTCCATGGTACATCTATGCTGTTGGAACAGCTGGGGAGGCTATCAGAAGGTTCTGCTCAATGGGAGAAAGGCTTTATCTAAAGACCTGCCCTTGTGAGAAGGCACCAGCTAACCCAGTCTCAGGGTGACACCAGCATCTCACCTCCTCTCACTGTGGAAACCATTTCCCCACCAAGGGATCAACTGAAGCATTCTTGCAAATAGCCTGAATCTTTGTGGTGAGCTGAAGCTCTCCTGGTTTGTGCAATGCACAGCATGACACCAATATCATGATTAAAAAATTTTCCCCTTCAGAGAGGATCAGGAAAAACTAATGGGTACTAGGCTTAATATCTGGGTGATGAAATAATCTGTATAACAAACTCCCATGACATGAGTTTACCTATGTAACAAGTCTGCACATGTACCCCGAACTTAAAAGTTTAAAAAATGAAAAAAGAAACAAAATTCCTCCTCAGTCTCCCCAAGTTTATATCTTCTAATACCCCAAGGCTGCCTGTAAAGAGAAGAGATGGCTGAGACCCCAGAAGGAGGCAGCGGCTACAAGTCCTGAGTTCAGCTCTTCCCGGCAGCCATGGGAGCTCACACTCTGCCCAGCATCCTGGGGACCCCTGCAGTTGCCCTTGCTGTCCTTTTCTTCACTGAGGCCCTCTGCCCCCAGGCCCGCTGTCCCTTGTGTGAATTTGTCTTTTGCTCTTGTGCCCCTACTGTCTGGCCATGGCTTGGACCCCACTGCCCAAGTCTATCTCTAAGACCTCCAAATACAGAACATCAGAGGGATTTCAGGGACTATTTCCCGAGGAGGATTTTTCTTCCTAAGAGGTTTCAGCAACTCTGTTCTCCACCTCTGGGAGACAGAGGGAGAGTGAGTCCCATTCTATGGATGAGAAAATGGAGGCCCACGGGGATTTTGACAAGAGGTAGGATCTGGGTCCAATTGGTTCTCAGTGGTGTGGCCTTGGCTGTCCTTATGAATTCAGATGGAACTCCCCAAGGAGAGATGGGATGGGAAATAGTTTGCTCAGAAAACTAAATTTCCAGTAAAGAGACATAGAGACCCAGAACCAAGACAGCCAGAGAATGAGAAATACCAAGAGAAAGATGCAGAAATTAAAATGTCAGGGAAAAGAAGAAATGCCAGCTTCCTTCTGGATCTCTTTGTCCCTATATCCCCACCCCAAGCGGTGATATCTCCCAGTTCTTCCTGACTCTCAAGGAAAGGGACCAGGAGCAGCTGGCTTGCCTTGTGAACAATGACTTGGGATCTTTCTGTCCTGTCTCTTGCAGTTGGTACCAACAAAGAGCTCTGCTGCCTCGTCTATACCTCCTGGCAGATTCCACAAAAGTTCATAGTTGACTATTCTGAAACCAGCCCCCAGTGCCCCAAGCCAGGTGTCATGTAAGTGCCAGTGCTCCTGCCCACCCCTCGGGAGGGAGGATGGGAGGTTTGGGGTGAGGTCCCCTCAGAGTACTCAGCTCTCTAAGGCCCATCAAGGTAAAGGACTCCAGGGGAGGCCCCTGCAGTGTTTTGTGACCTGGCCTGGGGCCTGCAGAGTCCTGAAGGGCCTGCCCCTGGGCAGAGGGAAGAGAGCAGACATGACAACAGGAAGTTTGCTTCCTGAGGAACCCCATCTGAGACATTTGGGGAAGGCCTGTGAACCCCGAAGTTAAGGGGAAATTTTACGGGCACGAGGACAGGCCCTGAGATGCCTGGGACAGAGAAGGACGCAGGGGCCACAGGATTCCCCTGATGAATTCGTCAGTTCTTAACTCTTCCTCCCTTCTCCACAGCCTCCTAACCAAGAGAGGCCGGCAGATCTGTGCTGACCCCAATAAGAAGTGGGTCCAGAAATACATCAGCGACCTGAAGCTGAATGCCTGAGGGGCCTGGAAGCTGCGAGGGCCCAGTGAACTTGGTGGGCCCAGGAGGGAACAGGAGCCTGAGCCAGGGCAATGGCCCTGCCACCCTGGAGGCCACCTCTTCTAAGAGTCCCATCTGCTATGCCCAGCCACATTAACTAACTTTAATCTTAGTTTATGCATCATATTTCATTTTGAAATTGATTTCTATTGTTGAGCTGCATTATGAAATTAGTATTTTCTCTGACATCTCATGACATTGTCTTTATCATCCTTTCCCCTTTCCCTTCAACTCTTCGTACATTCAATGCATGGATCAATCAGTGTGATTAGCTTTCTCAGCAGACATTGTGCCATATGTATCAAATGACAAATCTTTATTGAATGGTTTTGCTCAGCACCACCTTTTAATATATTGGCAGTACTTATTATATAAAAGGTAAACCAGCATTCTCACTGTGACGACTCTGTTGATTTTGTTTCACTAATCGGAATCACAGACTGAGAGGAATTCTGGGGGAGGAGTAGGGAAATATGAAAAGGGGCAGAAACAGCAAGATAGGGACCAAGTACTTCTACAGTCATACCAGACATTTCCCTGGAGATACTTTCCTGAAAAGTTGAAACAGACACCATTAGTTTATAAACCATATTGTAACTGAAATGTGATAGAAAAATTTTCTACTTAAATGAATATCAAGATGACGCTGCAATGCATATTTACGCACACAAGCTCATTTTCATAAATGAAGCTTTCCTCAGAATGATGGCTAACATCTGTTGAGGTCTTACCAAGTGCTGGGTTTTGGGCTAAGTACTTATATTAGTAAAAGTCTAGCAAATACTGCCCATAGTCTAGCAAGGACTCCTTACCTGGAAGTTGCTGAAAGCCTTGGTAATGTTATCTTTGTTCTCCACTCTGCTTTTGGGGAGGATGTTTTCCATGACTATACGAGATGAGGCTTGGGGCTGGGTGGCCAGAGTTAGCAAATAAAAATACAGAATGGATACTATTTTAGTGTAAGTATATCCCATGCAATATTTGGGACCTACTTGTACCAAAAATGATTTGTTCTTTTTCTGAAACTCGAATTTAACAGGGTATCCTAAATTGTATCTGGCAACCCTCTGAAGAAGGAATACTGCTTATAGAGGTGTCTGTTTCCTGTTGGAGATGTCTGTTGATTTTGGCTTAAGTGTAGAACAGGGCTTTGGCTTAAGTGTAGAACAGGGCTTTGGCTTAAGTGTGGAACACGGCTTCTCAACCTTGAATTCACATTAGAATCACTTAGGAGAGCTTTTAAAAATTCTAATGCCAGGTCCTCACCTCCAAAGTTATGAATTTAATTGGATTGATGTGGGGGCCTGGCATCAGTAATTTAAAAACTCCCCAGGGGATGTTAATGCACAGCCAAGTTTGAGAACCACTGTTGGTGTGGGGTCACAGGCTGTTTTTAACCAGCATTAAGGTTTCAGAGGCACTGCAACTCCGTTCTAATTTTTGAAGGCATCTGATCTAGTTATTTTTGGTTCATTCCATTGGATGGTTAATCATAAGCAGAAAATCTATCAGATACAGTTATTTCTAGAACTGGGTTTTTAACACGTCTCTTCCAGCACAGCACTGGGAGCTCTGTGGTCATCCCTTCCGCCGCCCACCGGCTCCCCCATTGTATTGACTCCACATTGCCCCCTGCTGGTGAAACAAGTGCGAAGGTCAGCGTCTTTAGCTCCCTGCCTCTGATGAATACAGCTGCACCTTCACAAAGAGCACAGCTGTTCATTGTGATGGTTAATGTTACGCGTCAACTGGACTAAGCTAAGGGATACCCAGGTAGCTGATAAACATCATTTCTGAGTGTGTCTGTGTGGTGTTCCAGAAGAGATTAGCATCAGAAGACTAAAGAAGATCTGCCCTCACCAATGCAGGCAGGCATCATCCAATTCACTGAGGTCCCAAATAGAACAAAAAGGCTGAGGAAGGGTGACTTTGCTGTCTGCGTTTGAGCTGGGACATCCATCTTCTCCTGCCCTCTGACATCCACGCTTCCGATTCTTGAGCCTTCAGACTCAGACAGGGACTTGTACCATCACCTACCCTTCTTGACCCCTTCTCAGGTCTGTGAACTTGGACCAGGACTGACAACTTTGGCTGCCCTGGTTCTCAGGCCTTCGGACCAAATCACACCACTGGCTTTCCTGGTTCTCCAGCTTGCAGATGGCAGGACTTCTTGGCTTCCGTAATTGTGGGAGCCAATTCCCCTAATAAATATCTCGGTATTTATATCTATATCAACATTGGTATCCAATCTATATCTATAGAGAGAAATAGCCTACTGTTTCTGTTTTTCTGGATAACTGACTAATACATTCATTTTATCATCAAGATAAATATTTACAATGTGGGATCTGAGAAGGAGGTGGATTTGGCTGCTTCGGGACCTGCTTTCCTGTCCTGCCTAATCTCTCACCTCCTCATTTTTGCTTATATTAACATTAGCTTGGACTGGAAAATTCTGCTCTTCTAGTCCTGCAAGCTCCAGATCACAGGATTCTTAATTAGCTTGGTTTTCAGGCAGCAAGCAGAAAGTACATTTCTTTAAAAAACTACTTTTTTTCCCCTTCTCTGCTATCAGAAGAATCAGTTTCAAAGTAAGTTAATTTCTTTCTTAGTGGGCCTTACTAAGACTGATGCAAGAAATAGTCTCCAATACCCTGAATTTTCGTTTTTGATAAAACTTTGGCTCGAAGATGGACTTAGAATATATAACAGGCCATGGGGGTAACCAGCAATTTTGGTAACTAGAGGTATCCCCACTGACTTTGACCTTAGCTACTGCCTTCAGCCAGTTCCACGTTTGGGGACCCATACTTACAACATTGCAGTCTATGTTAGTTAGGGATGGTTTAAGTCACAGTGTCAGAAAAATAACTCAATCTGGCTTAAATGATAAAGGGAACTTATTAGTTCACATAACTGAAGCTTCAAGAAATAGAATTAGTTTCAGGCAAAACTTGATTCAGTGGTCCTTGTTTCGCTATGGACTATACATGTCTTTCTGAATTTCTGATCTCCCTGCATTTGAGAGCTTCATCCTAGAAAGAAGTTACTATATTCATCCTATTTACTCTATTGGCAGAATAGCTTCCAGAAACTTCCAGAGCAAATTGGGAAGACAATGTCTGTATCCTCGTATTTTGAGCCAAGAGCCTGAGTTCCACTTTTATTGGTCTGGCTGGCTTGGATTAAGAGCCCATCTCTTAACCCAGGGGCCAGCAAACTATGGCCATTGGGCCCAATTTGACCTACTACCTGTTTTTGTATGGCCTGCGAGCTAAGATGTTTTTACATTTTAAGTCATTGAAAACATCCAAAAGAAGAATATTTTGAGAAATATGAAAATTGTATGAAATTGGAGTTTTAGTGTCCATAAAAAAGTTTTATTGGAATGCAGTTGGGTTTATTTGTTTCTGTATTGTTTACAGCCCACAGTCTAGCAAGGACTCCTTACCTGGAATGAATCATATTTTCATACGACAAAGCAGAGCTGAGTAGTTGTGAAAGACACTGTATGACCCACAAAACCTGAAGTAGTTTCCATTTGGTCCTTTACAGAGCAAGTTTGCCAACCTGTATCTTAATTCATCTTTGTGGCCAGAGAAGTGGATTTACTGATTTGTTTCAGCTGATCAATGTCTATAACAAGCAATGTTGATGGGCTGAAAACCACACAGACTACCAGAGGGGTTGCTTTTCCGAAGAATCATGTAAGGATAAAAGAGAAAGAAAGAGAGAAAGACCTTGGAACCCAACTAGTATCTACCAAATGTATGTAACTTTCTCATATTAATTCTGTCTTTATATGTGAAGATGACCAATCCCCTGCCTGTGATTACATCACATCAAGCATGTTCTTCCCAAATTGGGGGTTCAATTCAGACTCTCCTGTTATATGCCAGTTGTCTTAGGGATTTTCTCACTTTATTCAACACTATACTCAATTTTTACATTAATAATGCAGTAATAATATACCCCTTTGCCATTCTGTATTTTCCTGTATAATAATAATTATTATTGTTATTATTATTATTTTTTGAGACAGTTTTTGTTCTTGTCGCCCAGGCTGGAGTGCAATGGCATGATCGCAGCTCACTGCCACCTCTGCCTCCTGGGTTCAAGTGATTCTTGTGCCTCAGCCTCCTGAGTAGCTGGGATTACAGGCACGCACCACCACGCCCAGCTAATTTTTGTATTTTTAGTAGAGATGGGGTTTCACCATGTTGGCCAGGCTGGTCTCGAACTCCTGATCTCAGGTGATCTGCCCGCCTTGGCCTCCCAAAGTGCTGGGATTACAGGCGTGAGCCACTGTGCCTGGTCTTTCCTGAATTATTTTACCGGTTTTGTAAAAAGATTTTGATCGGGATATACCCTGTTGCCCCACAAATGATGGCTAGTTCCCAAATCTGAGACTAAGTTTTCATTATAGACTTTATATTCTAAACTAAGTCACTAACAACTGGGGCCAGACAATCCTTCCAGGGCATTGTAGACATAGGAAGAGGAAAGAAAGTGGCCAGCCTAGTGGGTTCCACCTTTGTGAAGGAGAGGTCTTTACTTCTAACTGCTCTTGAAGCCCAGTGAAGGGGTCTCCAGAGGGTAACTTGTACAAACTGGAAGTACCTGCAAACAAGGCAACTCATTTTCCAGTTGGATGTCAGCTTACATGGTGAACCTCATGATTTGCCTGAGCCAAAATGAGCAGGGGAGAAGAAAACAGGAGATAGGAACCAAAGCAGGGAAAAGGATTGCTGGAGGCTGCTCTCCCACCACATGGAATGAGCTTTCCATTGGCCGAGTGATCCTGTGGAAGGGAGCTGGGCTCGAGCCATCCTCCCAGTGACACTCCGCAAAGGTTGGGGGAATCACATGTCCCATTTTGTCTGGGAAATGACCCAGTTTATGCCAGTTGTGCCAGCATAGTTATTAATAGTAACCCCTTTGAGTCTTAAAGTGCTCATCCTACCAATAGGAGATCCACTGCTTAGCTTACAAGGATCTTAACAGCAGTAGCTGATGGGGTGGTCTCAGGGCCGCTGTCTACAAAGGCCCCTGGATGTGTGGGCAAGAGGGTGCTGAAAGCCAGTCTGCCCATCACCTGTAAGGTCTTGCACTCACACAGGGCTAGGTGTGCTCCATGGTGCTTTTTTGTAACATGCTCAATGGTGTCTTCCAGGCTAGCAAAGGCCCAGGGTATGCTGCCAGTGGTGTGAGCAGAAGAGAGAGGTGAAAGATGTTGGGCAAGGGTGGGATCTCTCACCTAAGAAACTATGCAGAGAGAGGACCCTCAGGAATGCCCATCTATCCGAGGGAAATATACATGCATTGCCCATAACTTCAATATTTTTTTAAAAGATGCAGGGATAACCTAGCAGTGGGGGCAGGGACTACATCTGTAGGCAGTTAAAAGAATTCTTTCCCCTCTCTCTTTTAAACATTTAAATTAAAAAAAATTCTTTTAGAGACAGGGTCTTGCTCTGTCACCCAGGCTGGAGTACAGTGGTGTGATCACAGCTCACTGCAGACTAGAACTTCTGGGCTCAAGCGATCCTCCTGCCTCAGCCTCCTGAGTAGCTAGGACTATAGCTGCACACTACAATGCCTGCTAATTAAATTTTTTTTTTTTTTGTAGAGACAGGATCTCACTGTGTTGCCCAGGCTGGTCGCCAACTCCTGGCCTCAAGTGTTCCTCTGGCCCTGGCCTCCCAAAGCACTGGGATTACAGGTACAAACCACCACAACCAGCAAAATTTTCTCTTTATATTACCCCACACAGACAACCCCTCTTTCCAACATGCCAGAGGAGTTAAAAAGAGAAGGAGAGAGGGTATCTCAGAACCAAACTAAAGCTTCATCACACTCCAACTACCAGAGCCTGTTTTGCTCTGGTGAAGGGCGAGGAGAAAGGAAGAAGTAGAAATGTTAGTTAAGTCAAATTTAAGATTAGGGTTCTAAACTGAAGGAATTTTAATAACTGGATGTGACCAAAACGTGATAGGATCTCCCCAAGATGTTAAGGTGGAGCTGATGATTGGAGAACAGTTAAGCATTTTATGTTTATAGTCTATATATAAGTAAGGATAGAATAGGTTGTACCTAGATAACAAACAAACTCCCAGTGGTCTAACAAGGTAAAAGTTTTCCACTCATACAAAATCTGATGTGGGCTAGATCACTGGATCTCACAATTTAGTTGCATCAGAATCCACTGGTGGGCTTGTCTAAACACAGATTCCTGGGTTCCACCTGAGACTCTGATTCTACAGGTCTTGGTAAGACTCAAGATTCTGCCTTTCTAATGAGGTTTCAGGTGATCCTGATGCTGCTGACCCATGAACTACACTCTGAGCAGTATTGATCCTAGAGCAGCTCTCCTCCAGGTGGTGACTCAGGAATTCAGGCTGCTTCCATCCTGTAGCTGTAGATTCTGGAATGAGAAAGAAGACAGAAAAGGCATACTGCTTTTAACTGTCTTGGTCCAGAAGTGACATGCTTCACTTAATCTTACAATTCATTGGCCAAAATTAGCCACAAGAGCCCAATGCAAATGCCATGAAGGGGAACATGTGGACTATTTAGTGAACCCTACTTTGTCTGCCACTTACTCTTAAAAAAGAGGTTAACCAAGGAAAGAGACCTAGCCAATGTGAACTTGCAGTCTATTAGAATCTTTTGCTTTTCCTTTCCCCCGATTATAATAGGCTGTCAGTTTAGTATTCATCTAATATACGAAGGATTTATGCAATATTCATGTTGTTGAGATGTGAAATAAATCCTAGATCTATTTGAAATATTTTAAAGTTCATGGGCCAATGGTGCCAGTCATCAGATGTTGAGAGGCCTTAGGGGAAGAAAGAATGAGACTCTATGGCTTCACCAAGGCAGAGATGGCTACTATCATGATTCCGGATAATGCCCCCACACTTGCCCTAGCTGGTTTGCTATGACGGGCTAGAGGAGGAATATCTCAAAATTGGAAGGGAATATAAAATGTTGCATGAGAGAAGCTATTTATGCAGGTGTGTTTGTGTGGGTGTGTGTGTGTGTGTGTGTAGAGAGAGAGAGAGAGTCAAAATGTACTCTTTGGGTCTAGACAGGACATGTTTGTTGCCTTGATCTCTTCATAGAATGGGTAACATAACAGCAGCGAGCATTCCTGAAGTTCTCTGAACTAGACTGAAATCTGCAAAGCTTGTCCCCTCAATGAGGGACCCAGAGCAAGTGGTTCAAGAGGACTAAGAGAGAACCAGTTTTTAGTGCAAGGCCCCAGCTTCTCAAATCTTGGTTTTTGAGTTAAAAATCACATACTCATACTTATGAAAATCAAAGCACAAAGAATGGAAAATGAAAAGTGGAGATCCTCATTTCTTAAAAGTTATGGTTGCCAGGGAAATCACATTTAATAGATTGGGATATATCACACACATCAAATGTCCTTCTTATGTTTATGTAAATATATATAGCTTTTACCAAAGCAAAATATTATTATATGTACAGTTATATAATAAATATGTGGTAATATAGATATTGGTATAGAGATACACATATGGAATGTATATTCTATATACATAGTTTTACATTAATATCTTAGATACCTTTCATTTCACTATGTATATCCACTTCATTCTTTTCAGTAATTTTGTGTTTATTATGTGGTTATACCACGATGGTTTAAACTATTCATCTTTTAAAGAATTTATTTCTATTGGTTGTTTTACAAACAGAGCTGCAAACAACAGCAATGTGCCAACACTTTGTGTCTTTTTTTTTGAGACAGAGTCTCACTCTGCCACCCAGGCTGGAGTGCGGTGGTGCCATCTCGGCTTACTGAAACCTCTGCCTCCTGGGTTCAAGCAGTTCTTCTGCCTCAGCCTCCCAAGTAGCTGAGATTACAGGCGCCTTCCACCATGCCCGGCTAATTTTTGTATTTTAGTAGAGATGAGGTTTCACCGTGTTGGCCAGTCTGGTCTCCAACTCCTGACCTCAAGCTATCCACCTGCCTTGGCCTCCCAAAGAGCAGGGATTATAGGAGTGAGCCACTGCACCTGGCCCTCCTTTGTTTCTTTAGATAGTGTTTCTTGAAATAGATTCCTAGAAATAAGATTGAAGAGTATGTAAATTTTAAATTTTTCTACAGACTGTGTAATTTCTCTTCAAAAATGCCGATTATCAAAATGTCACTTTTTGATACTAAAAAATAGATTGTTTTAAACACACAAAGTAAGTAGGGCTTATCAAAAAGTTAATATATTTTGCATTTCTCACAAGTATGTTGAATTTCTCCCACTTGCATTTTACAGCAGGAATCCTGACTCAGTCTAACTTTCTTATACTTAAAAACATAACAGGCCAGAAGTTAGCACACATTTTCTATAGAAGGCCAGATAGTAAATACTGGTGTCTTTGTGGGTTATATCATTTCTGTTAGAACAATGTGACTCCACCTTTGTCTTGGGAAAGCTGCAATAGATAATATGTAAAAGGGCAGGAGTGGCTGTGTTTCAACCAAACTTTATTTACAAAACAGGGTCATGCTAGATTTGTTCTGAGGACCATAGTTTCTTAACCTCAATCTAGGCAATCCGTCAAATAATTCTGCATTCACAATAGAAGTCTTGTTGTATATATTGGCTGACTGTCTTTCCTTTCTCTAATGTTAACCACTGATTTTGTGGAGCATGGATTCTAGGGAAATAATACCCAGGTAAGATGTCTATTACCATGTGTGTCTTATTTTTAAAAGAGTGGTTAAATTCTTATTGAGGCCGGGCACAGTGGCTTATGCCTGTAATCCCAGCACTTTGGGAGCCTGAGGCAGGCGGATCTCTCCGGTCAGGAGTTCAAGACCTGCCTGGCCAACATGGTGAAGACCCGTCTCTATTAAAAATACAAAAATTAGCCGGGTGTAGTGCCATGCACCTGTAATCCCAGCTACTTGGGAGGCTGAGGCAGGAGGGTCACTGGAACCTGGGAGGTGGAGGTTGCAGTGAGCCGACATCACACCACTGCACTCCAGCCTGGGTGACCAAGTAAGACTCCATCTCAAAAACACAAACAAACAAACAAACAAAAAAACAAAAACCAGTTTTATTGAGAAATTCAGTAGTTTTTGGTCTTTGGTCTGTATGTATATCACATAGGGGTTTGGTAAAAGTCTAGATTCCCACATCCAAACCCAATTCTCTTGTGAGCATTTTAAACGACCATCCCAGGTGGTTCTGGAATGCTCATAGGTTTGCATATTAGTTACACTATTTATTTGCTGCATGGCCTTGGACAAGTTGTTTTAACCCTCTGAGCCAACATTTCCTCTTCTATCAAATGGGAATATTAATAATACTTAGCCCTTGGAGACATTGTTAGAATTTGAAGGACAATGAATAATTTTTAAGAGAGCTTGACCCATGAGAAAAATAAACTTAAATGCATGAATATATATATCAAGCATGAATTTACCTAGTGCATATGCATTATACACTGGGTGCATAATATTTTATAAAATAATCCTTGTTTTATAAAGTAGTGTTTCATTATTTGGGGAGAGGCATTACCGTCATTTCCTTTCTGTTGACTTCCCCTCTTCAGAGTTTTCTACTCTTCCCCTCCCATCCCACCACCTTGCTTTGTCACAAAACAAAGCCAATAGGATCACCAACAGTTTAAGACTGGTTTACTCAAAACAAATTCATTATTTTACATAGCTGAACATAGAAATGGTAAATAATGTTCTATAAATATTTGTTGGTTGACAGCTTTGGAACAATGTCCTCTAGAAAAAGCTGAACGTAGCCACCCACCTTGTATGAGAGCCACAAAGAATAGCCATGTGCCTGAATATGTGTCAGCCGCTGTGTGACTGGAGGGGCTGAGGAAGGGGCGTAGAGGGTGTTGTGAGGTCCCTTCTGACAAGCAGTCAAGAACGCATAGAAATACATTACAAAAATTAAATAGTCTAGATAAGTTGAAATGCATGTTAAGAAGAGTCCCAGAGTGTGGTTGCTTGGGTAGGGGTAGGTTCAGGAATTGAAGGGACGTCCCTAGGGCCTGGGTCCCTGCTTCCTAATCTGCCACAAACGTAACAGTGTCTTGTTGCTTCCAGGTCACTCAGGGATTTGACTCTGAGATCAATGATGCACTTGGCACCAGAACTTGGTGGGGTTGGCACAGACATGCCAGCCTCAGCCACTTTCATTCTGGAAGCTGTTAAAAGAGACAGTTATAAAAATTGAGGAATCAGCAAGAGAATTCCTGGTCCCATGCTGCCTTCCCATCTCTGTCTTGGCAAGCATAGGGCCTATCCACTTGTTCAAGATTCTTTGCCCAACCTCAGCTCCCTAGACTTTACCTCAGTGGCTCAGGCGGTCTCCTCAGGCAGCCTCCTCCTGCTAACACTTCCTCCTCTCTTCCCTCTGCCAGGGGCAGCTCTTCCCTGGTTCCCTGCAGACCCCAGGTCAGGCCAGAAAACACCTCTATGGCCCTTCCCTGTGTCCCACCACCAGATAGGACCTCAAAGGCCTGGGGTCCCCAGGATGGCCCTCAAACCGACTGGTGCCCTTGCAGGCTGCCACCCTCCAAGTCCTGCTTCTCTCCAGAGATGGGCAGAAGCACCAGCCCTCGCCTGGCACCAGCAGTGAGTCTCATAATTGCCATCTACCATTTTGCTAGGGGGCTTCTGGGGATCCTAGGAAAAGCAGCAGATGCCTGGGTGCTTGGGGACCTGGGCATTCTGAGGGAAGGAGCAGCGTGACCCTGAGTCATTTTTCACTGGGGACAAGTGAGCCAACTCCTTCTACCCAGTGATAAAATCAGAAGGAAGTAGATGGAGACAGCACTGTTCAGGGGATGATTTGGGGATGAGAAGAACTGGCAGGAAGTTGGAGATTTGGGGGTGAGAAGAACCAGCAGGAAGTTGGGGATTTCTTGTTTCCCCACTTTTCCCTTCCATTTCTGTTTGAGCCTTAGGTTTGGCCTCCATCTCCCTCTGTAGAAATTGCAGCTAGTTAGATAGTCTGCCTCTTATTCCAGCTCTACTGGGGGAACATAATATGGTCTAAGAAGAAATTTTTCCAGCAAGAGGCCATCTCTGCAAATCACCTGTGAGGCAGACCTGTGGCAATTTTATGACTCAGCTGGCCACCAGGAAGCGATTGTAGCTGGGTTCTGCCCCTTATTGAAACCTACTCAATGTTCTCCTTCACTAAGTAGGACAAGACCGTACCCTGCCTTTAAGGTTTATAGAATAGAAAGTGAAAACACTTTGGGGAAGAAAATCTTCCTGAACAGATAGCCCAGGGCATTTTGAAAATCCCTTAGGAAGTTCTCTGTTTCACTTGGGTACCTCTGTCCTTGGACTTTGGCGATGTGGTTTGACCCCAGCCAGAGAGTGCAGGGAACAACAGCAAAAGGCAGGACAAAGACTGACTCGTGAGAGGAGGCCCAGGAACAGGGGGGCATCGTGAGAGAGGAGGACGTGAGGGCCCAAGAGTGTGAGCAGAAGAGGATAGGACTTGGGCACTCAGTCACCAGCTGTGGGGTCTGAGCTGTGTCCCCTTCTCTAAAGAGGTAAGCCCTGAGTCATGGGAAGATGGAAACCGGGGCTCATGAGACAGGATGTTTTTTAAGCACCGTGGTGTCTTGTTGACTTGCACATGCAAGGGGGTCTTGGGTAACCACAGGGCTCAGGGTATTTGCAGGAACAGTTCAAGTGCTCACTTGTCTTGGGGCTGTTTGTGGGGAAGTGGTTTCCACAGCAACAGGAGGTGAGATATTGGTGTTACCCCAGACCACACTTAGCTACTTCCTTCTCACTAAAGCTCTGTAGTCATATTTTCCCTGGCAGAGCAGAAACTTCTCTGTTATCCCACAGCTGTTCTAACGGTGTAGACTTGACTTATGCAACGATGCCAGGAGTCCTGAGCAGCACAGCCCAACTTCAATCACACACAGATGGACAGAGCTGTATTAGCAAAGCCTGAGCTACTGAGCGATGAGAGTACAGCCAGGCTTTCAGACATCTGTTCATTCAAGAGAGATATGCGCTAAGCCAAGGACCTAAAGATGTGTTTAATATGGGTGCTAATATGCATAAGGAACCTTGAAATAAATGTTCTTAGCCTTTGGCCAAGAGGGTCCATGTCTAGGAATCTATTCTCCATAGAAATAAATTCAAATATGGAAAAAATGAACAATGCATAAGTGTATTTGGTCCCCAGCATATTTATAGCAACTTAAAATTGGACCCAATTTAAATTGCCTATGATATGGAAATGGCTAAGAAAATTATGGGCTCTTCCCTTAATTGGCTATTAGGCAGCCTTTACAAACAATGCAGTGACATGAGAAATGCTTATGTTATGGTAAGCTTAAAAAACTCAAGATGCAAATCAGCTTATTTTAATCAGGAGCCACCTAGCATTTGGGATGTGGTCAATCCCACATAATGTATTTTTGTGGGTGCAGTTCCCAGGAAAGAGGAGGAATAAAAACGGCAAGTATGAAGTGTCTCCTTCGCTTGCAGTCTCCTTGTCTACCCCTTTGTCCATCCACTATGAAAGGACTCCCTTCTGTTCCTTAATATGGACAATTTCTATTGAGGACTCATTGTTCTAAGAATTGTCTCATCTCCTCCTGCATCCTCAGTGCCCGATCTTTGGCTTCTATGAAGGAAGGTGGGTAGTGCTTATGGCAGGGCCAGTTCTACCTTTCTCAGTATGTTCTGGCGTGGGTATGTAGCCCCATTTTCTAGTGGTTACCTTGACATCATGAAGAGTTTATGTCTCTTTTGCCCTAGATTTGGGCAATAGTCATTCATTGGGCAACTGGAAATAACACAAGTCAGCATCTCATTAAAAATAAAGTCATTCAGGAAAGTGGACGACTAATAGTTTCTAATCTAGAGAGCATAGGAGAAGAAATGTTTACCACACACAAAGTATTAGTGCCTTTTATATCATCAAGACAAAAATAACAGGAAAAAGACAAACACATTATAGTGAAAACTTGTTTTTCCTGACCAGCATCTATTCTGCATGTTCCCTGATGCCAGAAACTCACATTTCTTCAGGGCAAACCCCCTTCCCCACCATTCTCAGGCTTTAAGTTTATGTAAAATTCAGTAAACCCAAAGATTCAAGTTATGTGCCTTGATTAACTTAAGCAAATCAATGAAACCCATCCCCATAACCACAGCGACTGGTTAGGAATTCGGTTCCTAAGTCAGTCAAATCCAAAAGGGCCTAGTGATGTTTTTTCCAATGGGAACACAGACTCACTCTTCCCTGCAGAAAATGAACAAGGATTCATGTACACTGGCAGGTACTGGCAGCCACCCAGGGCCTCTCACAGGAAAGGGAGATCAGAAAGAGAAGCAAAGAGGACTCATGAGATACCACAGGGCCGCTGAGTCCAGCCTTGCCTGGAGCTAGGGCCACCTCGATGCCCTATAGTCTTGGAGCCACAAGGTGCATTTACTCAAAGCCTCTTTGAGTTTGGTTTGCTTGTTTGCTTTCTGCCTGGAAACTGCCAGCATCCTGAGAGATACGAGATCTGCATCTGTGCAGAGACACAGGGTTTGTTAAAAGTCACAGGCCCTGACTGAAGTGTGGAACTGGCTGAAATGAGAAAGTAGGAGGTAATTTGGTGAGGACCTTGTGAAATGGAAGTGAGTTTTAAACCTTACATGCATCAGAATTACCTGGAGCCTTGTGAAA